>NC_000016.10:34584622-35184622 GCF_000001405.40 Homo sapiens | reverse complement strand
CAACAGTGTCCAGCAGCCACCTGTGTGCCTCTGCCCCTGGGGATGTGCTCCCACCCCAGCTTCTCTGCCCTCAGGTAGAAGCAGCCAGGGTCTTCACCTGCTCTGTTGCTCCAGCTCTGCTGTGCTCCCCTGGTTATTCTAACAGCTTCCTCCCAACAGCCTGCATTATCCTCTGTGAGACAGAGATCCCAGTCCCTCTGCAGGCAGAAGCCCACCACCAGTCTGCCCTGTGGGCCCACCTGGGCCTCCTCACCCCACTGGCCTTTGAGACCCAACTAGCAAGACCTGGTGTCCTATTTGTACTTTGCTCTTTTCTTCAGTGTGTTTCTTCTGTAACCAACTGCTGTGTGGAATTTCCATCTAAGATGCAGGGTGCAGAGCCTTGCCCATACCGGAAAGCCCCACCCCAGGCACTGCCAGGTCTGGTCAATCCTGTGCTCAGCTTAATGGAAAGGCTCCTGGAGCATGCACTGCTGAGTGAGCTCCATCTACATGCCTGCCTGGCCCTGTAACTCCTTTCTTCTTGTTGCTAAGGCCTGTTCTGATCCCTCACTCTCCACCTGAACTGCTCCTGAAGCCAAGATGAAGGATGGGAAATGGGGTGCTGAGAGGGACCCCTCCTGGGTAAATCTCTGCTGTGAGGAGGTTAGGTTTGCCCCACCCCATCTTTCCCTGCTCTGAGCTCCATTTTTGCCAAAGGTCAGAAAAATGCAACCTGTCCCCACCTGCTCTTTTATGGCCCATGAGCCAAGAATGAATTTTACATTTCCAAATGTTCAAACAAATCAAAAGAAGAATCATACTTCACGACCTTTGAAATCAACATTTTTCATGTCCATCAGTGAAGTTTTATGGGCGTGCAGCCATGTCCGTTCATTCTCAGGCTATCTGTGAGATTCTGTCATGCTATAGTGACAGAGTTGAGCCCCTAGAACAGAGGTAGGTTGGCAAAATGAAAAATGTTGAACTCTGACCCTGATTTGGGGGTTGTGTGGTGGAAACCTAGGCTCTTGGTCACATCCTTCTTCTCTCAGGGTCTGCTGTGGCCTTTGCTGGTGTGTGTGTAATGTGGGAATGCCCACTGTGCCTCCCATGGGTGGGGGGGTCAAGGGCTGGTGTGCCAGGTTTCGGGGTACCTTCCTCATGTGTCGTATCTCACCCAAAGAGGTCCCAAGCCTGGTCGAAACCAGTAGGAACAGCTGGTCTTTCACTGCAGGGACAACATGGAGCTCAGCTGCCTCCCATCTGGAGGTAGTTTTGTGAGGCCCACTGTCTGGGTCAAGGATGGCTCAGGGGTGGTGTACTAAACTGCAGGCTGGAAGGGCCCCAGCTACTGCAGTGCTGATCACCATCCCTGAGGGTGCCAGGGCCAACAGCTGTTGGCAGCTGCTCGCCCACTTACACTGTGCCCCTTCAGTGTGTGCGTGACAGGTGTTTGCCTACCAAGGCCACTAAGTTCCCTGAGTGGGTACATGGCCCAGGGGTGGCTAGGGGGTCTCAGGAGGTATGGCTGCAGCATCCCTGCCCTAGGGTATTGCTGTTTGTTGGTAGAGATAAGAGCATCCCCGGGAAGTGCTGTGTGAATGAGGGGCCCCAGCCCAGCCCATGAGAGGCACCTGGGGTTCTCTGGGGGCAGGTCAGGGTCTGAGCCCTGGGAGGGAAAGATGCACATTCCAGCTGAGAAGCAGCAGGCTCTTAGATATGGGCCATCATGGGGCCACTGCCCACCCCCCACCCTCTCCTGCATTGTAGGTGCTGCATCCTTGGGAGGTGAGAAAGATTGAAGAATGAGGCTGAAGACTCAGGTGAGATCAGCTTCCAGCACACAGGCTAGACAGGGATGGGCCTGCTTTTCACCACCAAGCTCTGTCCTCAACAGGCAGGGGAGGGACAAATGCCTGGTGGACAATCTCCTTCAGGTCACACCAAAAGCCCGGGTCCCAACAGGATGGAATAGAGGCCAGGCTATCAAAATGATTCTAGATTCCTGGCCTGGGCTCTGGGTGGCAGGCTGGGGGTGATGGAGGGGCACCCATACTGCAGGTGGAGAGACTGAGGCCCAGGACTATGGGGGATCCAGGAGCAGTGAGGAGGCCAGGGCTGGACTCTGGGAACTTTGGTGCTAGCCCTTGGAGAGGTGGGCTACTGTAGATGTGAGGATAGCAGGGCATGTGGCTCAGGTGGCTGCCAGGGAACAAGTGGTTCCAGGGTTGAGGGCACCCAGAGGTGAATGCTCTGGCCCAGTGGGAGCAGAGGGCAGCTGTAAAAGCAATGTCTACAGCATTTCCTGCAGAGGGACTGTGGGTTTGAGAGAGCTGTCAGTGGGACAATGTTGGGGTGTTTTGGCCTCCAGCAGTGGCAGGTGGATGTTGCCCAGCTGTGGAGGGCTGGTCAGAGAGATGGGACTTCTAGTTTTGGAGGACCAAGAGACAGATGTGCTTGTGCAGACAAAGGTCTTTGTGGAATGAATATGGGGAAATTTACAACTTAGGGACTGATGCTATGTGGGCTGAGGCCCTGAGCCCACACAGGAGAGCAGGAAAGGAGGTGAGGAGGACTCAGCTAGGGGGATGGACATGGGGGACACCAGGGCAGCAGGTCCCAGGAGAGGAGCATACCCGGGAGGGAATCAGAATTTTTGGCCTCAACTGAGCCCTCAAACCCTGCCTGGACCACACTCTCCAGTGACCTCACCCTGAGTTTCTGCTTGCCCCTGCCCACCTGGCCATCCTAGGCAGGTGTTAGGTGTTTCTCGCATTGTGGACTTGAGTTTGAGGGTTACCAGTCTGCATTTCAGAAGGCACCATCTGGCAGTGGGCAGCATCGAAACACTGTGGTCTCCTTGTCTCAGAAAACAACCCTTTCCACAGCCTGACAGGTTGTCTCTATCACCCAGGGGTCTCTGTCTCCCACCCCAGGATGCTCAGGAGGGCAGCCCAGAGCCCTGGGAGCTGGCTCTTCTCAGTGTTTGCCACACTGCTCTCACCTGTGCCTCAGTGTCCTCCTCCATGTGACGGTCATGTCCCTGTGGGTGGATGGCAGTGAGGCCAACTTGGAGAGGGGAATGCCTCCCTTTTCTTTCCTGGGCTTCTGGCGCCTCCCTCCTGGGGGATGATACGCCAGCCTCCCCAGGAGTCCCAGCAGGAAGGCAGACCCCAAGAAGGAACATGAGTTGAGCTGTGAGGAAGTGGTTACTGGCAGCCCTGGACACCAGGAGGGGAAGAGGTGGGGCCTCAAGGATGCCATCCTCATTCACCTGGTGCCTGCCAGGCCCTGGAGCTCTTCGGAGAGTGGGGTAGGGTCTCAGATCCTAGTGGGCTGATACCTCTTGGCTGCCTCTGAGGCTCCCAGCTCTGCAGGCAGCTGGCTTTCCCCTCCTAGCAAACTGCTTCCAAGGCCTGTCCTGCCTCATCCATTCAGCTGAGCTTACCACTGGGTCCTGGGCCTGCCCCAGTGTATTTTCCTGGGTGGGACGGAGCTCCCTAGGGAGATACCTCTATGTCCAGAAGCTTCCCAGGCCAGGAGGGAGCACATTGACCCTCTTAGCAGGAGCAACCACTTGGGGGAAGCAGGTTGGGAGAGGTGAGGATACATGGTCTAGCTTTGAGAATGCTCAGAATTGGGGAAGGGCCATGCTGCAAAAAGCTAAATATAAACCAGATGTCCCCCAACAGGTGGATCAATAAACTGTGATGTAGCCACAGAATCGAATCCTACTTTTCAACAAAATGGAACTATTGCTTCACACCACAAAACTGATGAATCTTAAGTTTATTTCTATAAACGAAGGAAGTCAGATCCAAAAGGCTACATATTATATGTTTCTATATATGTATATGATATTGTAGAAAAAGAAAATTATAAAGATCAAAAGCGATTAGTGGATGCCAAAGAATGGGATGAGGGGAGGTGTTGGCTAAGAAGGGGCAGCATGAGAGAATCGGGGGATAATGAAACAGTTCTGTGTGGTACTGTGAAGGCGGATGTTACTCTAAACAGTTGACAAATCACATTGAACTGTAGACCACAAAGAGTAAATGTCCTTGATGCAAATTGAAAAAAATAACCAGAAAGTTGGGACATTTAGATGAAATGCAGTAGGTGATAAATGAGTTTAACCGTACTACAAATGTATGGCCTAAACCTATTGAAGATGGTGGGGATGAAAATTCTTGACCTGAGTCACTTTGGAAAACAGTGTTTTGATTGAATGCTGTAATTCTCAAAAGCTGTACACCAACACTGTATTCTAGTTGGGTTTTTTTTTCCTGTAAAGCTATGAATTAGCAATTTTGAAACTGCTTTACATATTAGTGTATATATTTATATATGATTGATTATTAGTGCCTGTTCCTCACTCTAGTTGAAAAAAGTTGAAAATAAAAAGGGTATACTATAATGAACCCTGTCATGCTGATCTGGAGCTGGAAATATCAGAATAAACATTTCTATTGCAATATATCCATCCAGAGAGAGAGAGAGAGAAGGAGATATGTGTGCACACCTTAGTTTATGTTTATACATACGTTTCCAAACCCTGTCTGCTAATAGGGCCCAGAAGCAGTGACATTTCAGTATCAATGAGCACACCTAACTTTCGGATCTTGATTTCTAAATACTGTTCTTCAGTAAAAAGAACCAGGGCTACTTGTAACAGTGGATAATTCTAGGGCAGGAGATAGAAAATACAAGTTGAGCCTAGAGTATCTTATACAGCCAGAAACTCAAAAAGTGCTTTAAAAACATACAAGAGAGCATGTCAAAAGGAGCGACCCTGTAAGACCTCCCAATGGCCCAAGGTGGAACAATGTGAGCAGCAAAATAAACAATGATAGCATTAAATTATAACCAAAGAATAAAATACATATCCACACATCCATACCAATATAGAAAAGATGAAATAAATAAGGAAAGAAGGAAGAAATGAGGGAATGAGGAGGGGAGGAAGAAAGAAAATCTTTACAGAATTCCAAGTACTGTATCTACCAATGTAGATGAATACTTCAAAACAGAAAATCACTCCTAGAACACCCCAGTAATAACGACTGTAGGCAAAAGTTGCTAACGAGTTTTTAAATTGTGGATAAAATTTAAAGGAGAAAAAATGTATTTTCATAGCCCCAAAGTGTTGGCTTCCAAATATTTTTAAAATATTATTTTCTCTTAATTTTTTAAAAGACCTATAATTACTTAAGGCAAAAAATTAACAGTGTATTATGAGATTTGTAGTGTTTCAATGTAAAATTTACAAGAGCAGCACAAAGGATAGAAGGAGGAAAATGGAACTGTTATGTAGGAAAGTCTTTATATTTTACATGTATTAAAATGTATTAATTCTAAGTAGATTGTGATATGTCAAAAATACATATTGTAATCTCTGGACCAATCACTAAAAAAATGCAAAGCGGTGTCACTTAAATGCTGATACAGAAATTAAATTACATATAAAAAGTATTGTACAAGAATGTGTATAGACCTTTTAGTCATAATAACCCAAAGCAGAAAGTAACCTAAATGTTTTTCAACAGAAAATGGATGAGCAAAGTGTAGAGCATTCATACAACCAAGTACTACTCATCAATACAAAGGAGCAAACTACTGAAGCACACAGCCTGGATGATTCTCATGAACCTGCTAAGTGAGACAAGCTGCACATAAATAATACATATTGTATAATTTCAGACAAAATGAACCTATAATTTAAAAAAAATCAACAAAGAAATAAACTCTGGGGGCAAAAAAAAAAATTGCCCAGAGAGGAGCATGAGAGAATTTTTTGGAGATGGTAAAAATTCTATTCTTAAAAGTTATGAATGTTATATTGTATATTTGTCTGTCAAAGTCATACATTTAAGATTCATGCCTTTCAATGTACATATGACCTCACAAAGAAAAATAGAAAAATAATAAAGTAGGGGTGAGCTAGGTTGAAGTATAGATAAAACAAAATGGCACATGATTAGTAGTTGTTGAGGTTGGGTGATGGGTCTGTTATACGATTTTGTATCTGTTGTACATGTTTAAAATTTTCTGTAATAAAATATTTTGTATAAAAATACAAAGTTACTGTACAATGTAGGCTATTAAAAGCTTAGCTGCCATTGGAGGGAGGGAGGGAGGAAAAGAGTAATTGCCAGGGCATGAGTGATGCTGGTTCTCTTTCTTGGCTACACAAGTGTATTTGCTCTGCAATAATTCATCAAGCTTTGCATGAATACTTTGTGAATGTATTTTTGTATGCCTGTCGTACATCACAAAGTGATGAAAATATTACATATTTTCACATAAAATCCAACCCAAAATCTCAGAATAACAACAGTATTTTGTTTTGGTTAAAGCAGACATGTTCTCTCATGACATTATTAGATGAGTTTGAATATTCAGAAGTCTATTCATGCCCTAATTATCAAGTGAAACAAGGTCTTTTTATTTTTACCTAAATTTGAAAAGTGGCATAGTGTTAATTTTTTTAATGCAACACTTTTTTCCAGGAAATTTCTCTCCTCACAGTGATGCTTACTGAGGCCAGCGCATCTAGGCCCTGCATATATGTGCTGAGTACATGCAGAACTGGGTTATGTTAGGAACAAAATGAGTCATAGATAGTGGTTATGGATAACAGCCAGTTGCGGCAGAAGTATATGCAAATGTACTTGATCTTTCTTTAATGAGAGGTGCTCTTTGTTGTTTCAGGTGATGATCTGGTTTGTGAAAAGTTCAGTGCCTTTATTTCCCCATTCATCCAGGAGGGGACAAAGCTGGGCAGAGCTGAACCACCAAGTTCATCTATGAATACCCCAATGACGAGCACAGACACTAGCCCTGTTGGGGATGGCTGAGAGAGTTCCTGGTGAGGCTGCAGAGGGGAATGGAGATATATCAGCTACACATCTTAAACCAAGCTTGTCCAGCCCGTGGCCCACAAGGTGCATGTGGCCCAGTATGGCTTTGAATGTGTCCCAAAACAAATTCATAAACTTTCTTAAAACATTACGTAATTTTTTCTGCGTTTTTTTTTTTTAGCTCATCAGCTGTTGCTAGTGTATTTTATGTGTGGTCCAAGGCAATTCTTTCAACCTGGCCCAGGGAAACCAAAAGACTGGTCACCCTGTACAGAAAAAAAAAAAATGTGATCTGCTTCCTTATCAAACTTCTGTTCTAGGGCTCAAGACTCTCCGTTCAGACAGACGCTGTCATCTTTCTCCAGACCACAGTGTACCCGAGAGCCACAGAAAACTTCTGTTCCACTCTTCTCCATAGGAGCGGCTATGGGGCAGAACCTATTAACTCAGCCCAATACAGACATTTTTGTGGTTCACCTGATCTTCCAGGCAGGGATGTTGCTGCTTTCTTTAGAGAGGCCAGGCTTTGCCTTTTGCCACATATAGGTGAGTGCCGTCTGTGGTGGTGTCAGTTGGTAGGGTCAGCCTAGCCACAGACCCTGAGGTGAGTGATAAGGTGCCAGGAGTGGTGGACTGGGCTAGGCAGTCTCCCAATCTTCAGGCTTCTCGATGGTCCTCTATACAGCATGAATGAGTCCTGGAGGTCCTTGACCTGAACTGGGCCAGTGAACTTGTCCTCAGGTCTTCAGGGTGCAGGTGTTGACTGTGACATGTAGGAGCAGGCTGGTCCCTAGGTCACCAGCTTAACTCTCAGGCAGGGCCAAGCAGAGCACTCAGATGGTGGGAGCTCAAGGACAGATCATAGGCCTGTGAGGGCTGGTCTCGCAGCAAGGCCCCAGGCCACGGCTAAAATCATCACATGGAAGGAGGGCAGCTGTGCTGCTGGCCTGTTCCAGGGAAGGCAGGGCTCCCTCAGGGGGAGCAGTGGAGGCAGGCAGATGCCGGGCACATTGTCCACCCACGTTTTTCTCCCACAGGAGCAGCAGCAATATCCTTCATTGGGGTGTGTGGCAGTGCCTGGTCACCCATTGCCTGCCTGGCCCAGCAGTGGCCGTGGCAGTGGCAGCAGTGGTGATGACAGTGGGGGCCCCAGGACAGAATGCAGACCTACGCAAGGCTGTAATCTCAGAAGAACACTGGGCAGCAGCCAAAATTCCAGGGTGCAGGCAGAGCAGCTGTGCTCCAGGGCTGTCACTGGTGAGCCTTGCCCCACTCCCTTGGTGGGTGCAGTGAAGAGTGACAGCTGTGGGCATGTGGCCCACTCGAACATCTCCCCTGCAGAGCCAGCCATGGATTTCACTGCTAGGTGCACAGAGGTGCCCAGGCTCCATGCTTCCTTGCAAGCCTGGTGGCAGCAGTGGTAGATAATATCTATAATTCAGATAGTTTTGTGGTAGAAAAAAAAAAACTGACCTGTTTATTAGCAATTACTCTAATACAATTAAACACAATGTTCCTTATGGCCATCTGCTAAAATATCATTATTGTAAAATATTTTAAAATTTTGTTTTATCACGTAATTGTTCAAACAGTTCTTAAGTATTAGAGATATATTAAAATATCTTCAAATTTAAAAAAATAAAAATATGGCCGGGCGCAGTGGCTCACGCCTGTAACGCCAGCACTTTAGGAGACCAAGGCGGGCGGATCATGAGGTTAGGAGTTCAAGACCATCTGGCCAACATAGTGAAACCCCGTCTCTACTAAAAATACAAAAAATTAGCCGGGTATGGTGGCTAATATCCCCATATCCGCTACAGTGGACCAAGCTAAAATTATCATTCAATTCTTACCCTTATCATGTCATATGTATTACATGTAGAGATGTTTGTATATTACTACATATAATATTTTATCAAGAATTTATTATGTTTTTCTGTGAGTGTATTAGTTCCACCAGTTATTCCACCCTTACTTGAAGACAGAAACTGAATGTTGTTCGCTTTTTGAAGTTTTAATAAATGGGATTAGATAGTATGCATATTTTTAATCTGGTTGAATTTATGCAACATTATATTTGTGATGTTTATCCATCTCATTACATGTACATATAATTTGTTCATTATTCAGCAATAATACATTTGGTAATATGATATAAAAATAAAAATGTCTGAAGCTATAGTTATTCTTTAACTTTTTTTTTTTTTTTTTTTTTTTTTGATGAGTACTGAGACCAGACAATGCACCTGAGCAATGTTACTGAAGAAAATGAGCTCACTCATTACCAAGTTTAGGACCCAGCTGCTGCTACTCTACTTTTCCAGGAATTAGGTAAGTTCAGATTTTGCTTTGGTGACTCTCATTTCTACCAATCCCAGAGCCTAGTGTCTTACTTCTACAGGTGACATGACAGTAATAAATCCAGAGGGAAATGAAATGATAGCATTTATTCTTTATACCCATGTCTCAGGGACAAAAATTCATATACACAGAATGACTCCAAGACAAACCTTGGTATCTGTTTCTTAGCTTCATTACTGATGAGTACTCAAGTCTCAGGTGGAAAGTTGGAGGAGGCAGAATTTTATCAATGAGGTCTATAATTTTTGCATGATTTTGCTCTTGTGTCTCACTGAATTATAACTAACTGGTAGGTGTTTCTACATACCATATATTATGAACACATAAACATATTTGTAAGAAAATGTGTGATTTTTTAAATGTTATACTCTAATTGCAGTTTTACTCGACTATTTCTCATTTTACAACAAATTGTTCACTTATGACATTTTTTATCTTGACACTAAATATGAACTAATTTATAATGATTTAATCATATTTTAATTTTAATTTAATTTAATTTAATTTTTATTTGTTTGAGACAAAGTCTCCCACTGTCACCTGGGCCGGAGTGCAAATGGCACAATCTCAGCTCACTGTAACCTCTGCCTCCCAGGTTCAAGAGATTCTCCTGCCTCAGCCTCCCCAGTAGCTGGGACTACAGGCACCTGCCACCACACCCAGCCAATTTTTTGTATTTTTAGTAGAGACGGGGTTTCGCTATGTTGGTCAGACTGGTCTCAAACTCCTAACAACAGGATTAGGTTTATTCTGCCTTGGCAGGGTGGTCCTGAGAGTCGTAGGTGCCACCCTGTCCTGGACTAAGGGAGGCCCAGAGGGCCAGTTAAGGCCAATGGTAGGCGAAGGTGGGGGTGCAGCCCCTTGAATGAGGTGAAAACAGGCCAAGGCCAGGAGGCAGCTGTGGTAGGCTGGGGCAGGGTGGAAGGCACTGGACTGGGACCTAGTCAGACCTACAAAGCCAAGGACCCAGGCCACATGAGTACCCCCGGCAGGCGAGGCACAGTGTCAGATGACACAGAACATGAAACACAGGCCCAGGCTCACAGTAAGCACATGGACAAGTGGGCGCAGATTCACAGGCCAGATGAACAGCCAGCCATGGCTGGGCCAGACCTGTGGACACAGTGGTGGCTTCACACACAGACCACAGGGAAGACATGGCTCTATGTGACACAGTGACTTGACGCCACAATGCACAGAGCAGGCCGCAGAGCTCAAGGGATGTGGGAAGGGGCCTTTTGGCCCTTCTGCCCTGGAATCCTGTGAGACAGGGGTGGCAGCCACTCTGCAGGTGCCTGGAGTGTCCCCTCGCAGCCCCTCTGGGCTTAGTCCTTCTTCCACACTTTGTTGAGCAGCTTCACCACCTCATTGTAGATGATAAATGTTATGGCCACATCCAGGCAGACTCCGTCAGTGACTGGCATGGGACAGTGCCCTTGTGAAGGCCTTGAGCCCCTCGGGATCCCGTCCAGAGGGGTGTTTCCGAAGACGCTGGCTGTGCCTGCAATGGCTCAGAAGACCCCAGTGATCAGCGGGTTCATGGGCTTATCTGTTTGGTACCAGTTGCTGCAGGGAGGTCAGGACAAAGAAACAATGGCCTGGTTCCAGCCCTGCTTCAGCCCGGCGGCCCTGAGGCCCTGGTAAGTCCCCTCAGCCCTTGTTCCCGCATAATCTCCCTAACCCCGAAGAATTATCTGTTCTTGGGTTTGGGGAGGTCTGGTAGTGGATGAACTTCACTTTGATGGTCTCCATGGGACGTACGACCACCATGGCCTCGGCCATGCCGGTGTCTAGACCTCACAGCAGCCCGCGCCTGCTGTTCAGCAGTCCCTGGGCATTCCACATCTGGGTGCAGAGGAACTCCAACTTCCCGAACCTGACTCTGCCTCGGGGATGGAGCCGCAGAGCAGGAAGCTGAGGCCGCGGTTCAGGCCCAGGACGCCGTGGCTGTGACTGTGCCCCACAGGCCCCCATGCCGGGTGCCCGGCGGGGGCGAGCGCTCGTTGGTCCTCACGTGCTCGGTGGGAAACGGAATACAGGTGTGGATGCTGCCGTCCAGGCCACCTGCCGTGATCGCCTTCCCCGGGAGAGTCCCCTCGGCCTTCCAGAACGCTGCGCTGCCATGGTGGGCGGGAGGGGTGACGCCCGGCATCGCCTTGGTCTGAGCCTCCTGAACTCCCCGCTCTGACCTTAATTTGGTTTTGACACAAATAAAGATCTCACATAAACATAAAATGGGATGTCTTGGCTTGTAATTTTTATTGAAAGCAATAGTATTGTTGTATAGGATAGTGTATTGGGGTAAATAGGTTTTTTATTTTTATTGTTTTCATCAGCTCACTGACATTGATCGAGGGCAGTTTTTAGGTTATTGATGAGCAGTTTTCCCTTAGGTATGCCTTAAGGTAGGGGTTTCTGGTAATGTTTGAGAGGTAGGCTGGGATTAGAGTTTGTTATGGCAGCAATATCCTTCTGAGAACCAGGGAATTCAAATCCTTCTCATGATACTTTGCTAATATCGCCCAGGTTTACTGTGCCTTTCCTTTGTGCAGCTTACCAGAGATGGTCTCTTGCACTTGGCCCAGCTATAATATGTTCCACTGTTCTTTTTATTCCGTGCTTCTTAGCCTGGTGGCAGGGGTGAGGGAATGAGGAGATATCTGATGTTCTGAGGAAGCCTCACACTCAGCACTGTGAACTGGGGTGTGGGGTTACCGACCTTCAAAGTTTCCTGCCCCTCCTGTAGATGCAATGCCAGAACAAGAGTACATTCCTGTCCCTCCCCCAGTGGTAGAGAGGCTCCTTGTCCACGTTCCTAGCTTCTAGTTGAAGTGTGAGTGGGTCTGCAACAGTGCCCTGTAAACTAATGCTTTAGTTTCTTTATGGGAGATGTATCTGGGCAGAGATGTGGGTGTTGACCTTGTTTCTCCACCATCAGCTGCAGTGAGTTTTTTCACAGTTCCCTCTGGTTCAAGTTTGGATGCTCTTTCCCCGGCCTTGTGTTCTATAGCAGAGATGGGAAAGCTATGTCTCCAGAGTTGTAGCAGTGGGTGGGATAGTGGTCCCTCCCTATCAGCACCATGGGGGAAGCATTCTCAGGATTATACCCCACCCTCCCTGACAGGCCTTGTAGGGTTCCTAGAAAAATCATACACAAAGGTGTAAACTCTATGTCTGTAGACTCCAGGATTTCTCATTCCCCTTCACCCACCCACCCACCCACCCACACACAGCCACCAGGAACTAGTTCAAAAGTCCTGCTTTAATTTTGCTAGTTTCCATGGTCTTCCAGGTATACATAAAAGCCTGGGGCCTGTGTGACCTGCAGGCTCCTGCATGCCTTGATGTTGGGTTTGTTGTCTCCTCTGTGACCTCAATTCTCCAAAGGGCTCGGAACAAGCCATTCATTCATTTGCATTTTCTCCAGCTTTTTTGTTTGTTTAATGTAGGAGCAACTCTTTGTCAGGTCTCTACAGCTATAAACTTAACTCAGAGACTAATATTTCTAAATACATTTATTTCCTATCATACTTTCAGTGTTGCTCTACCTAACCTAATTGTTCTTCAGTATTTTTCTTATTTGTATGTCTTTATTTTAAAACCAGGTTTAATTCCTTCTTAAACTAATTTGTAACTTTTCTATTTTCTTCCATTTCATTTATTTCCCTCTGTGACTTTGATTCTTTTCAGACATTTAAAGCATTGATGCATAATTCCAGTGTAGGAAGTCAGATTATACACTGACATTTCTCCTTGACCACTGGTTATAACACTTCAGCCCTGATGACAGTTATACCTGAAGCCACATCCACTCTTGACATGTATTTATTTTACTATTCAATAAAAATTAAGTCATCATGAACTGTATTTTATTAATATTTGTAGGCTTTATGGACCTGAAAATACAACAAATAAAAACCAAATTACATGACACCAGGGGTTAAAATTTTTTTGGTTGATTAAAACATTTTTGTCTTTCTGTGATTTGAGTGATCTTTGTAATAGGAACCAGAGTTGAAACTAAAGTAAGTAGGTGTTGGTGAGATTTGATGGCTAAGAACATGGAGCTCATTTTGTAATTGAAAGGGAAATAAGAACACGTGTCACCAGTTCCATATGATCACAATGCATGTGGAATAATCAAAATGGCAACAAGCGACTTATATTTTGAGAGAGAAGAATTGGAACTAAAATGACCAAGTATAAAGCTGAGCCAAGGGCCGGCACAGTGGTTCATGCCTGTAATCTCAGCACGTTGGGAGGCCGAGACAGGCAGATCACCTGAGGTCAGGCAAGACCAGCGTAGCCAATATGGTGAAACCCAATCTCTACTAAAAATACAAAAAATTAGCCAGGCATGGTGGTGGGCGCCTGTAATCCCAGCTACTTGAGAGGCTGAGGCGGGAGAATCGCTTGAATCTGGGAGGCGGAGGTTGCAGTGAACCAAGATTGTGCCACTGCACTCCAGCCTGGGAGACAGGGTGAGACTCAGTCTCAAAAGATAAATGAATGAAGGAATGAATGAATGAATGAATGAATAAAGCTGACCCAGTCTGACTTGGATCTTTGTCTTTAACATATATCTGCAATACTCATGTAGGCAGTGTATAAATAACTTGTCAGCAATATTATTAATGCCCAGGTTCTTGAATTTTCAGGGTTTGGTTTCTCCAGTAGTGAGTGTGTTACTGAGCAAAAGGGGCTTGCAATGCACTAAAGTCAATACTATGACATTAAATTTTTCTTTTATTATTATTATTATTATTATTATACTTCAAGTTTTAGGGTACATGTGCATAACGTGCAGGTTTGTTACATATGTATACATGTGCCATGTTGGTGTGCTGCACCCATTAACGCGTCATTTAGCATTAGGTATATCTCCTAATGCTATCCCTCCCCTCTCCCCCCTCCCCCCACCCCACAACAGTCTCCGGTGTGTGATGTTCCCCTTCCTGTGTCCATGTGTTCTCATTGTTCAATTCCCACCTATGAGTCAGAACATGCGGGCGGGCCGCGCGGTGGGCGCGGAGAGGAGCGGAGCGGCGCGGCAGGCCGGGCGGGTTGCGGCAGTAGCGGAGGAGGCCGCAGCTGCGAGTCCCAGGAGCGGAGGCGACGCGGGCGGCGGCTGGGGGCCGGGTGGCCGGGGTCCCGGGCCCCGCGGCGGCAGCGGTAGGATGATCAAGCTGTTCTCGCTGAAGCAGCAGAAGAAGGAGGAGTAGTCGGCGGGAGGCACCAAGCGCAGCAGCAAGAAGGCGTCGGCGGCGCAGCTGCGGATCCAGAAGGACATAAACGAGCTGAACCTGCCCAAGACGTGTGATATCAGCTTCTCAGATCCAGACGACCTCCTCAACTTCAAGTTGGTCATCTGTCCTGATGAGGGCTTCTACAAGAGTGGGAAGTTTGTGTTCAGTTTTAAGGTGGGCCAGGGTTACCCGCATGATCCCCCCAAGGTGAAGTGTGAGACAATGGTCTATCACCCCAACATTGAAATCGAGGGCAACGTCTGCCTCAACATCCTCAGAGAGAACTGGAAGCCAGTCCTTACGATAAACTCCATAATTTATGGCCTGCAGTATCTCTACTTGGAGCCCAACCCCGAGGACCCACTGAACAAGAAGGCCGCAGAGGTCCTGCAGAACAACCGGCAGCTGTTGGAGCAGAACGTGCAGCCATCCATGCGGGATGGCTACATAGGCTCCACCTACTTCGAGCGCTGCCTGAAATAGGGTTGGCGCATACCCACCCCCGCCACGGCCGCAAGCCCTGGCATCCCCTGCAAATATTTATTGGGGGCCATCGGTAGGGGTTTGGGGGGCGGCCGGTGGGGGAATCCCCTGCCTTGGCCTTGCCTCCCCTTCCTGCCACGTGCCCCTAGTTATTTTTTATTAACACCATGTGATTAAGGTCAGCGCTGCCTCCCCCGACCCACTCAGCGATGGGAAATGAATTGGCTGTTCTAGCCCCCCTGCTGGGTGCTTGTTCAGCCAAAGGGCCTGGGTAGCTGGGCCCAGACAAACCACCCCTCCACCTCTGGAGGTCCCACCAGGCTATTAAAGGGGAATGTTACTGCAAAAAAAAAAAAAAAAATGCGGTGTTTGGTTTTTTGTCCTTGTGATAGTTTGCTGGGAATGACGGTTTCCAGTTTCATCCATGTCCCTACAAAGGACATGAACTCATCATTTTTTATGGCTGCATAGTATTCCATGGTGTATATGTGCCACATTTTCTTAATCCAGTCTATCATTGTTGGACATTTGGGTTGGGTCCAAGTCTTTGCTATTGTGAATAGTGCCGCTATAAATATACGTGTGTAGGTGTCTTTACAGCAGCATGATTTATAATCCTTTGGGTATATACCCAGTAATGGGATGGCTGGGTCAAATGGTATTTCTAGTTCTAGATCCCTGAGGAATTGCCACACTGACTTCCACAATGGTTGAACTAGTTCACAGTCCCACCAACAGTGTAAAAGTGTTCCTATTTCTCCACATCCTCTCCAGCACCTGTTGTTTCCTGATTTTTAATGATCGCCATTCTAACTGGTGTGAGGTGGTATCTCATTGTGGTTTTGATTTGCATTTCTCTGATGGCCAGGGATGATGAGCATTCTTTCAAGTGGTTTTTGGCTGCATAAATGTCTTCTTTTGAGAAGTGTCTGTTCATATCCTTCGCCCATTTTTGATGGGATTGTTTGTTTTTTTCTTGTAAATTTGTTTGAGTTCATCATAGATTGTGGATATTAGCCCTTTGTCAGATAAGTAGGTTGCAAAAATTTTCTCCCATTCTGTAGGTTGCCTGTTCATGCTGATGGTGGTTTCTTTTGCTGTGCAGAAGCTCTTTAGTTTAATTAGATCCCATTTGTCAATTTTGGCTTTTATTGCCATTGCTTTTGGTATTTTAGCCATGAAGTCCTTGACCATGCCTATGTCCTGAATGGTATTGCCTAGGTTTTCTTCTAGGATTTTCATGGTTTTAGGTCTAACATGTAAGTCTTTAATTCATCTTGAATTAATCTTTGTATAAGGTGTAAGGAAGGGATCCAGTTTCAGCTTTCTACATATGGCTAGCCAGTTTTCCCAGCACTATTTATTAAATAGGGAATCCTTTCCCCATTGCTTGTTTTTCTCAGGTTTGTCAAAGATCAGATAGTTGTAGACATGCGGCGTTATTTCTGAGGGCTCTGTTCTGTTCCATTGGTCTATATCTCTGTTTTGGTACCAGTACCATGCTGTTTTGGTTACTGTAGCCTTGTAGTATAGTTTGAAGTCAGCTACTGTGATGCCTCTAGCTTTGTTCTTTTGGCTTAGGATTGACTTGGCAATGCGGGCTCTTTTTTGGTTCCTTATGAACTTTACAGTAGTTTTTTCCAATTCTGTGAAGAAAGTCATTGGTAGCTTGATTGGGATGGCATTGAATCTATAAATTACCTTGGGCAGTATGGCCATTTTTGCGATGTTGATTCTTCCTACCCATGAGCATGGAATGTTCTTCCACTTGTTTGTATCCCCTTTAATTTCATTGAGCAGTGGTTTGTAGTTCTCCTTGAAGAGGTCCTTCACTCCCTTGTAAGTTGGATTCCTAGGTATTTTATTCTCTTTGAAGCAATTGTGAATGGGAGTTCACTTATGGTTTGGCTCTCTGTTTGTCTGTTATTGGTGTATAAGAATGCTTCTGATTTTTGCACCTTGATTTTGTATCCTGAGACTTTGCTGAAGTTGCTTATCAGCTTAAGGAGATTTTGGGCTGAGACGATGGGGTTTTCTAGGTATACAATCATGTCATCTGCAAACAGGGACAATTTGACTTCCTCTTTTCCTAATTGAATGCCCTTTATTTCCTTCTCCTGCCTGATTGCCCTGGCCAGAACTTCCAACACTATGTTGAATAGGAGTGGTGAGAGAGGGCATCCCTGTCTTGTGCCAGTTTTCAAAGGGAATGCTTCCAGTTTGTGTCCATTCAGTGTGATATTGGCTGTGGGTTTGTCATAGGTAGCTCTTATTATTTTGAGATACGTCCCATCAATACCTAATTTATTGAGAGTTTTTAGCATGAAGGGTTGTTGAATTTTGTCAAAGGCCTTTTCTGTATCTATTGAGATAATCATGTGGTTTTTGTCTTTGGTTCTGTTTATATGCTGGATTACGTTTATTGATTTTCGTATGTTGTACCAGCCTTGCATCCCAGGGATGAAGCCCACTTGATCATGGTGGATAAGCTTTTTGATGTGCTGCTGGATTAGGTTTGCCAGTATTTTACTGAGGATTTTTGCATCAGTGTTCATCAAGGATATTGGTCTAAAATTCTCTTTTTTTGGTTGTGTCTGTGCCCGGCTTTGGTATCAGGATGATGCTGGCCTCATAAAATGAGTTAGGGAGGATTCCCTCTTTTTCTATTCATTGGAATAGTTTCAGAAGGAATGTTACCAGCTCCTCCTTGTACCTCTGGTAGAATTCGGCTGTAAATCCATCTGGTCCTGGACTTTTTTTTGGTTTCTAAGCTACTAATTATTGCCTCAATTTCAGATCCTGTTATTGGTCTATTCAGAGATTCAACTTCTTCCTGGTTTAGTCTTGGGAGAGTGTATGTGTCAAGGAATTTATCCAATTCTTCCAGATATTCTAGTTTATTTGCGTAGAGGTGTGTATAGTATTCTCTGATGGTAGTTTGTATTTCTGTGGGATCAGTGGTGATATCCCCTTTGTCATTTTTTATTGCATCTATTTGATTCTTCTCTCTTTTCTTCTTTATTAGGCTTGCTAGCAGTCTATCAATTTTGTTGATCTTTTCAAAAAACCAGCTCCTTTATTCATTGATTTTTGAAGGGTTGTTTGTGTCTCTATTTCCTTCCGTTCTGCTCTAAGCTTAGTTATTTCTTGCCTTCTGCTAGCTTTTGAATGTGTTTGCTCTTGCTTCCCTAGTTCTTTTAATTTTGTTGTTAGGATGTCAATTTTAGATCTTTCCCGCTTTCTCTTGTGGGCATTTAGTGCTATAAGTTTCCCTCTACACACTGCTTTGAATGTGTCCCAGAGATTCTGGTATGTTGTGTCGTTGTTCTCGCTGGTTTCAAAGAACATCTTTATTTCTGCCTTCATTTCGTTATGGACCCAGTAGTCATTCAGGAGCAGGTTTTTCAGTTTCCATGTAGTTGAACGGTTTTGAGTTTCTTAATGCTGAGTTCTAGTTTCATTGCACTGTGGTCTGAGAGACAGTTTGTTATAATTTCTGTTCTTTTTTTTCTTATTTATTTATTTATTTATTATTATACTTTAAGTTTTAGGGTACATGTGCACAATGTGCAGGTTAGTTACATATGCATACATGTGCCATGCTGGTGCACTGCACCCACTAACTCGTCATCGAGCATTAGGTATATCTCCCAATGCTACCCCTCCCCCCTCCCCGCTCCCCCCACCCCACAACAGTCCCCAGAGTGTGATATTCCCCTTCCTGTGTCCATGTGTTCTCATTGTTCAATTCCCACCTATGAATGAGAATATGCAGTGTTTGGTTGTTTGTTCTTGCGATAGTTTACTGAGAATGATGATTTCCAATTTCATCCATGTCCCTACAAAGGACATGAACTCATCATTTTTTATGGCTGCATAGTATTCCATGGTGTATATGTGCCACATTTTCTTAATACAGTCTATCAATATTGGACATTTCGGTTGGTTCCAAGTCTTTGCTATTGTGAATAGTGCCGCAATAAACATACGTGTGCGTGTGTCTTTATAGCAGCATGATTTATAGTCCTTTGGGTATATACCCAGTAATGGGATGGCTGAGTCAAATGGTATTTCTAGTTCTAGATCCCTGAGGAATTGCCACACTGATTTCCACAATGGTTGAACTAGTTTACAGTCCCACCAACAGTGTAAAAGTGTTCCTATTTCTCCACATCCTCTCCAGCACCTGTTGTTTCCTGACTTTTTAATGATTGCCATTCTAACTGGTGTGAGATGGTATCTCATTGTGGTTTCGATTTGTATTTTTCTGATGGCCAGTGATGGTGAGCATTTTCTCATGTGTTTTTTGGCTGCATAAATGTCTTCTTTTGTGAAGTTTCTGTTCATGTCCTTTGCCCACTATTTGATGGGGTTGTTTGTTTTTTTCTTGTAAATTTGTTTGAGTTCATTATAGATTCTGGATATTAGCCCTTTGTCAGATGACTAGGTTGCGAAAATTTTCTCCCATTTTGTAGGTTGCCTGTTCACTCTGATGGTAGTTTCTTTTGCTGTGCAGAAGCTCTTTAGTGTAACTAGATCCCATTTGTCAACTTTGGCTTTTGTTGCCATTGCTTTTGGTGTTTTAGACGTGAAGTCCTTGCCCATGCCTATGTCCTGAATGGTAATGCCTAGGGTTTTTATGGTTTTAGGTCTAATGTTTAAGTCTTTAATCCATCTGGAATTGATTTTTGTATAAGGTGTAAGGAAGGGATACAGTTTCAGCTTTCTACATATGGCTAGCCAGTTTTCCCAGCACCATTTATTAAATAGGGAATCCTTTCCCCATTGCTTGTTTTCGTCAGGTTTGTCAAATATCAGATAGTTGTAGATATGTGGCGTTATTTCTGAGGGCTCTATTCTGTTCCATTGATCTATATCTCTGTTTTGGTCCCACTACCATGCTGTTTTGGTTACTGTAGCCTTGTAGTATAGTTTGAAGTCAGGTAGTGTGATGCCTCCAGCTTTGTTCTTTTGGCTTACGATTGACTTGGCAATGCGGGCTCTTTTTTGGTTCCATATGAAGTTTAAAGCAGTTTTTTCCAATTCTGTGAAGAAAGTCATTGGTAGCTTGATGGGGATGGCATTGAATCTGTAAATTACCTTGGGCAGTATGGCCATTTTCACTATATTGATTCTTCCTACCCATGAGCATGGAATGTTCTTCCATTTGTTTGTATCCTCTTTTATTTCATTGAGCAGTGGTTTGTAGTTCTCCTTGAAGAGGTCCTTCACATCCCTTGTAAGTTGGATTCCTAGGTATTTTATTCTCTTTGAAGCAATTGTGGATGGGAGTTCACTCATGATTTGGCTCTCTGTTTGTCTGTTGTTGGTGTATAAGAATGCTTGTGATTTTTGTACAATGATTTTGTATCCTGAGACTTTGCTGAAGTTGCTTATCAGCTTAAGGAGATTTTGGGCTGAGACAATGGGGTTTTCTAGATATACAATCATGTCGTCTGCAAACAGGGACAATTTGACTTCCTCTTTTCCTAATCGAATACCCTTTATTTCCTTCTCCTGCCTAATTGCCCTGGCCAGAACTTCCAACACTATGTTGAATAGGAGTGGTGAGAGAGGGCATCCCTGTCTTGTGCCAGTTTTCAAAGGGAATGCTTCCAGTTTTTGCCCATTCAATATGATATTGGCTGTGGGTTTGTCATAGATAGCTCTTAATATTTTGAGATTCATCCCATCAATACCTAATTTATTGAGAGATTTTAGCATGAAGTGTTGTTGAATTTTGTCAAAGGCCTTTTCTGCATCTATTGAGATAATCATGTGGCTTTTGTCTTTGGTTCTGTTATATGCTGGATTACATTTGTTGCTTTGCGTATATTGAACCAGCCTTGCATCCCAGGGATGAAGCCCACTTGATCATGGTGGATAAGCTTTTTGATGTGCTGCTGGATTCGGTTTGCCAGTATTTTACTGAGGATTTTTGCATCAGTGTTCATCAAGGATATTGGTCTAAAATTCTCTTTTTTTGGTTGTGTCTGTGCCCGGCTTTGGTATCAGGATGATGCTGGCCTCATAAAATGAGTTAGGGAGGATTCCCTCTTTTTCTATTCATTGGAATAGTTTCAGAAGGAATGTTACCAGCTCCTCCTTGTACCTCTGGTAGAAATCAGCTGTGAATCCATGTGGTCCTGGACTCTTTTTCATTGGTAAGGTATTGATTATAGCCACAATTTCAGAGCCTGTTATTGGTCTATTCAGAGATTCAACTTCTTCCTGGTTTAGTTTTGGGAGAGTGTATGTGTCGAGGAATTTATCCATTTCTTCTACATTTTCTAGTTTACTTGCGTAGAGGTGTTTGTAGTATTCTCTGATGGTAGTTTGTATTTCTGTGGGATCGGTGGTGATATCCCCTTTATCATTTTTTATTGCATCTATTTGATTCTTCTCTCTTTTTTTCTGTATTAGTCTTGCTAGCTGTCTATCAATTTTGTTGATCCTTTCAGAAAACCAGCTCCTGGATTCGTTAATTTTTTGAAGGGTTTTTTGTGTCTGTATTTCCTCCAGTTCTGCTCTGATTTTAGTTATTTCTTGCCTTCTACTAGCTTTTGAATGTATTTGCTCTTACTTTTCTAGTTCTTTTAATTGTGACGTTAGGGTGTCAGTTTTGGATCTTTCCTGCTTTCTCTTGTGGACATGTAGTGCTATAAATTTCCCTCTACACACTGCTTAGAATGTGTCCCGGAGATTGTGGTATGTTGTGTCGTTGTTCTCGCTGGTTTCAAAGAACATCTTTATTTCTGCCTTCATTTCATTATGCACCCAGTAGTCACTCAGGAGGAGGTTGTTCAGTTTCCATGTAGTTGAGCAATTTTGAGGGAGATTCTTAATCCTGTGTTCTAGTTTGATTGCACTGTGGTCTGAGAGATAGTTTGTTATAATTTCTGTTCTTTTACATTTGCTGAGGAGAGCTTTATTTCCAAGTATGTGGTCAATTTTGGAATAGGTGTGGTGTGGTGCTGAAAAAAATGTAGATTCTTTTGACTTGGGGTGGAGAGTTCTGTAGATGTCTATTAGGTCCACTTGGTGCAGAGCTGATATCAATTCCTGGGTATCCTTGTTGACTTTCTGTCTCGTTGTCTAATGTTGACTGTGGGGTGTAAAATCTCCCCTTATTAATGTGTGGGAGTCTAAGTCTCTTTGTAGGACACTCAGGACTTGCTTTATGAATCTGGGTGCTCCTGTATTGGGTGCATATATATTTAGGATAGTTAGCTCTTCTTGTTGAATTGATCCCTTTACCATTAAGTAATGGCCTTCTTTGTCTCTTTTAATGTTTGTTGGTTTAAAGTCTGTTTTATCAGAGACTAGGATTGCAATCCCTGCCTTCTTTTGTTTTCCATTTGCTTAGTAGATCTTCCTCCATGCTTTTATTTTGAGCCTATGTGTGTCTTTGCACTTGAGATGGGGTTCCTGAATACAGCACACTGATGGGTCTTGACTCTTTATCCAATTTGCCAGTCTGTGTCTTTTAATTTGAGCATTTAGTGCATTTACATTTAAAGTTAATATTGTTATGTGTGAATTTGATCCTGTCATTATGATGTTAGCTGGTTATTTTGCTCATTAGTTGATGCAGTTTCTTCCTAGCCTTGATGGTCTTTACAATTTGGCATGTTTTTGCAGGGGCTGGTAGTGGTTGTTCCTTTCCATGTTTATTGCTTCCTTCAGGGGCTCTTTTAGGGCAGGCCTGGTGGTGACAAAATCTCTCAGCATTTACTTGTCGGTAAAGTATTTTATTTCTCCTTCACTTATGAAGCTTAGTTTGGCTGGATATGAGATTCTGGGTTGAAAATTCTTTTCTTTAAGAATGTTGAATATTGGCCCCCACCCTCTTCTGGCTTGTAGAGTTTCTGCCAAGAGATCTGCTGTTAGTCTGATCAGCTTCCCTTTTAGGGTAACCCGACCTTTCTCTCTGGCTGCCCTTAACATTTTTTCCTTCATTTCAACTTTGGTGAATCTGACAATTATGTGTCTTGGTGTTGCTCTTCTCGAGGAGTATCTTTGTGGCATTCTTTGTATTTCCTAAATCTGAATGTTGGCCTGCCTTGCTAGATTGGGGAAGTTCTCCTGGATAATATCCTGCAGAGTGTTTCCCAACTTGGTTGCATTCTCCCGGTCACTTTTAGGTACACCAATCAGTTGTAGATTTGGTCTTTTCACATAGTCCCATATTTCTTGGAGGCTTTGCTCATTTCTTTTTATTCTTTTTTCTCTAAACTTCCCTTCTCGCTTCATTTCATTCATTTCATCTTCCATCGCTGATACCCTTTCTTTCAGTTGATCGCATCAGCTCCTGAGGCTTCTGCATTCTTCACGTAGTTCTCGAGCCTTGGTTTTCAGCTCCATCAGCTCCTTTAAGCACTTCTCTGTATTGGTTATTCTAGTTATACATTCTTCTAAATTTTTTTCAAAGTTTTCAACTTCTTTGCCTTTGGTTTGAATGTCCTCCCATAGCTCGGAGTAATTTGATGGTCTGAAGCCTTCTCTCAGCTTGTCAAAGTCATTCTCCGTCCAGCTTTGTTCCATTGCTGGTGAGGAACTGTGTACCTTTGGAGGAGGAGAGGCGCTCTGCTTTTTAGAGTATCCAGTTTTTCTGCTCTGTTTTTTCCCCATCTTTGTGGTTTTATCTACTTTTGGTCTTTGATGATGGTGATGTACAGATGGGTTTTTGGTGTGGATGTTCTTTCTGTTTGTTAGTTTTCCTTCTAACAGACAGGACCCTCAGCTGCAGGTCTGTTGGAGTACCCGGCCATGTGAGGTGTCAGTCTGCCCCTGATGGGGGGTGCCTCCCAGTTAGGCTGCTTGGGGGTCAGGGGTCAGGGACCCACTTGAGGAGGCAGTCCGCCCGTTCTCAGATGTCCAGTTGCATGCTGGGAGAACCACTTCTCCCTTCAAAGCTGTCAGACAGGGACATTTAAGTCTGCAGAGGTTACTGCTGTCTTTTGGTTTGTCTGTGCCCTGCCCCCAGAGGTGGAGCCTACAGAGGCAGGCCGGCCTCCTTGAGCTGTGGTGGGCTCCACCGAGTTCGAGCTTCCTGGCTGCTTTGTTTACCTAAGCAAGCCCGGGCAATGGCGGGTGCCCCTCCCCCAGCCTCGCTGCTGCCTTGCAGTTTGATCTCAGACTGCTGTGCTAGCAATCAGCAAGACTCTGTGGGCGTAGGACCCTCCAAGCCAGATGCGGGATATAATCTCCTGGTGCGCCGTTTTTTAAGCCCGTTGGAAAATGGCAGTATTCAGGTGGGAGTGACCCGATTTTCCAGGTGCCGTCTGTCACCACTTTGTTTGACTAGGAAAGGGAACTCCCTGACCCCTTGCACTTCCCGAGTGAGGCAATGCCTCGCCCTGCTTTGGCTCGTGCACGGTGCATGCACTCACTGACCTGCGCCCGCTGTCTGGCACTCCCTAGTGAGATGAACCAGGTACCTCAGATGGAAATGCAGAAATCACCCGTCTTCTGCGTCGCTCACACTGGGAGCTGTAGACTGGAGCTGTTCCTATTCGGCCATCTTGGCTCCTCCTAATTTCTGTTCTTTTACATTTGATAAGGAGTGCTTTACTTCCAACTATGTGGTCAATTTTGGAACAGGTGTGGTGTGGTGCTGAAAAAAATGTAGATTCTGTTGATTTGGGGTGGAGAGTTCTGTAGATGTCTATTAGGTCCACTGGGTGCAGAGCTGAGTTCAATTCCTGGATATCCTTGTTAACTTTCTGTCTCATTGATCTGTCTAATGTTGACAGTGGGGTGTTAAAGTCTCCCATTATTATTGTGTGGGAGTCTAAGTCTCTTTGCAGGTCATTAAGGACTTGCTTTATGAATCTGGGTGCTCCTGTATTGGGTGCATATATATTTAGGATAGTTAGCTCTTCTTGTTGAATTGATCCCTTTATCATTATGTAATGGCTTTCTTTGTCTCTTTTGATCTTTGTTGGTTTAAAGTCCGTTTTATCAGAGACTAGGATTGCAACCCTTGCCTTTTCTTGTTTTCCATTTGCTTAGTAGATCTTCCTCCATCCCTTTATTTTGAGCCTATGTGTGTCTCTGCCCTTGATATGGGTTTCCTGAATACAGCACACTGATGGGTCTTGACTCTTTATCCAATTTGCCAGTCTGTGTCTTTTAATTGGAGCATTTATACCATTTACATTTAAGGTTATTATTGTTATGTGTGAGTTTGATCCTGTCATTATGATGTTAGCTGGTTATTTTGCTCATTAGTTGATGCGGTTTCTTCCTAGCCTTGATGGTCTTTACAATTTGGCATGTTTTTGCAGGGGCTGGTAGCGGTTGTTCCTTTCCATTTTTAGTGCTTCCTTCGGGAGCTCTTTTAGGGCAGGCCTGGTGGTGACAAAATCTCTCAGCAATTGCTTGTCTGTAAAGTATTTTATTTCTCCTTCACTTATGAAGCTTAGTTTGGCTGGATATGAAATTCTGGGTTGAAAATTCTTTTCTTTAAGAATGTTGAATATTGGCCCCCACTCTCTTCTGGCTTGTAGAGTTTCTGCCGAGAGATCAGCTGTTAGTCTGATGTGCTTCCCTTTGTGGGTAACCCGACCTTTCTCTCTGGCTGCCCTTAACATTTTTTCCTTCATTTCAACTTTGGTGAATGTGACAATTATGTGTCTTGGAGTTGCTCTTCTCAAGGAGTATCTTTGTGGTGTTCTCTGTACTTCCTGAATCTGAATGTTGGCCTGTCTTACTAGATTGGGGAAGTTCTCCTGTATAATATCCTGCAGAGTGTTTTCCAACTTGGTTTCATTCTCCTGGTCACTTTCAGGTACACCAATCTGACGTCGATTTGGTCTTTTCACATAGTCCCACATTTCTTGGAGGCTTTGTTCATTTCTTTTTATTTTTTTTCTCTAAACTTCTCCTCACGCTTAATTTCATTCATTTCATCTTCCATCGGTGATACCCTTTCTTCCAGTTGATCACATTGGTTACTGAGGCTTGTGCATTTGTCACGTAGTTCTCATGCCATGGTTTTCAACTCCATCAGGTCTTTTAAGGACTTCTCTGCATTGTTTATTCTAGTTATACATTCGTCTAATTTTTTTTCAAAGTTTTTAACTTCTTTGCCATGGGTTCGAACTTCCTCCTTTAGCTCAGAGTAGTTTGATCTTCTGAAGCCTTCTTCTCTCAACTCATCATTCTCCGTCCAGCTTTGTTCCATTGCTGGTGAGAAGCTGTGTTCCTTTGGAGGAGGAGAGGTGCTCTGATTTTTAGTTTCCAGTTTTTCTGCTCTGTTTTTTCCCCATCTTTGTGGTTTTATCTACCTTTGGTCTTTGATGATGGTAACGTACAGATGGGGTTTTGGTGTGGATGTCCTTTCTGTTTGTTAGTTTTCCTTCTAACAGACAGGACCCTCAGCTGCAGGTCTGTTGGTGTTTACTGGACGTCCACTCCAGACCCTGTTTGCCTGGGTATCAGCAGTGGTGGCTGCACCACAGCCAATATTGGTGAACCGCAAATGCTGCTGCCTGATCATTCCTCTGGAAGTTTTGTCTCAGAGGAGTACCCGGCCCTGTGAGGTGTCAGTCTGCCCCTACTTGGGAGTGCCTCCCAGTTAGGCTACTCGGGGTTCAGGGACCCACTTAAGGAGGCAGTATGCCCGTTCTCAGATCTCCAGCTGCGTGCTGGGAGAACCACTACTCTCTTCAAAGCTGTCAGACAGGGACATTTAAGTCTGCAGAGGTTATTGCTGTCTTTTGTTTGTCTGTGCCCTGCCCCCAGAGGTGGAGCCTACAGAGGCAGGTAGGACTCCTTGAGCTGTGGTGGGCTCCACCCAATTCGAGCTTCCTGGCTGCTTTGTTTACCTAAGCAAGCCTGGGCAATGGCAGGCGACCTTCCCCCAGCCTCGGTGCCGCCTTGCGGTTTGATCTCAGACTGCTGTGCTAGCAATGAGTGAGGCTCCGTGGGCATAAGGCCCTCCGAGCCAGGTGCGGGATATAATCTCCTGGTGTGCCATTTGTTAACCCCTTTGGAAAAGTGCAGTATTAGTGTGGGAGTGACCCGATTTTCCAGGTGCCATCTGTCAATGCTTTCTTTGACTAGGAAACGGAATTCCCTGACCCCTTATGCTTCCCAGGTGAGGCGATGCCCCGCCCTGCTTCGGCTCACGCACGGTGCGCTGCACCCACTGTCCTGAACCCACTCTCCAGCACTCCCCAGTGAGATGAACCCAGTACCTCAGTTGGAAATGCAGAAATCACCCGTCTTCTGCGTCGCTCCCACTGGGAGCTGTAGACTCTGAGTTTTTCTTTTTAGAAAAAAAAGGCTTTTTGTTGTAATTTTTGTTTTGTTTTAAAATGTTTTTATTTCAATATCCTTTAGGGTACAAGTGATTTTTGTTTAAATGGATGAATTGTATAGTGGTGAATTCTGAGATTTTAGTGCACCCATCACCTGAGTAGTATACATCGTACCCAATAGGTAGTTTTTTATTTCTCATCCACCTCCCACCCTCCCCTTCTGAGTCTCCAAAGCCCATTATATCATACCATATGCCTTTGTATACTCATAGCTTAGCTCCCATTATAAGTGAGAACATATAGTATTTGATTTTCCATTCCTGAGTTATTTTACTTAGAATAATGTCCTCCAGCTCCATTCAAGTTGCTGCAAAAACATTTTATTTCTTTCTATGGCTGAGTAGTATTCCATGTGTATGTATATCACATTTTCTTTGTCCACTCATTGGTTGATGGACATTTAGGTTGGTTCTGTATCTTTGCAATTGTAAATTGTGCTGCAATAAACATATGTGTGCATGTGTCCTTTTCATATAATGACTTCTCCTTTGAGTAGATACCCAGTAGAAGGATTGCTGGTAAATCTACTTTTAGTTCTTCATACTGTTTTTCATAGAGGTTGCACTAATTTACATTCCTACCAGCAGTGTATAAGTGTTCCTATTTCACCACATCCACACCATGTGTTGTTTTTTGACTTCTGATAATTGCCATTCTTACAGGAGGTGCAAGGTGGCATCTCATTGTGATTTTAATTTGCATTTCCCTGATGATTAGTGGTGTTGAGCATTTTTTCATATGTATATTGGTCATTTGTATATCTTTGGTAAAGTCTCGGGTTACAAAATCAATGTACCCTGCTGGTACATTGTACCAACACCAAGCTGAGAATCAAATCAAGAACTCAATCCCTTTTACAATAGCTGCAGTAACATAAAATAACTAGGATTATACTTAACCAAGGAGGCAAAATATCTCTACAAGGAGAACTACAAAACACTGCTGAAAGAAACCATATGTGGGACAGACAAATGGAAATACATCTCATGCTCATGGATTGGAAGAATCAATATTGTGAAAGTGACTATTCTGCCCAAAGCAATCTGTGGATTCAGTGCAATTCCCATAAAAATACCAATATCACTTTTCGCAGAATTAGAAACCAAAATTTTAAAATTCATATCGAGCCAGAAAAGAGCCTGAATAGCCAAAGTAATTCTAAGCAAAAAGAACAAATCTGGAGGCATCACATCACTGCAATTCAAATTATACTACAAGTCTGTAGTTACCAAAACAGCATGGCACTAGTATAAAACTAGGCACAAAGGCCAATGAAACAGAATCAAGAAACCAGAAATAAGCCAAATACTTACAATTAACTAATATTTGATGAAGCATACATGAATATGAATTGGAGAAAGAAGACTCTTTTTAATAAATGGTGCCAGGAAACTAGCTAGCCACATGTAGAAGAATGAAGCTGGATTATTATCTCTCACCTTATACTCAAATCAACTCAAGATAGATCAAGGACTGAAATCTAAGACCTGAAATCATAAACATTCTAGAAGATGACTGAGGTGGGGGGTGGGGGGCTCTTCTGAACATTAGACTAGACAAAGAATTCTTGACTAAGAGCCTGAAAGCAAATGCAGATAAATAAATAAAACCTTATTTAAAAGCTTCTGCATAGCAAAAAAAAAATCAGAGTAAACAGAAAACCCATAGAATGGAAGAAAATATTTGCAAACTATGCATCCGACAAAGCACTAGTACCCAGAATCTATGAGGAAGTAAAGCAAATTAGCAGAAAAAAATAACTCCATCAAAAAGTGGGCAAATGACAGAAATACATATTTCTGTTGTTATTTAACTCACAAGTAGACAGGAGTCTGTATCTTTCTCTCTGTGTAGGCCTCAAGCCTTTTTTTTTACTAGAAAATGTTCAGGAAGTGGATTTGGTGATTGGTGGAAGGAAGGGAGGTCTGGAAAGTCCTTGAGCATGCAGTTATCTCTTCATTCTACATCATGGGTTGTATGTCAAATTCAGGGGAAGTTAGTACAAAACATTTGATTGAAATTTGGGCTACAATCTTAGCAAGCTTGTTCTGTGCAGACTCCAGCCACCTTGGTCCCAACCGTTTTCAGTTAGTTTTTTCTTGATATCACAAATGGAGGGAGTTCAGCATTTCAGAAAGTTGTTCCCTTTCTTATCTGCTATGCTGCAAACTCAAGAATACCTGTTAGTCATTTGGTTTCTTACTCTTAGGGGCACAATTTCAGTTTCAGCCCATTTTCTCTGCTATCCGCTATCCTGTAAGCCCAAGAATTTAGTTTTATATTTAACTCTTTGGGGTATGGTTTTATCTGCAGCCTCCCTGCCCTAGGTACAAAATCTGCCCAGGATTTTGGACCCCAATGGGGCAGAGCCTGTCACTGGAAGAGCCATGGGATGGAGCCTTTATGGGTAGTGGTGGAACACTGGCCTCAGTAAAAATCTGTCCCCTAACATGGGTCTGGGCAAGAAGGGGTCTCATCAACTCAGTCTTCAGCTGTGGTCACTGTGGGACCCACCAGACATGTGAGGTCCCCAGTCTGGGAGTGGGGACCAGTCTGAGTAGTCCCTGAAGGAACAGTCTCTCTGGGTGTTCTCAAGGACCACATACTAGAGCTCATTTGCTCCTTTCTGGTAACCTGAGCAAATGAAGCCCCTTCCTGTACTGACAGCCCAAAATTGGGGAATCTGTTGTCCCTTTAACTAAGACATGATCTCCATGAGCACAGAAGCTGCTTTGGAATCAACAGATCATTTCCCCTGAACCATTTTCTCACTCAACTGGTTTTATTTCTTAAGCTGATTCACCAGCCACAGTGAGCTTTGAGTAGACCAAAGCTGTCATGAGATTTGTTTTTTTTTTTTAAGAAAACTGGGCATTTTGTGTCCCTGAATTATCCCAGGAGGCTGATCTGAAGGGGTGGCCTGCCCCTCCACACCTGTGGGTATTTCTAGTTGGGTGGGACAAGAGACTGAGAAAAAAAATAAGACACAGAGACAAAGTATAGAGAAACAATAGTGGGCCCAGGGGACCGGCGATCAGCATACCAAGGACCTGCACCAGCACCGGTCTCTGAGTTCCCTCAGTTTTTATTGATTATTATTTTCATTATTTCAGCAAAAAGTAATGTAGTAGGAGAGCAGGGTAATAATAAGGAGAAAGTCAGCAAAAAACATGTGAGCAAAAGAATCTATGTCATAATTAAGTTCAAGGGAAGGTACTATGCCTGGATGTGCACGTAGGCCAGATTTATGTTTCTCTCCACCCAAATATCTCAGTGGAGTAAAGAATAACAAGGCAGCATTGCTGCAAACATGTCTCGCCTCCCACCATAGGGCGGTTTTTCTCCTATCTCAGAAGTGAACAAATGTACAGTCGGGTTTTATACTGAGACATTCAGTTCCCAGGGGCAGGCAGGAGACAGTGGCCTTCCTCTATCTCAACTGCAAGAGGCTTTCCTCTTTTACTAATCCACCTTAGCACAGACCCTTTACAGGTGTCGGGCTGGGGGACGGTCAGGTCTTTCTCATCCCACGAGGCCATATTTCAGACTATCACATGGGGAGAAACCTTGGACAATACCCCACTTTCAAGGGCAGAGGTCCCTGTGGCTTTCCACAGTGCCCCTGGTTTATTGAGACTAGAGAATGGTGATGACTTTTACCAAGTATACTGCTTGTAAGCATTTTGTTAACAAGGCAAGTCCTGCACAGCCCTAGATCCCTTAAACCTTGATTTCATACAACACATGTTTTTGTGAGCTCCAGTTTGGGTCAAAGTGGCTGGGGCAAAGTGGCTGGGGCAAAGCTACAAATTAACATCTCAGCAAAGCAATTATTTAAAGTACAGGTCTTTTTCAAAATGGAGTCTCTTATGTCTTTCCTTTCTACATAGACACAGTAACAGTCTGATCTCTCTTTCTTTTCCCTACATGATCATATAGAGGTCTCTGGCCCTTGACCCCACTGTGCTTCCAGGTGCCCAGAACAGCCCATCATAGGCCCTTTCCCCTTGGCAGGTGGACATTGTTCATCCTCCTGAAGCAAGCATGTGCCCATCTTGGCGCATTTGAAGACAGACCTTGCTGTCCAAGCCCCCCTGTTCTCATATCCTCAGGCAGGAACTCACCCTTGGACAGGGGCAGAGACTCCAGAGACCCTGGTCGGGGGTGAGGACTGGGTCTGGGCTTTTGTTCCTGGTGACAGAATGTGGTCACCTTGCTGGCTTTTGAGACCCAGGCAGGACCCTGGTTTAGGGTGTTCTCTGAAGTTTTCAAATGCAGTGTAATATCTTTTTCTTGCAGGATGGACATGGAGCAGGATGTGGACACCCTCTTACCCAGAATCAAGGGGACATTATTGCCAAGTATGAGGGGACACAGGGCAGGCTGCTCGTTCGAAGGGGCAGGGGGATCACCACTCCTTCTGTGCTGTAGTCAGAGGGTCCTAGGCCCACTTGGGACACAGGGCAGGGAGTGGCTGCACACAACCCCATGCCTCTGCATTCCACAGCTTGGCCCCCCTCACATTGACCCCTCTGCATTGCAGGGATGCCAGGCCAGGGTGCCAGTGGACATAAGGCAGGAAGATTTTTTAATCTAGAAAATCACCAATTATCTCCAGATTCTGTAGTGTGTCTTCTGTCTCCTGAGCCCCCACCCCCAGCAATCTCGTCTCAGCAATAGGTTTTATTTTGAAAAAGGCCTCTCTGAGGAAGGACATGTCTCAAGTCCACCTCCTTCCCAGGATTGGAACTCCTCCCCAGGTGCCCTGCAAATCCAGTCCAAGGTCAGTGTTAGGCCAGAGCTGAGTATCCCAATGTGGGAACCCAGAGAGCAAGTGGAGACAGAAATATGGCTGGTCTAAGCCCCTAGGCTCTCCAAGGGGGACAGCAGCGCAGTCCAGTCTCCAAGTCAACAAGAGAGGAGGGGGCCAGCCTGAGGGGCCAGCCTGCTCCCTTGGAGCCTGCCCTGGAGATCTGCAGGGTCTAGCCATGGGACAAAGGGGTGCTTGGAATGGTCTGTGGGTAGTTGTCCAGCAGGTCTCTGAGAGCTAAAGGAGCCCAGCCCTGCCATCCCACAGGGAGGGGTACAGGGGCAGCCAAAGCTGTGGCCCTGGGAGGAGAAGATGGTCAGGGCCCTGGCTTGGGCATCTCATGGGAAAGGCAAGGAGGCAGCAGAGCTTGCAGCCAAGGTGATCTAACCAAGGGTTTCATGGTAAGAGGGGATCTGAGGTCTGGTGGGAGGGGCCCAGTATAAAGTCTGTCCCTGTAGGGGTCATTGGAGGAGCTGAGGTAGTGGTGACACAATGGAACTGATGACTTTGGGATGCATCTGGATGGAGCCAGCCTGTGGAGAGTGGATGGAGCTGGGAAGGGCAGGAGATTTGGTGAAGCCAAGAGCAGGGACTTACCTGGGACCCCTCAGCAGAGAAGCTTTAGTCAGTCCCAAAGCTCTGGAACACCCTCTAGAGACCCAGCTCCCTGCTGGCTTGGTCAGCACCATGGCCAGAGGGAAGACTGGGGAGACTGAGTCAGAAAAGAACAGTGGGAGGAGGACAGCCAGGTGCCCCGTGTCAGGGCTGCTGCAACAGGAGGGAGGAAGCTGTTGGCTGAAGACCCTAAATACCATCTGAGGCTGGGGACTGGGTTCAGGGCCATTCCGGTTGCCTGTGAAACCCTCAGTCACCCTCATTGCCCCTGGTGTCCACCAGCAGTGCTGAGCAGCCCAGTTAAAAAGTGGACAAGGAAGGTGTGTGGATGGATCTCGGGGGTTCTTGCTCAGACGTTCTGACAAAACAAGGATAAAGGAAGAACAGGGGTGCCTAAAGAGACAGGAACCAAGACATGGCATGGTTTCCAGGCAGACAGGCTAGAGAAGTAAAGTAACAGGAAGGGTGGGTAGCCAGTGTACAGGGAGAGGCAGGTTAGATAGTCAGACCCTGCGATGGCTGTGGGGCCATCGGGCAGACAGGCTCCAGGGGCCTTAACACACTGGGCAGTTCTCAGGCCAGGTTCCCTGCACCACAACCTGAGGATGTGGTCACTTCCTGGGGTCTTCTCTCAAGGTCCAGACACACAAACCTGGGCAGCACTGGCCCACCTCAAGACTAGAGTTTCTTTGTTCCCAAAGAGGACGCTAACTCCAATTCAGGAGGGGCAACCCCATTGGGTAACCCAAACCCCCATGAATCCCAAGCAGCACCTGCCCAGCCCTGTGCTTCCTCTGTTCCCATTTCCCAGCCTCTCCTGGGTATCAGCCAGCAGGGAGGCTGAGACCTGGGGTGGATGTGGATGGGGCTAGTCCTTTCCTGGGGCCTGCTCAGGGAGGGGGATGGCCCCTGGCCTGGTGCAGATCTTCAGCTCTCTTCACTGCCTTACAGTGACAGAGCTGCCCCTGTCAGTGCCCTGAAGACAAAGGTAACAGCCTGTACCTGCTACATGGGAGGCTCACCCATCAATGGGCAACTTGGTGGCTGGTCAGTGAAACAGATGGTGTGGCCTGTGGGCCTGGGTGGTGGTGAGAGGGAGCCACATGCCCTCAATGGGAGAGGCCATAATTCCTGCTGAATCTCAACCCAAGCCTTGTCCCTGCAGTTGTTTTACCAAACCCGCCACAAAGATTCAGGGTAGCGGCTTGGGGGTCACTGCCCACTGGGCACCAGGACCCCACCTGGAGGCTGAGATCTGATTAGGGCATCTGTGGCCTGAGAATAGTGTGTCCTGTGTTCCAGAGGTTGGGTCACCGGTACCTACTCAGTCAGAGGGTCTCAGTCACAAGATCTGCCCTTTTCTGGCTCCTTCCAGTTCAGCCCCATCAAGGCCCCTAATGACTGACCAGGCAAACAAGAGAAGCAAACTTCTCCAGAGAAAAAGCCTCCTTCAGAAGCACTGACTGTGTTATGTTGCTGTGTGCGGCAGTGAGTTTCATGTCTGTGATGAGGCTGGTTCCTCCTCATGGCCCTGCCATATTGGAAATGAAGGAGCAGGGCAAGAAGTCCTCAGTGATGACGTGATCCAGCATCCAAGAACCACTCCCGGAAGCCTGGCAGCTCAGCTAACTCCATCATTTCTCATTTATGGCAAAAACATCAGGCTATTGGATGCAAAGATAAATGGCTACAAAGGCTTAACCACTGAAATAAATCTAAGAGCAGCAAGAAGGCACAATGGAGAGTGAGGGTCCCCTGTGACCACTCTCCAGAGTTGGGGGACAGGCACCCCTTGCTGTTTCTTGGTACTGCCTGCCTCTCAGACAGCAGGTGGCACACTGTCCTCACCCAAAAGACAACAGGCCTGGTCCCCAACTTTCCTGCCTATCCCTGCAAGGGTTACCTTGCTGGGAGACAATCTGATGTGAGAGCTCTTGTTCACTCTTGATTCATGGGAAGGGAGGCCTGGTCCTAGGTAGACTCAACCTCTCCTGAGGAACCACAAGGCCAAAGGCTGGAAGGTTCCAGAATCCTTAGATTCTTATCATCCTTGGGGTCATCCTGACACCTGCCTCACCAGAGCATTCTTCTGTCCACAGATGTCTCAGCAGGTATACAAGGGAATCCCCCCACAGGTATGGGGTCCAGCGTGGTCACTCCTGCTGGATGCCAAGAAGGTGAAGGCCAAGAATCCAGCAATACACCAGGTCAGGCCCTTCCACACCCAGCCAGCGCACAGACATGTCACACCATGTCAGGAGCCCAGTTAACCAGCTGGAGGGAACATCGAGCCTGGCAGTTAGGGGGTCAGTAGCACATCCTGGGCACAGACAGTGACATGGACACCACAAGTGAGCTGGGCTCTGGTGACATTCTGTGACTTAAGAAACAAGCAAGAGAAGCAACTATCTGCAGAGAAAAACCCTCCTTTCCTACAAAGGCACTGACTTTGTCATGGTGCTGTGTGCAGCAGTGAGTCTCCTGTCTGTTCTGAGGCTGGTTCCTGCTCTTGGCCCTGCCCTATAGACAATGAAGGAGCAGGGCAAGATGTCCTCAGTGAAAATGAACCTGGATATGAGCCACATTTTGAGAAACATTTCATGTTCTGGGAGGTTCCAGGGGAGGTGGGGAATCCAGAGGGATCGGGGCATCTGGGGGAATATGAAGAGGTCTCATGGCAGAGGTAGGGGTCTCAGAGCAAGGAGTGACAGCTCAGGCCACTGCCTGGAGTTCTGGCGTCTGGAGGGGTCTGCAGAGGGGCCTGGAATAGAGAGGTTCTCGGGGCAGCCCAGAGGCCTGTGAAGACCTCTGCTCCTTTCATGAGGACAAGGAAGTGCTGTGCATCTAGGTTTTCACCTTAAAACAGCTCCCACAGCACTTGATCGATGGGGCAAGGATACACAGGAAGACCCTGGGCCAGGAACGCTCCTTCCACACAATGTCTGGCTTTCTGGGCCAGAGGTCTGGCTCCCTCAGAAGGACCCAGGTCCCTTCCTTCGAGCAGGAGGCAAAGGCAGGTCCCTGCAGGGCACACAAACCAACAGTGCCCCTGAGAGGGGGTGTCCCATGGAAGAGGCCAGTGCTCAGGGCCATCATCATGGGCAGATTGGGCCAGGACTCCTTTTGGGAGAGCCCAGGAAAGCCCAAAGCCCTTGGGAAGCCCCTTCTTCCAGGAGCCACATGCCACTGAGATGAGTCCAGCCCCATGAGGAACTACAGGACCTTGTCTAACCCAGCCTCATAGAGGAGGGGGTCACATCCCATGCAGAGGGAGCCCCTGGCACTACAGACGGAGCTCCTAGTAGACCACTGGCCTCTAATCTTGAAGGGCCAGGTCCTCCCATGCCTGCTGTCCGCACATATCCACTTTGGGCTCATTCTGAGGCTCTGGGATGTCTGCCTTCTAAAGAACAAGTGCATGCTCACAGCCAGGGCATACACAGCCAGTAAAGGTGCACACAACCTATGTGCCTGAGGGAGCTCCAGGGGAACACATAGGAAGACCCCAACTGTCCTAAGGGACACATTCACACTGTCCATATGACCCTCTGCTCTGGCCTGGATGGAGGGTCAGGCCTGGTGGGCTTGGCAGGGCACCGTGATTCCTCCCAGACACCAAACCCATCCCTGACATGGCACAGATGAAGGGCAGGAGTGTGGCGAGTACTTCCCTACAGAGATCTCCCACCCACCATGGCCTCCTGTGCACACCTGGATCTCATGGGTGACCAAACACGACCAGCACTGCCCAAAGGGAGGTGCCTAGGAAGGAAATAGAGTGCAGGCACTGATCCCTCCCAGAGGACCCCTCTCCCAGCATGACGCCCACCTCCATCCCCAGAACGCCTCCTAAAGCTGTCCTAGTTCAGCTTGGTGGAGCTCCTTCAGGACATGCTGTCCTGGGCCTGGGGTCGGGAGGATGACGTGGTGCTGAGGCACCTTCAAGGCCTCCATGGTGCCTTGGAGAGGGATCCAGGCATCCCAGAGAGGATTCAGGGAAAGGGCACAAGTGGGCCCGTGGCCTGGAGCCAGACGGAGTTCAGCTGAGCATGGGAACTCATGGCATTGAGTGGATGGTGCTGGATTGCTGAGGGACCCAGTGCCCAGGGGCGTCTTACCCACTATGGAGACAGGCCATTATATTAGGTGGCAAGGAGGCCAGGTGACAGTTGCAGTTTCTCCCAGCTGAGTTCTGGACTAGGGTCCAAGCCCAGACCAAGCAGGCCCTGGGGTGAGGGTGTGAGGCAGGGAGCCCTGAGCCAGCCTGAACCCTGAGGAGCCATCCCAGGAGCACCCTGATGTGCTTTGACAGCACCCATGCCCAGATTGCACACATCCCTTGCTCTAAAATTAGCAGCCTGCAGGGGTATCCTCAGTGTCAGAACAAGTGGGCCACACAAGGTCCTCAAGGACTCCAGGGACCTAGGTTCATGAGGCCCAGCCTTGTAAGGGCCAGATGGGCTAGGTGGAAACGCTGACCAAGTCTGCTTCCTTTCAGCCAAATACGTGGGGTTCCCCAAGAGGGCCCTTTGCCTGGAGTGAGTGTCCCTGACACCCAGGCCTCTGTGAGCATCTCTCAACACAAAGGCCCTCTCCAAGGGAGATGGGCTGGCCCTCCCAGGACCAGCAGCCCAGTTCCAGAAGCCCATGGGTCATCACCAACCTCATCTGGCTAGCGTGTCCCTGAGGCTACGGCAATCAGCATGCAGGGAGTTCCACAGAACCCAGGGCCGTAGGCTGCTCTCTGGGGCCCCAGGGGATCAGGGTCTGGCCAGCCTGTCCCTGGCTCAAGACACATGCCTGGGAATTGGGGTTTTCTCCTCTGCTCTTAGCATCGCCTGGGTAAACCAACAGTTACCCTCCCTCATGACTCAACATTCACATCCATGAAAAAGGCACCCGGTGAGGGTGACCTTTCCAGGAAGCCACAGCCCATGTTATTCCTGCCAAGCTCTAAACTTGTCTGTGGGAGGGCCAAACTGCGAATTCTCCCAAAAGCAGCTGAACTGAGGCTCTGGCTGGGCGGCAGCACAATGGACAGTGTCTCAGTTCCACATCAGCTTCGGAAAGCAGGCAGCTCCCTGGGCTTGGTGAGGCGCGATGACCAGGAAAGACCCCGGGAGTGCGGGTGGGAGAGGAAACTGAGCTGAGCAGTGAAAGGAGAGGTGAGGATGATTGGGCAGAGGTGAAGTGCACTTCGTAGCATCAAATCTTGCTAATTGTACCTCAAGTCCCTCTCCGGACTTACTCCCCTTAGCCAGGGGTGGCACAGAATCAGTGACCGGCATTGCTTTGGAAGCAGAAAGGTACACGCTGCCTTCTTACCCATCCCTCCCAGGCAGCACACCACCCTGGCTTATGCTGGGACTACAGTCAGCGGCCCTGAGACCCACGGCCAGAAGCGGTTAAGAAACTACTACTCCCTGCACGCCCTGCGAGGAGCACACTGCACTGACCCTCCCTCCAGAAATGCTCACTGTCCAGGCATGCTGGGAATGTGGTCCAGCTTCCCTCAGACCAACGGGCAAAAGCGGTTAAGAGACTACTATTCCCTGCATGCCTCGCAAGGAGGACAAAGCTCTGTGCTTCCCTCAAAATACCCGCACCACCCCCAATCCCGGTGCATGCTGGGATTTCAGTCTGGCATCCCTGCGACCAAAGGCTGAAAGCGGTAAGAGACTACTACTACCTACCTGCATGCCTGGGGAGGGGCGCACCACTGCTGTCCCACCCGCAAGGTAACGGCACCTCCCCAAATCCCAGGGCATGCTGGGATTGTAGTCTGGAAAGCAGGCTACCAAAAGCCAATAGCGGTTAAAAGATTACTACTCTTGGCCTGGCACAGTGGCTCACGCCTGTAATCCCAACACTTCGTGAGGCCGAGGCAGGCGGATCACCAGGTCAGGAGTCACGAGGTCAGGCGTTCGAGACAAGCCTGCCCAACATGGTGAAACCCCCGTCTCTACTAAAATTAGCCGGGTATGGTGGTGCATGCCTGTAGTCCAATCGCAGGAGGCTGAGTCAAGAGAATCGACTGAACCCGGGAGGCAGAGGTTGCGAAGGTTGCAGCGTGCCGAGAGCCGAGATGGTGCATCGCACCACTGCACTCCGGCCTGGGTGACACAGCGAGACTCTGTCTCAAAAAAAAAAAAAAAAAAAAAAAAAAAAGATTACTACTTTTAGCATGCCTGGCAAGAGGAGCAAAGCGCTGCCCCTCCCTCAAGGTACCCGCACGACCCCAACGACCCCCCCAACCCCGGTGCATGCCAACTCACGTGCATTCTGGGACCGTTGCTACCCACAAGACGCCCAACGACACCCCAACCCCGGTGCATGCCAACCCCGGTGCATGCTGGGACCGGTGGGATTGTAGAGACTACTTCTCCCAGCATGCCAGGTGAAGAGCGCACAGCGCTGCCCCACCCTCACAGCACAACTTCCAATCCCCGTTGGGGATTGTAGTCTGGCTGCTTGCCAAAAGGTGTTGAGAGACTACTACTCTGCATACAGTAAGAAGCACACAGCGATGCCCCTCCCTCCAGGGATCCTTATGGTCCCCAGTCCTGGTTCATGCTGAGAAGGTACTCTCCCAACTCTGTGACCAACAGGCCAGGCGCCTATGCTCCCAGCATTCCCAGTCCTCTTCCGCTGCTTCCCTCCATGCATCCAGTGCAGTTTCACAGTACAGAGGGGAGCTTAGCTTCCAAACCAAGCTAAGCTGGGAGGAACAGCAGGAGAACAGCCTGGAAAGCAGGCCCACCCAGAAGCAAAGGAATCGGATGTCCCTCAAGAATGAGATAGGAAGTGCAGATAAAATGCAACATCGCCTTTCCTAGAAGGCAAAGGCCAGCCACAGTCACCCACCGCTCATCCTAGACTGAAACAAACCACGCAGCCATCAGGTGGGACATGGAGACCAAGGGAGCTTCCCTGTCCAAGACAGGTATGGAAGCCCAGAGGATCATGGCACCTGCCTAATCGACCAGAAATAGGTTTGGAGAGGGAAACAACTGTGAAACGGATCTCCACGAAATTTCTCCCTCACGGACTCCAAAGTGTTCTTTGTTGAAGACTTTAAGCCAGACCAAGCCTCTAGGCTCCTATGGCAGATAGAGCAAGAGGGAGTACAGAGCAGAGGCCACAGCCCAGGCAGGATACAGCACAATGCCACTACCATGCGCATCCAGGAAGAAGTGCCAAATGGGAGACTGGGCCAGAAAGGCCAGATTTAAGTCACAGAGATCCTTGCCGCGTCCCGTTCCCGGCTTCTTCTCCAAGACTGTCGCGGTGGGGCTACATTTCTTAATGAGAGGAGAAGGTGGGAGGTGGGAGGAGTTAGAACCATCTTCTTTGATGTTGGTCTGCACGCACTCCTGCAGGACAATAAGCTCCTGGGAGGCTTTGGTCCTTGGGTGTGGTGTGGTTGTCTTGATCCTCGAAAGTAGGACGCTCAGGATGGGGAGGTTTCAATCCCTGTGGGACCAACGCAGCTCCCCAGGTCGAACCGGCCTTCACAAACCTAAAGTGGAACCGCCAGGAAAACTACTGACAACCGGCCACACCACCCAGGCAGAGAACCAGAAAGAGGCTCACCAAACACAGGCCGACATGCAAGAAACCACCCTCCAGCACACAGGGCACATTCGTCCCAAACACACATGCACACGGGCACACACAGAGAAAGAGAGACCGAGACAGAGAGACAAGGAGAGAAAGGGAGACACACAAACACACACAGACATAAAGCAGTGGCACGGAAACAGTCACCCCCAGGCAGCCCCTGAGGCTGCTAGGTTCTGCTCTCCGTGAGGACGTCTCTCAGGTAAGAGAGTAGCCCACGGGTCCACAGTCGGGCCTGTCCTTGAGATCACAGGGGGCACGACTTGTGAGGAGACTCACTGGACACCGTCCGGGAAGGCCTGAAGCTGGGATGGTGCGCTGCTTCCCCATGACTCCTCTGCCTGAGGTTTCCTCACCTGGTCGGCCCTCCGCGACTCCTGGCGTCCGGAGACCATCCTGTTGACCCCTGGGAGAGGTCAGGCTGGAGCCTCGATACCGACGCACTGCCACAGTGGGCTCCTGCTTCGCCCAGCCTCATGGACCCATCACTCGAGCGACGGTGGGAGTCACTGTGCCTTGAGAAATCAGCTCGTGCACCGCGCATGCGCATTGGCTAGGCCGACTTGCGCTCCGCTCCTGTTAAGTCAGGTTGCAGCCCCTTTAAGGAATGGCGACGGGGCCGGGCTCCACCACCCTGGCTAACAAGGTGAAACCCCGATTCTACTAAAACTACAAAAAATTTGCCGGGCGTAGTGGCACGCGCCTGTAATCCCAGCTACTCTGGAGACTGGGGCAAGAGAATCGCTTGCACCAGAGAGGTGGAGGTTGCAGTGAGCCGAGATCGCGCCACTGCACTCCAGGCTGGGCGACAGAGCGAGACTCCATATCAAAAAAAAAAAAAAAAAAAAAAAAAGATGGCGACGATCCGGGGGCGGTGGCTCACGCCTGTAATCCCAGCACTCTGGGGGGCCGAGGCAGGCGGATCACCTGAGGTCAGGAGTTCGAGACCTGCCTGACCAACATGGTGAAACCCCATCTCTACTAAAAATACAAAAATTAGCCAGGCGTGGTAACACACGCCTGTAATCCCAGCTACTCAGGAGGCTGAGGCAAAAGAATCGCTGGGACCCGGGAGGTGGAGGTGGCAGTGAGTGGAGATCATGCCACTCGAGTCCAGCCTGGGCGACAGAGGGAGACTCTGTCGCAAAAAAAAAAAAAAAAAAAAAAAAAAAAAAATGGCGATGGCGCGGCATGGCAGCGGCTTCAGCTGCGGTGGTGGTGACAGAAGCTGGGGACGGGTAGGGGGAAGCATGAGTGGGGGGGCTGCACACGAGCCAGGACCAGGCCCCAGGATTCCTGTCCCCAAGGCCTCCATGAGCCATCTTCCGCTTCGGTGCCCGGTGGAGGAGGAGCTTCAGGACATTAGCAGAGACTCCTCTTCGGATCCTATTTTGGATCCCACCAGGTGAACAGGGATGGGCTCACAATCTGGTGAGGCAGGGAGGGCATGGCTGAGGCACAGAAAGATATCATGGGCCTCAAGGTGTGGTGTCAGCTGAAAATTCACTGACCCATGAGCCCACTGCCTCCCTCCTCCTTGGGTGGAGCAGTGGCCTGCCAAGGTCTCCAAAGCTCAGGGGCTCCTGCATCCTGACACTGCTTTCTGGGACACATGCAAACAGGGACAAGGGCGAGCCTGACATGGAGCAAATCTGACCACATGTGGCACTGGCATCCCCTAAGAGCAGATGGAGTGAGTGTCTCCGAAGCCATATGGGGCAATGAAGAGACCAACAATTATGTCCAGGCATGTGCCCCGGGGGCACAGGTGACCTGCCCAAGAAAGCCAAAGAAAAGCAAAGCACACCTGGGAACTAGGAAAGGGCCTGTGCTGCAGTCCAAGCCACATTTGGGGATGCCTGCCTGAGGAGATAAGAGGTTAATGGAAAGTACACCCCACCCCCACTCCTCTACCAGCTAGGTATCCCTGATGCAACCTCCCCTGCACCCAGCCCAAGCCCAGTCCGTTTGACTCCCCAACACAAGGCAACCTCCCCTGCACCCAGCCCAAGCCGGGTCCCTTTGCCTCCCAGTCCCACCCAGGAGCAGAGGAACTGGATGTCCCTCAAGAATGAGACAGTAAGTGCAGATGAAATGCAACACAGCCTTTCCTAGAAGACAAAGGCCAGCCACAGTTGCCTACTGCTCATCCTAGATCTAGACAAACCACGCAGCCATCAGGTGGGACATGGAGACCAAGGGAGCTTCCCTATCCAAGACAGGTATGGAAGCCCAGAGCTCCAGGATCGTCACACCTGCCCAATCAACCAGAAATAGGTTTGGAGAGGGAAACAACCATGAAACAGATCTCCACGAAGTTTCTTCTGATGGACTCCAAAGTGTTCTTTGTTGAAGACATTATGCCAGACCAAGAAGACTCTAGGTCCCTCAGAAACATGGCAGATAGAGCAAGAGGGAGGAGAGAGCAGATGCCAGAGCCCAGATGGGATACAGCACAATGCTACAGCCATGGGCATCCAGGAAGGAATGTCAACTGGGAGACTTGCCAGAAAGGCCAGTGTTTGAGTGAAAGAGGCCCTTGCCACATCCTGTTCCTGGCTTCTCCAAGCCTGTGTCGTGGTGGGGCCACATTTCATTTTTCTTCTTCTTCTTTTTTTTTCTTTGAAAATAAGTCTCGCTCTTGTCCCCCAGGCTGGAGTGTAATGGCGCGATCTCAGCTCACTGCAACTTCATCTTCCGGGGTTCAAGCGATTCTCCTGCCTCAGCCTCCTGAGTAGCTCGGATTACAGGCGTGAGCCACCGCGCCCTGCCAGGGCTACATTTCTTAATGACAGGAGAAAGCATGAGGACTTAGAACCAACTTCTTTGATGTCGGTCTGCACCCCTCCTTCAGAAGGACAATGAGCTCCTGGGAGGCTTTGGTCGTTGGGTGTGATGTGGTTGTCTGATCCTAGAAAAGAGGCCGCTCAGGATGGGAAGAAGATTTCAACCCCTGCGTGTCCGACGCAGCTCCCAACGTCGCTGAGGCCTTCAGAAACCCAAAGTGGCATCGCTAGGAAAACGACTGACAACCGGTCACACGACCCAGGCAGAGACCCAGAAAGAGGCTCACCAAAGACAGGCTGACATACAAGAAACCACCCTCCAGCGCACAGGGCACATTAGTCCCAAACACGCACACGAACACACACAAAGAAAGAGACAGAGAAACAGGAGAGAAAGAGAGACATACACACACAGAGACATACAGCAGTGGCACAGAAACACCCACCTCCAGGCAGCCCCAGAGGCTGCCGGGTTCTGCTCTCGGCAAGAATGACCCTCGGGTAAGAGAGCAGCCCACAGGCCCACAGTCAGGCCTGTCCTCGAGATCACAGGCGGCACGACTTGTGGTGAGACTCTCCCACACACCATCTGGGGCAGGCCTGAGGCTTGGATGGCGCGCTGCTTCCCCGGGACCCCTCTACCTGAGGTTTCTTCATCCCGGTCGGCCCTCCGCGACTCCCGGCGTCCAAAAACCATCCTGTCGACCCCCGGGAGAGGTTAGGCTGGAGCCTTAACGCCTAGGCACTGCCACGGAGGGCTCCTGCTTCTCCAAGCATCAGGGACCCATCCATCCCCTGGGCGATGATGGGGGTCACTGTGACGCGAGAATCGCCTCGTGCCTCGCACATGCGCATTTTCTAAACCGAATCTAGTTGGGCTCCTGGAAGTCAGTTTGTGGCTTCCTCAAAAATGGCAGCGCCTGCTGCGGTGGCGGGGGCTGCGGGGACTGCAGCATCCGAAGCTGGGTGGGGGGCATATAGGGGGATGCATGAAAGAGTGGGCTGCCTTACTACCCAGTGCCAGTCCCCTGGGAGTCCTGTACTCTGGACCTCCTTGAACCTTCTTCGGTGCCCGGTGGAGGTGGAGCTTCAGGGCATTCCAGACTCCTCTTCCCATGGGATTTTGGGTCCCGCAGAGCGAGCAGGGATGGGGTTACAATCTAGTGAGGCTGGGACAGCCTCCCTGGGGCACAGAATGATCCCATGGGCCTTAAGGCGTGGTGTCATGAGCTCACTGCCTTTCTCCTCCCTGGCCAGAACAGTGGTCTGCCGGGTCTTCAAAGCCGGCCTGCGAGGAAACAACTTGACCAGATCCACTGTCTGTGACATCTCATCTTCCCAGCATTCCTCCTTCAAGGCTCATTTCCAAAGCTTGATTTTCCGCAGACCAGCGTGAGGCGGGGAGCCTCTCATAGCATTGTCAGTAGGGTTGCCATAGTAACGCTAGTCATCCGCTGGGCTCACCTCGCCCTTGCACTCTGACCCCCATTCCCTCACCTTTCCCATTGCCATGCCCCTCCCAACATAGGCAGTGCAAGAGGGGCTTAAGACCTGCAGGCGGGCCAGTTCTCTTGGCGTCTTTCGATCCCACGTGGGAAGCTCCCTTCTGGGTATCTAAAACCGTCAGTTCACTGCCTGAAGTGAAAACACCCAGTCCCTGGTAACCTGGCCTTCCCTTTTCAAAGCCACCTAAATTTAGCTCTATCTCTTTGGGGTGTCACAAATCCCCCAGCACCCCAGGAACACCCATTGGACCCCGGGCTGGATGCGTGGCCCACACCTGGCCTCTCACAGGGACACTCCCGCCACTGTTATAAAGAGAAGAAAACGTCACAGGCGAATGGTCTGACCCCTGCTGCATCCAATCAGCAAACAGCCCTAAGTGGCTTTGGGGTCCACGTCCACCATTTCTCTGACACCCACCCGGTGGTTCCCAGGCCTTGGGGTCCCAGTGTGGAACTCAGCATAATTAACGCAGAACAGGAGGACCAGAGGGCCCCTTTGTCTCTCTCCACACATGAGGGAAGTTTGTGTGGTGAGGTCATGGACAGTGTTTGCATTTATGCCATGAATAGGGCTGTAGTGGAAACACTTTGATAATCTCTATTTAAATATCCCTTTGGACCACTTTAATAGTTTGCTGGGGGACCTTATTATAAAATATTATATATGGTTACACAGTGATAACAGTGATAACTCTCTTGATTCATTTTTTTTCATTTAGTTTTAAACATTAAGTACTCCAAGACTACATACTAATGAAACCGGTGTAGACAAAGCCTCAGATTAGGTACCAGGGTCACCTGTGGAAGGTCCTTGCTGAAGCCAGTCAGCCTATCAGCCTGTCCCTCAGGCCCAGCAGTATAAGTCGTTCCTCCAAGTCATTCAGTTGGCTGGCAGTAACCCCTGGTAGGATTCTGGAAGGCATCTGCTTTTCATCTTAGATTTTAAAACTCAGGGTGAAAAGTTTTCAAGACTTAAAAGCCCAAGTCTTTTATATTTTTAGTGTAATTTGGGGTATTAGAAAATCAGTATTTTCAGCATCTCTGAAATCACAATGCAAAAACAGCCCCAGTTTCATAAGGCCAACTCTTGGTATCTCTGTTCTGCAAAGTAGGGTAAGATGATGCCACAAAAGGCAGGTTGTATGCAACATTATCCTCACTCCAACAGAACTATCACACTTTAATCCAGGGGATCTTTAAATTATAAGACATAAAGAAAACCTTTCTTGAGATGGAAAATTTTATAAATCAGAGAAAAGGCTTCTAGAACATAAGATTTACATCTTATAACAAATTATATGCCCTATTCTTTCCCTATTAATACATTAGTTTTTCCATAATACTTTTAATTTTTAGCTTGAAAATACCAGTTGCTTAAAAAAAAAAGAGACAAAACAAAACCCCAGAAATGTTTTTTTGTTTTGTTTTTGAGACAGGACTCTGTCACCCAGGATGGAGTGCAGTGGTCGGATCTCAGCTCACTGCAGCCTCAACCTCCCTGGCTCAAGCGATCTTCCCACCTCAGCCTCCTAAGTAGCTGGGACTACAGAGACATGGCACCACACCTGACTAATTTTTGTTTTTGTTTTTTGTAGAGATGGGGTATCACTGTCTTGCCCAGGCTAATCTTGAATTCCTGAGCTCAAGCGATCTACCTGCCTTCACCTCCCAAAATAATTACAGGTATGGGCCACCATCACTGGCCTAATTTTTTTAAGCTGATGAAGAAATAACCCACCAGTGCCTTCTGGGGAAAAGCTTTCAAGCAAAGCAGTCATTTTTGCTAGAGATTATAGAAGATGCTATCATGGTGAAATGGTGGAACTAATCCAGAACAATTCATAATCTTTTTTTCAGATCTTCACTCAAATCAGCCTCATGCACAAACATTCCTTACCCTCACTTCGGTAATACACTTTTGCCTCTCTCTCTTTTACACTTTCTCCCTGTAGCTGCTTTTTTGTGACTCCGTGGCAGGAAAAGAGAAAACATGCTATTTATAGAGCACTATTATGTGTCACGGACTATGGTAAATACCTTCAAGAAGAAAGTCTGGGCTAAAAGGGCTTCACCTCAGTCTAGAGGATGTACCTCACAGGGTCTTTGAACATTTGGTGACAGGCATTTTGGGCATGTCCTCTAGGCTGAGCTGTAGTCCTTATGGGACAAACTCACTCTGGAAGAAGCTCAAGTCCCACCTAAAGATTTCTGTCTCCTCTGTCTGGGGCTGTCAGCAGGGACAGAAGCCAAGAGCACCCTGCACTTGGGGATCGGCCATAGGAGCTGCTCCCCGGATGGAGAGATGGCAGTTAGCAGCACAGGATGGGGACAAAAGGTGAGTTCCAAACAGCTCTGTCACAGAGAGTGTCAGCAGAGCTTTGTGACATCAATTGCAAAGAGAGGGGGCATGTGACGGAAGAAGCCCTGAGTGATGAGTCACAGCCCATTCTGAGGAAAGGGAGAAGAAAGTAGCATCCTGAGGCTCTCTTGCCTTATTAACCCATTGCATTTATTCTCAGAGGCTCCTGCCTAAAATGAAGACATTATTCCACCTCCATCTCCTTTCATTCTAAGCCAGAAATATGTGTGAGTTATCATTCAAGTGCATGGAGGTCTGTATTTTCTTCCTCCTTAAATGATAATTTAATACTAATAAATTCCTCAAAATTTTTACCTTACATACGGGAGACAGAAGAAACAGGGCTTCAACACTGAGTTAATTAAAAATAATTCAAGCTAATTACTTTCCTTCACACCATAAATTTTGAACAGCGTTTTCATTATTCTTTGGGTGTTATAACATACATGCTTAAGCAGCCAAGCAAGCATCTCAATCTTTACTAATGATTCCAAGGAAAGGCAACTGTATTTCCTAAGGACAGTCAAAGTACGTGAAATGTAGAGGGTGAGGGAAGAAAAGGTGGTAGCTTGAGGTTCCAACATTCAATCAGGTTTAATTTATTTATTAATAAATAAATTATTTGTCCTGGTATATAATTCTATTATTTTTATTTTTGTTTGGTTTCTTTTTTCAGTTTTATTTTTGATTGACAAATAGTAATTTACATATTTATGGTATACAATGTAAAATTTCCATACATGAATACATTGTGTAATGATCAAATCAGAGTAACCATGATATTCACCACCTTAAACATGTATTACTTGATATGAATATTAATCAAATTAAAATGAAAATGTTTATCAGTGGTGTCCTTCCCTCAATTTGTTTTACACACACTAGTGTCTAAGGCTAGCGCTATCCACTTGTCCACTTCAGTGGGCTCTTTCAAGTTAAAGTTTTTGCTCTTGGAAAGAAATACTGCTCCTATCATTTTCTTCAGTCTCCAAATGTAAATGCACAATAAATGTTCTGGACAGTATAGAAAAATTACTAGACTGTGGATTCTGGTAAATTCCAAATCACATTAAATAGCAATAAAGGGTATCCACAGCCTCTTCCTTTATTCATGGATAATTATTTGTTAGCTGTGGTCATCAACACTTGGAATTCTCTGATTGACTAATCTTTCACTTTGTAATAAATGTTAAATATTATCTATATGATATATTATTTGCGTATTCTATTACCAAGGAGATGAATACTCTTTCATATGTGGTAAATTTTTTATTCATTTATTTTTACCATGAGCATTAATTTTTTTAATATTGTATGTATTGCAGATTTGTGTCTCAGTTTTTTGTCTTTTAACTCTCTAATTTTAATATATTTCGATTTGTTAGTTTCTTGTTTTCTCTTTTCCTTACATCAAAAACTGCCTATTCTTTGTCAAAAAATAACCCCACAGTGACTTCTGCAAGTTATCCAGTTGTATTTTGCACATTTGAATCTACAATCAATTGATTATTATGTATAGAATAGAGAGGAATGAATGCATTTTACTGATTAAGGCCAGGTGCAGTGACTCACACCTGTAATCCCAGAACTTTGGGAGGCCAAGGCGGGTGGATCATGAGACCAGGAGTTTAAGACCAGCCTGTCCAAGATGGTGAAACCCCGTCTCTACTAAAAATACAAAAATTAGCCAGGCACAGTAGCAGGTGCCTGTAATCCCAGCTCCTTGGGAGGCTGAGGCAGGAGAATCGCTTGAACCTGGGATGTGGATGTTACAGTGAGCAGAGATAGCACCACTGCACTCTAGACAGAGCAAAACTATGTCTCAAAAAAGATAAATAAAATTTAAAAAAGAAAGAAAAATCTTAAAAGTAGGGAGATAAAAAACAGAGGTAAGCCACAAATGTGTAGGTACCATCCACACAGCCTTGATAGAACCCAGAACAAAGAGAAGTAAGTATCGAGTATAAGAATATTTAGTCAAATATCATTAATAGATAAGGAAAACAATAAAACATTCTGAAAAATACAAAGACAAAAAGATTTTATTACCAGATATTCTTAATATTATACTTCAAAAAGAAATGAAAAAGAGACACTTGTAAACATATGGCAATATCTATCATGTAAATTAAACTCAAAATGAGAGAATTGGCATCATTAATTTAAAAACTATTTAGACACACTGAAACTGTAAGTCGATACATTTAAGTTAAATTAGATGGCAAGTTCTGTACTACTTAAATAATTTAAGTGGTGACAGAATAATCTGTTTTTAATAAAAATAACTTGTTAACTTTCTGTCTCACCGTTTTCATCACGCTGATTATCTTTTTATCAGATCTGAGTAGCACAAAAGGACTGACAGTGGCATACACATTGCCCACAAGCCTCTGGACACCCAGGACAACAGGGTCATATGCCCATAGCAAGGTTGAGGTGAATAAGATGATGAAATCAACCCAGTAGATGACCACAAAGATACTCACTAGGAGCAGGATGGTCTGAGTGGCACTTTTCTCTGGGGAAGGTCTTGGGAAGAGGCTGGTGCTGTGAAAGTACCAGAATTTCATCTGGTGCCTAAACAAAAGAACCACCATGCATGTACTTGAAAGCAGCATTATCCTTATAAGCAAAACATCTCTGGGTAATGACAGAGTAAGAAACAGTCTTCTGATGATAGAAAAGCGAACAGTATTTACTGATATGCAGAAGATTGCTCAGGGTCACACTGGAAGAAGCTATAGTGTACAAGATGAGATTACTACTAAAAAAAAAAACCTGAGAAAACATGAAAAGAAGAAGAAATGGCAGGTGAAAACGGTGGATTTATGGTTAAACCTCACCAACCAAAAGCTGCTGGGGCTGATAATTATGGCCTGAAGAACACTCAGGAGGCAGGTTGTGCAACTGGAGAAACATCTTATTATATTGTTTAGGTAGGAAAATACTTTACACTTGAAGTCATTCTGAAAATACAGTGACTCAAACACACCTGGAGAAAACAATGACACCATTGCATCACTATGTGGATGAAGGCCAGGTGATTAATGGTCAGGTCAGTGGGCTTAGGCCTGCATTATAGAAGAAGTGTGAAGAAAATGAGGAAGTTGACGGTTGAGATTCCAACACCAGCTTGGAAAAAAGAGGTATTCTTCAATGAAAACCTAAGTGGAGTGTAATAATCTAAACTGTGAAAGAGAAACATATTTTGAATATCTCAAAATAAGACTTTACATCATAAATATTATTTATGGTATGTTCAAATCATCACTAACATGTTTTATCTCATAAAATTCTTTCTTCATTAATTCTAGTACATAAATTTTCAAAAAGTCTCAGCATTATTTTATACACTACAGTGTATAAATATATACATTCCAAGAATATTTGTGTGTATACATAATTTTAAAAATTTTTTAAAAATCTGACTCTCACATCACAGCATTAATTTTCTCAGCCTCTCTTTCACATTTAAGAACTTTTGGGCCGGGCGCGGTGGCTCACGCCTGTAATCCCAGCACTTTGGGAGGCCGAGGCAGGCGGATCACGAGGTCAGGAGATCGAGACCATCCTGGCTAACACGGTGAAACCCCGTCTCTACTAAAAATACAAAAAATTAGCCGGGCGTGGTAGCGGGCGCCTGTAGTCCCAGCTACTCGGGAGGCTGAGGCAGGAGAATGGCGTGAACCCGGGAGGCGGAGCTTGCAGTGAGCCGAGATCGCGCCACTGCACTCCAGCCTGGGCGACAGAGCGAGACTCCGTCTCAAAAAAAAAAAAAAAAAAAAAAAAAAAAAGAACTTTTGTGATTACCTTAGGCTCACACTCAATTTTGATAAGATCAGGTGTATTCAGGGTGGTATGGCTGTAGACACCAAACTCATAATTCAGATTAATCTCCTTAATTTAGAATCAACTGATTATCACCCTTGGTTGTATCTGCAGCCTCTATTTGTCTTTGTCATATACTATACTATATTCCTAGAACCAGGGGGTTAAGACATGGGCACTTTTGTGAGGCATTATTTCATTTATCACAACTCCTGTTAACTGTATTTTATTAAAATAATCCTGGCTCTGTCCAACTTGTGTTTTGATCCCAGATAACTCTTATGTAAACTTTTTTATCTTGGAAGAAAATTGCAACCCAGTGCGGTGGCTCACACCTGTAATCTCAGCACTCTGGAAGGCTGAGGTGGGCAGATCATTTGAGGTCAGGAGTTCAAGGCCAGCCTGGCCAACATGAGGATACCCTGTCTCTACTAAAAATACAAAAATCAGCCAGGAATGGTGGCACATATCTGTAATCCCAGCTATTTGGGAGGGTGAGGCAGGAGAATCATTTGAACCTGGAAGGCAAAGGTTGCAGTGAGCAGAGATCATGCCACTGCACTCCAGCCTGAGTGACAGAGCTAGAACCTGTCTCAAAAGAAGAAGAAGAAGAAGAAGAAAATTGCTAATATACAGCTCTCAATATTAAGAGGACCTACGCTGCCATTCTCTGCCTTTTAACATCAAAAAAGTTGCATTAAAATGATAACATGATGATCTTTGTTGAGACTTCAATTATTACAGAGATATCCTTCCATGCCTTGGAAAAATACTAAGGTCTTTAATACTGAAGATAATTTGCTATATCTTAAAGAGAATATCTCTGTATCAGAATACTTTATAAATTTATGGAATACTTTTGCAATTACTTTTTCGTGTTACTGTCCCTGAATATAGGCACTATTATTGCATCCAATTAAGTTAATCCAGGGCTTAGAATAATTTAGCTTTATAACATACACACACACACACAAATTGGCAAACAAATTACTCAAACTTTAACATAAAAAAGTTAAATTATGATTTCAAGGTCACTTACAATTCTACCAACCTATAAATGTAAATATGTAAGACAATGAAGATAATTTGACATTTTTAGATTATACTGAGAAATTCATATCTGAGTTAGAAAACTGCTCTAATACCAACTGATGTGGATGTGTTTACAAAATAGAAATTGTGTAGTTGATATAATCGTTGTTGTTTTATCTCTCAATGCATAATCTAGTACAGGTATACACTTATCTCAATGTCCAGAACCAAACAACAGACCACTGCCACCAACATATACTGGTGCCTTCAACATACTTGGGTTTTGCTTTCATTTTAGATCCAGAAGCTCCAGTATTATGTCAGATTAAAGGCAAAATAATCTTTCCATTTAAAGTACAACGGTTTAGTACCAACAAAACAATAGTTGTACTTGAACTACTAATATATAAATAATTATTTAGTAAACATATAGCAATCACTTTACAAATATGCTGCGTGTATTGTAAGTCATGTCCCAGAAACAAATAATAAAATTAGAAAAAGAAAACACAGATAAGAATTCTAGTATTTTTTGCTTGCCCAATGTTGTATCCAAGCCACATATTTTAATACATGCTGCACATTTATTTTAAATAAATTCTACCTACTGCAAAAGAGTTTATCTGTTAAATTATCTTTTTTTGTTCTCTAATGAGGATTTTGAGAATGTTGATCCTGAGTCTAGAGGAAAGAACAGTGATTTTCACAAACTAGGCATTTAGTTCGATTTGAATTTTAGGTAAATAATGGATGAGTATTTTGTGTAAATACCTTCAAAGAATTGCTTACACATACTATACACAAATATGCAAATACTGCATAGCTATACAGAAAAGTTCTTTGTTGTTTATTCTAATTTTAAGCTTAAGCGTGTTTTCTGTATTTTTATTTGGTAAATCTGCCATATCTACCATAAAATTATCATAAAATGTGAAATAACATGTTATAGACCTAAGAAGACAGAATGGAACAAAATTCATAAAAGCCATATGATTTGGCCAGAATGTAAAAGAAAATTGCTTCCTAAATAATATATAAAAATATAAATCGAGATGTACATGTGAGCTTTTGTTTGTTTTAAGTAAAAATATTGTTTGAGTTCTGTTTTGTTGACAAGGACTTAGACCAGACAACCTGCCTGGGCAAGGTTACCATGAAAGTGAGATCACACGTGACAAAGTTTAAAGCCCATCTGTTCCTCGCCTGCTGTTTTTCAGGAGTTAAAAGTTAGTTAAGTTTAGTTTTCCCCTTGTTGGCTCCTTTCTAATAATCTTTATCCCTAGGCTATCCTGCTTCTACAGGTGACATGAAAATTATTGGCCAAAATGGAGATGAGCTCTTGGCATCGTTTCCTTATAACATATTGTGGGCCTCAACCTACATACAAAGATTCAACTGAAAGACTCAGCTGGGTGAATGTCTGTTATCCATCTGCATAAACAGTGAGAGCTTAAGACTCAAGTGGGTGGTGGCATGAGGCAGCATTTTCTCAGTGGTATGTTAGTAGAATTGCTTCTCATAATCACAGTCTAATTATCATTGAATCACTGCTAAGAGCAGAACATTTTTCAAGATAAAATATAAATTTACTCTTATGAGGACATAAACTTATAGATTTGTGGAAAGACCTTTGTATTTTCATGGTGTTGTATTTGAGTTGGGATTTAATGAATTAGCTATATTACACCTTATTTTATTCATTTATGTAAAATTTTGTATTTTGAAACAAACATAAGCCAATTGAGATATTTTTTAGTTAGTTTCCTTTGTTCTTTTTAGTTTGGAGAATCATTAGCATGTTTATAATATTTTAGGATTGCTTAAAATTGTGTTATCTTAATATATTAGATACTTGCAATACTTTATAGTAATAATTATCAGAAACCATAAAGATCCTTTTGTTTTACTGTTTTGTAAAATTTTTTCTTTTTTTTTCTGATTACCACATAACTATCTAAAAATGTCACATTTTGCTATTTATTAAATCTTTACAGAGTTAAAATCTTCCCTGAATGGGGACTTGCAATATTCATGATAATTTTAAATACTGTCTTAAATTAATTGTTTTATTACTGTGTTTTGTAAACAAACCAAACTTATAAAATTGGTTTTATATTTTTTAGGTAAGATTGCTTAGTGATAAGAGTAATAATTTACAAAATTTACAAAAATATTAAGGATATAGTATTTCCTTTTTGAAAAGGGTCTTCTCATATTGTATCCCTATCACTTCTAAGTTTATGATTTTATTTTTCTTTCTTTCTTTTTTTTGAGACAAAGTATGTCTCACTTTGTCACCCAGGCTGGAGTGCAGTGGCATGGTGCTGGCTCACTACAACCTCCACCTCCGTGCCTGGTTAATTTGTATTTTTAGTAGAGACTGGATTTCACCATGTTGACCAGGCTCATCTGGAAATTCTCACCTCAAGTGCTCTGCCTGCTTTGGCCTCCCAAACTGCTGGGATTACAGGAGTGAGCTACCATTCCCGGCCAAATTTGTAATCTAATTAAAATATATATTCATAAATATAACTAGTAAATGTCAAGTTGTTGAAGTTAGTAAGTAGCTATTTCTGCATTCAGTAGAAATAGTGTTCTTTGTGTCTATGTTTCTTTAAAATGAAAGACAGGGTGAAATTAGGATAGGAGAAAAACACAAAATAATGCTGATAGAGATTGTCTGTGGCACACAAGGTTACAAACATCTTAAAAACATACATAATAGTAAACCTCTGTGTCCTCGAACATCAGATTATTTTAATCTGTCAATAAATTTATTGGTTTCCAAGCTCTTTGTTCTTAGGGCAAATGAGAGGCCAGCTATGCAGATAAGTTGAGGAAGAGTATTCCAGAAAGGTAAGTCAGAACCTGCACAGGCCCTGAGGCATTATGTGCTTAGCAAATTCAAGGTACCCCATGAAGGGCCATAGCTTCAGTGTTGTGAATGAAGGGGAGACAGAAGACAGAGGTGAAGTGTGTGGGGTTGGGGACTAGATCTTGTATTGTCTCATGAATGAATGTAAGGATTTGGGCTTTTACTCAAGGTGAAATGCTATCATTTGAGGTGTTTGGAACCAAGGAGTGATACGATCTGTCTTATGTCGTTAAAGGATTATGATGGCTGTGTTGAGAATACACTCTAGGCAACACGGACAAGGGGAAAATGTTATAGAAAGACCAGCACGGAAGCTACTGCTCTAATAAAGACAAGATAATGGCAGAGAAAGATGGTGATAAATGGCTGTTGTATGCACATATCTTGAATATGGAACTCATGGGATATTCTGATGGGTAAGCTGTAGGATGAAAAGAGTCAAGGTTGACTTCAAGGTTTTTGGTCTGAGGAAGTAAAGGACAAACCTGTTTGCTGGAGAGAAATATGGTGGGTGAAGCATGCTTGCAAGATGAAAGTGGGGGAGACCAGAAGTCTGAGAAGATGTTAAATATTCAGAAAGAGATGTTACAAAATCAGTGGGATATAAGAGTTTCACATACAGGGAAGATGTTAGAATTGGGGATGGTGCAACTGATGTTTGAAGCCATGAGAAAGGAATAATGGGGAGGAACCTCTTTAGAAAAAAATCACATTTATGCATTAGAAATGATGACATGGTCTTCTAATTGAGTCTTTGATGCCCTTTCTATGTAAAACCAACACTGAGAATTTATCACTTCAAACTGTTCTAGTAGAGTGATGGTAGTGTGCTCTTAAATGTCTGCTATCAGGAACTCAATCCATTCATGGCAAGCATCACATGTACTTAGAATAACTAGCAGTATACAATCTGTAATAACGGAACAAAATCAAGCAAAGGGGCCTGAGTAGAGAGTGAAGAGTCATTAGCTCCTGTTCCCACCAGCTAAGCTTGATTTAGTCCAAACGCACAGTCAGTTCTTTGATGAATTTTCCTGTTTATACTTTTTTTGTTTGTTCTTTTTGGCATGTCATAATTTGCCTCAATTAAAGCATGGTAACACTTGTAATAAAGGTATACGCATCATCCTAATAGAACTTGAAATGTGTTTATTCTTTTTTAACCTCGCTTAGCATTTAAGATTATTTCTTAAAAATAAGAAAACATGATATTAAGCTACATACACCATGCACAAAGCACCTGGTTAGATGGTATTCAAAAAATGTGCACATAGGTTAAAAACTGAGAAAACATCTAGCAAGATATTCCAAAATCTGACAACTTATACAGTGTGTAATAAGAACACAGTTTAGTATTAGTGATTTTAATATTATGGAAGGTGATATGGTTGGCTCTGTGTCTCCACCCAAATCTCATCTTGAATTCTAATCCCTATAATCCCCATAATCCCTACATGTCAAGGCAGAGATATGTGGAGGTAATTGAACCATGGGGGTGGTTTCCCTCATGCTGTTCGTTACTTCTCACGAGATCTGATGGTTTTATAGAAGGCTCTCCCCACTTCATTCAGCACTTCTCCTTTCTGCTGCCTTGTAAAGAAGGTGCCTTCATTCCCCTTCACCTTCTGTCACAATTGTAAGTTTCCTGAGGCCTTCCCAGCCATGCTGAACTGTGAGTCAGTTAAACCTCTATAAATTACCCAGTCTCTGGCAGTTCTTTATAGCAGTATGAAAGTGAACTAATAAAGATGGATTTTAAAATCTGTGTAATAAGTGGACATTTTGATTTTCTCTAGCGATCAATTAAATGCAAGTAGATCTGTAAGAGTTTTATGTTTTTTTCTGGGTACTCCAAGATTAAGATTAAGTTCCAGGTTCAGCTTTATGTTGCAGAAGAATATATAAAGCAGGCGAAATACTGAAAGACTTATGGTATCAACACAAATATGCCATTGCCCAAAATGTGTTTGTGTAGACTAAAGGTTGCATTGTAAACTGGATGTTACAGTATTCCTGTTAAATCGCTGAGCAAGGCAGGGTGCTAGAGGGAAACCAGAAAAAAAAAAACCTGGGTTTTATATGTTGTCCTTCCATTGACAAACTCTATGACCTTGGACATCTTATACCTTAAAAGCTGGACACAAAGAGAATCTCAAACATCATGCATAGGGCTAGGGGTACATAATGGGTTCTATTAAAAAAATAGCTGTTATTGCCTGGTGAGGTGGCTCATGCCTGTAATCCCAGCACTTTGAGAGGCTGAGGCGGGTGGATCACCTAACGTCAGGTGTTCAAGACGAGCCTGACCAACATGGCGAAACCCAGTCTCCACTAAAAATACAAAAATTAGCCAGGCGTGGTGATGCATGCCTGTAATCCTAGCTACTTGGGAGGCTAAGGCAGAGGAATTGGTTGAATCCGGGAGGCGTTGGTTGTAGTGAGCCAAGATTGTAATGTTGCACTCCAGCCTGGGAAATGGAGTGAGACTCCGTCTCAAAAAAAAAAAAAAAAAAAAAAAAAAAAAAAAAAAAAAAAAAAAAAAAACTGTCATTACAGTTGGTCATTTAAATTGAAAGCACCAGGCAACAGAAACTGCTGATTGAGTCACACATGGTAACAACATGAGACAACAAATAGAAATCTCATGTTCTAAGAAGGGTGCCACATAAAGATAGATTTTAAATATGATGCATACTGGTCACATTATGTCTTGGGTGCACAGACATGAACCATGTAACTTCTGTAAATGATCAGCCATTTTTTACACCATTTTTCCATAGCATTTGTTATAACCGTATGTTTCTAAGTAAAGTCAGTTTGTCTTAGATCTAAAGAAACTTGTTTTAGGGAAAGTCATTAAAATCTTTTCTAAAATCAAAACAAACTTCCAAAATAATTTTCCATGCTCTGAAACTAAAGGCCAAGTATATCATGCAACAACTTTTCAGTAGCTCCAAACTCTCAATAGTCACTGCACTGTGTTAAAGCCATCCTGTCCCTCACAATGTTAGGTATTCAGGTATTAAAATCTGAATCGGAGTTGCCTCCTTAGTGCAGGAGGCAGTGCGTCAGTCTCATAAAATCTTAATTTGAAAATTTCTTTGTCATAACCACAATACTGTTTAACATTGCAACAACTATTATTTCAGGAAGGCAATTTGCAGGACACATTTGAAATATATTACTCTAGAGAAAAGAGGAAAATAATTTGGGGAATGGCAAAGTAAAAGTAAAATCATTTCTTTAATATGTGGTGAGAAGAGTCATATACACACATACATGCTTCTAATATATGATAGAGAAGTATCTAATTTAATCTGGGAGCGTAGTAAAGTGGCAGGTTCTGTTCTTAGGAGACACCTCCTGCCTGTAGGTGGAATACATCGGTCCATCTGTCCTCCATCTCCAACCATGCAGGTATGTCTGGTTCCTTGATTGGCTGACTGCACAACAAATAAGAATCTGATCTGCCTCATGAACAATTCCTGCTGTTTACAGCAGGTGCCAGTGCTTTATGAAGTGACACATGCTTCTTTCAAACAAAACAAACAATAATTTGTTTTGAAGTAATTCCAAACTTATGGAATAGTTACAAGGATAGTTACAAAATGTACAAAGTACCTTTATTAGATTCACCAACTTTACACATTTTGCCATATTTACCCTTCCAATCTCTGTGTGTGTGTGTGTCCCTCTTTCTCTCTCTGTGTCTCACTCTTTCTCTCTCTAACTCTCGCTCTGTCCCTTTCTGTCTCCCTCTGTCTCTCTCTCCAACCAATACCTTAATGTTATTTTCTCAGAAGAAAATCAATCTCTTACAATAACTGTACTACAACTTTCAAATTCACAAAATTTGATTTAATGCCTTAATCACATGGCAGCCTACCACACTTCAAATGTTGCCAGAGGTTCCAACAGGCTGTATTTCTCTTTATGCTGCATTCCTCTCTATGCTATATTTTTCTTGATGCTATTTCTTTTTATGGTGTATCTCTCTTTATGTTATATTTTTCTTTGTGCTATATTTCTCTCTATGCTATCTTTCTCTTTATGCGATATTTCTCTCTATGCCATGTTTATTTTTCTCCTGGCCAAGGATCCATCCCAGGCTCACACATGGCATTGGGTGGTTCTGCCTCCCTGCTCTTCTTTGATCTGGGTTGTTATTTATCTCTTCTTTATCTTTCACAGCATGAATATTTGTGAAGAGTGCAGGCTATCACATGTGCCTCTTGAACTGAAGTTGCACCCAAGGACAATGTCACTCCACAACCTTAAATTCCTATGATTTATTCCTTCCTGGGAATTTCATTGCCATGACAAGGGCTGGACTCTCCACTTCCACTTCACAAAAGAAAAGCCGTGTTGACTCTTAAGAAGCACAAAAAGTGTCAGGAGAGAGCTGCTGAGATGTTTCAAAAATGCATGTCCGTCCCTTGAATTTGGAGATAATTATGGAGAGAATGATGCGTAATTGTGGAGGTTACATTTCTTTTTTTTTTTTGTATCAGCCTTAACCTAGCCTACCCATCAGAGCAATGGGCACAAGCATGCATGCCCCAAATTAAGCCGGAGAGGAATGAAGCCAGCCCATGGGAAGAGGCAGAGGAAGGAAGGCAGGGCTGGATCAATGAGGGAGGATGGATGTCCCTCGTGATTATCCATGGAAGACATCCCCTCCAACCTCAGAGGAAGTGCTAATGCCAAGTCAAAACCACTGTTTAGGAGTGCTGGCTTGGCGCAGTGGCTCTGCCTGCTATCCCAGTACTTTGGGAGGTCAAGGAGGGCGGATGACCTGTGGTCGGGAGTTCGAGTCTAGCCTGGCCAACGTGGTGAAACCCTGTCTCTACTAAAAGTATAAAAATTAGCCAGGCGTGGTGACAGTCGCCTGTAATGACTGCTACTTTGGGCCGTTCTACTGAGGATCAGGGAAACAAACTGGTGCATTATGAATGGTCCTTTCCCTCAGAATGCCAAGGACGAAACCGCCAAATTTTTATTTACATTTCAAAAGGAAATTATTATTATCTTAATAGGTGCAATGTTTCCTTATTTTCAAACAAGGTTCTTAATGTTGACTTAAAATAGATTTTATGGTAATTTCTTATTACAAAGTAATACATGCACAGAAAAAGTTGGAAAATGCAAATAAAAATATGGAATATATTTTAACATCTTTTATATTTTAATATATTTACTATATTATATATTTCTACAACCTAAAAAATTACAGTTAACATCTCAGCATATCACCTTTCTTTTTCTACATACATGTGAATGTAATTTTTATTCAAATATGACAAAATACTATATCACTGTTTTTGTTCGCTTTTTTCATTTTACATATTTGAATATTTTTTCTATGTTAGTAAACATTCTTCAGAATGCTTTTTCTGGCTGAAGAGTTTTCTATTTTGTAACTCTGCCACAATTAACTTAATCTGTCTTTTTTGTTGGGAATTTAGGATATTTCTAGTTTTTGTTAATGGTATAACAGAAATTGCAAAAATATAATATGACTACTGTTTTCTAAATCCCTGTCATTATTTTTATGGTACTTTTGGACAATAGAATTTATAAGTCAAGAGTTAAAGGAAAACATTTAGAAGATCGTAATATTTATATCTAACTTGCCCTATGTATATAAAAACATTTTTTAAACAATGGAGTTATTCTTCTTGTAGTCCAATATCATTTTAATAGACATCTTTGTTTTGGTATGTTTTTGTATTTTTCTTAAGTTTTCTTAAAATAACCTAACTTTTGTCTCCAGATGCCAGCAACTTCTGTGTGCCTTGCAGAGACAAATAAAATTCTTTCAAAGGCAATGTCCTAGTCTGTACTGTCTCAATAACTCCCTGTGATTTCTACAAATGCAGAAGGCTGACTCTTTCCATGGTATCTTCCGCTGCTCCACCTCTGAACACAGCCTCCCCCATTTCTTCCACTTCCTTACTTGCAGTAAGTAAATGTCCCCTTTGTGATTTGCTGTCTTTCCCCTTCCTCTGAGACCAGAAGGTACACAGAGACTTGAAGCTCAGCTTCAACCTCAATCTGGCTAATCACAATGTTTTCTCAATTAGGATAGGTCCTTGCTCAGAATGTTTCTATTGCAGCTGCTGAGAGAACACAGTTATGGGCCTGGAGGGAAACAAACTGGCAGGATTTCTTTCTTAGAACCATGTCTCAGGGACCACAATCCACATGCACAGAATCACTCCAAGACTCAGCTGCTGTGTGTCTGTTTCTCCTTCACTACTACTGAGTGCTCAAGACTCAGGTGAATGGTGGGAAGAGGTAGGATTTTCTTCATAGTGTCTGTGATTCTCTCATAATTTTATTTTTACTTCTCACTGAATTATGACTAATTCATATGAATTTCCAGATAAAATATAAATGTTATTAATGTTATGAGCACACAAATTTACATATTCACGTAATGAAATTTGTGATTTTATAATATTTGAATTGAAACTTTACTAAGCTATTTTTGATTACAATAAATTAGTACAACAAAGTATTTTATGTATTTATGAAGAATTCTATCTTTCAACACACAACAAATGGAACTAATTTAGAATAATTTAATCATATATCTTTTTTAAAGTTTAGAGATACTTCAATATATTTTAATACTTTTAACACTACTTAAATAATGATGTCATAACATAAAATATTTTCAACATTTCACAATACCAATAATTTAGCAGACGACCATAGAAAACATTATGTTTTATTGGATTATAGTAACTGCTACTAGAGGGATTTTTTCTTGATAACACAAACTATCTGGCACCATCTTTTTTGTTACGTATTAAAACTCAATAGTGTGAGTGACCAACTTACATGAACAGAGGCTGGGAATATCGAGTACAATTTCAAATATGCCTTTAAATTTAGTTCGATATTTAGATTTTCAAAATGATCTGAAACATATAAGATGTGTGTATTCACTTGTATAAGATTGTTTAGTTAGGAGAGAATAATAATGTGTCAAGTGAATAATTTAGCATTCCCTTATTACTAGAAAATCTTCTAAATTTAGTATCTCTTTTTATTCTTCTGAAAGTTTAAACTGTATTTAGCTCTATTAAACATATAGTCACAAAAAGTGACAAGTAATTTTTAACTCAATTGTTGAAATTCACAAGTGAACATTTTCTGTATTTAATAAGGTTAATGCCTTTTAGTGTCTATGTATCTTTAAAATGAAAGACAGAGAGAATGAAACCAAGAAACTGTTGAAAACAGAAGAAACAAAATGACAATGACAGAAATTGTCCATTTTTGACTCACAAGGGCATGAAAGCCTTAAGAAATTTGATCAGTAGCAAACTTTTCTATATCTGTACCATAAGATAATTTTAAGTTTTTCTTAAATGAGTTCACGTTAAAAGCCCTGTACTTCATGTAGAAGAGGAAGATGTCTGAAAAGATGGGTCTTAATTGATCCTAATTGTTCCTGATGAGGGTACCTCAGCAGAAGGACATGCCCTCCATTTCCTTCTTAATACAATATTTGACACAATTAATATGAGCATAATTTTTCTGTTACTCTGATGCACAGGGATATGATGGTAAAATACCTCGAAAGCATTTAGGAAAAAAGTCCTATATTTTGCTCAAAATTTTAGAGTTTGGTAATCAGAAAAATATGCACTGGCAGACATAATTTTATGATTTCCAAAAAGTTATAGCTCAGAATTAGTGATCGAGCCCCGTCCGGGTGGTTTTTTTGTTTCCTACCTCTGCAGTGACACTGTCTTTTCCCATGTTTTTTTCTCAGATGAGGTGAAAATAAAATGTCTTGAGATTGTGAATATCTGCACTTGTAAGCACTGTGCTACCATCTGCACTCTTTGCTAATCTAAATTACAATAGAATAGTAGATGCATTCTAGTTTCATCTCTCAATGGTATCTGGAACTTGCCAAAATTATTCTTTTGTCACGTGTACATTACACAAAAGATTTTTATAAAATTGTTTTAGCTGGAAAAGATGACTCCCTTTTCTGATGTTGCCAGCTGTGTTTGTCAGTTTACCAACTATTGCCACTGAATAAAAAGACCTACTGCCCTGCCAACTAGGCCATGTGCAATTCTCATAATTACTTCATTCTTTACAATCATAGTTGATGGCCAGTAATATGTTTTAGGACACTGTTCATAGAATATGGTGAAATTGATGAGAATATGACACTTTTGATTATTAAACTAGTAAAAATAAAGCAAGGTGTTATTTATTTTCTGATATGGATTTTTATGCTTAAATATATGTCAGAAAGAATGTAAAAAAACTATTAAAACATATCATTAAGAAAATAATACAATTCTAAATAGTAAATATTATTATAATAATGAAAAAATAGATTTAATCAAACTTTTTCTTGTCCAAAATAGTATATTCTGTAATGCAAAATAGTGACAGGTTTGTGAATAGCTTCTTTCTCTAATGACAATCTTTTTTTCTGATGTCTGATCAAGCCCGTTGATTTTATAATCAGCCTTTGGTTACTGGTCCATTGAAAGGTGTTGTTTTCCCTAATATCCATGATTGTGCATATCCTTTGGGGCTTACAGTATTAAGAATATCCTGAGATTAAAGTGAGAATAATGAAGATGAACTTTATCTGTATTATCTGTCTTCTGAGAGGCTTCACCCTCAAACCAAAGGCAAGCTGGTTGCCAGATCTCATACTGAGTGCTCAGATTTGCATTTGGATTTCTAAGTGTGTACTGTGTCAAATAGGACCCAATTCTTACACTCAGATCAATCTATATGACCTCATGGATTTTCTTCTTCTATTTAATTTCTCTCAGCAGTATACCATGTTTTCAGATCTCATGATTATTTTATGTTGGAATTGCCAGACTCAGCAAATAAAAATACAGAGCATACAGTTAAGTTTAATATTCAGAAAGAAAACAAATAACTTTTTAATATAACTATAAAACATTTGTATATAGTATTTCTATGCATAACTATTATTATACATTATATATATACACTCACATTTTACTTATGTGAAATTCATATTTAATACTCTTGTACTTTATCTGTTGATCTCAATCCACAAGAACCATAGTCCTCCTCAGTGTCCGGGCTCAGCACCAATGACCTAGAGTCTCATTGAGTAGAAGGTCACATAATAGTGTGAGAGTCATTTACAGAGTGGGGGCATGAATGAAAAATGGTGAGATGGATGTCTTTGGGATAAAAAGAGAAAATATTAAAATTATTATTTATGTTACTTTTTCTGTTACATTTATTCTCTCTCTTTGTTAGATAACCTACAATACCTGAAGAATAATAATAAAAAGATCCTGGTACATAGTTATTAAATAATTCCATATATGTTAGTGATTCATACCCAAATTTTGCTTTACTTGTACTGGATTGTGAACCTTATAATGTGAAGATCATTAAGACTTTCTGTCGATATTCTTCTGGTGTTTCTCCTGAGTGCAATATGGCAACAGATTCCAATTGAGTTGAGTGTGCAAATGTATATTGTTGAGAACTATCAATTGGTTGGCTCTGTAAGTTGAAATAAATATATTTCTTTAATAGATTAAGTGCTTGGATAAAAAGTAAAAATTATTTGCTGCAATTTTTGTTATAAACTCATAGACATCAGGTGGTCTTAGAGCAATGTCTACCTCAGCCATTATTTTCTGAGTATGAACCAAAAACACAGACTATCACATAATCTGCATTGCCTTACATATTTACAATTAGAGACCAGTGTAGTTTTAAGTGACCTTGAAAACAATTGAGCACTTTTACATCGCAGAAGAAAAATAGAGTGCCTATAGATTTTGTTTCAGCATTATTACAGCTGAATTGTTCTACACCAGTATTGAATTGATTTAATAAAATAATAATGCCAGCATCCAGAGCAAATAACATGAGAACAATTTTTAAATTATTCAGTAAAATTTCAGAAAAATTATTTTGATACAGAGATCTTTCAATTAACATATGAAGAAATTTGCCTTTATTATTAAAGAGCAAAGTGTTTTTGAAGGCATAGGAGGGTATTCCTGTATTAAGTGAAGGCTCAAGAAAAAAATCTTCACATAAGCATTTTAATGTAAAATTATGATGCCATAAACTTGAGAAATGTGTGGTTCGTTCTCTTGAAAATTGAAAGCAGAGTTTTTAGTAATTCCTTTCTGAGATGATGAGGGTTTAGATAAGGAGTATCATATTAAAACTAAGCTTCAAGAGAACCAGGACCATTTTGAAAAGATACAGTTAGTACAGCAATGTTCACATCCTAAACCCCAGACTCTGTGAATATCTTAGCTAATATAACAAAGGAAAATTAAATACAGATGGTGTCAAGGTTAATAAGCATCTGCCTTCATGATAGATTATCTTCATCATTAGCAGAAGCCCTTTGCAATTAGAAGGGTACTTAAATATGAAAGAGGGAGGCAATAAGAAAAGTATTAGAGTGATGGGATATTGGATCGATTCAATGCAACTTTTTTCAAAAATACTATTGGTGATTCTTTTTCCATTAGCATAAAGTTTACCTCAGTTCAGTTATAAAAGCATCCATGATTTATTTTATATGCATGTTATTATGGGTGGTGAAAAGTAAACAAAAAATACAGAAAGTAAACAAATGCTTTTTGAGGAGTAGAGCCACAGGTACTCTATGAGTATAGATAATGTGCACCCTACATAGGTGTGATTGTGGATGTGTTGATATTTGATATATGTATAAGTTATTTGTTGTAAAATATAATAGGCTGCATTTAAAAATTTTATATGAGATAGGGTTAATCAAGATAAATGGGTGAAATTAAAATGATAAGGTTGGTAATAATTTTGACTATACAATAACTAACATTGATGATAAGAGGTCTATTGCTTTTTTTCAGGTATATAAAATATAATTCCTCTTCATCATTAAGACGACCATGTTCCAGTTAAGGTACTACTAACAATTGCCCTTCTTTTTCAAGCTGGTATTGGACTCAGAGCCAACAACTTCCTCCTATTCTTCCAAATCTTCTCACTCCTTCAGGATCACAGGCCTAAGCCCACTGACCCCATCACCTGTCACCTGGCCCTTGTCCACTTAGGGATGCTCCTCATTGTGGTCTTCTTGGCATCTCCAGACCTGTTTGAGTCACTGTATTTTCAGAATGACTTCAAGTGTAAGGCATTCTTCTGCATGCACAGGGTGATGAGGAGCCTCTCCATCTGCACCACCTGCCTCCTGAGCATGCTCCAGGCTGTCGCCATCAGCCCTGGCACCTCCTGGTCTGCAAGGATTAAACAGAAATTCAAAGGTTACATCTTTCACTCCTTCTTCTTCCTATGGGTTCTCAGTTTGTCTCTCAGTAGTAACCTGCTCTCCTCCACTGTGGCTTCTTCTAATGGGACCAAGACGGTTGTGCTAAGTATCAGTAAATACTGATCACTTTCTTCCATAAGCTACATTATCAGGAGCCTGTCTTTCATGCTGCCACTGCTTACGAATGTCTTCTTTGTAGCAATCATGCAGCCCTCAAGTGCATACATGGTAATTCTCTTGTTCAGGCATCAGAGACAATCCCAATACCTTCATAGAACCAACCTCTCTCCAAGAGCCTCCCCAGAGAAAAGGGGACCATCTTGTTGCTGGTGAGTTGCTTTCTGGTCATGTACTGGGGGGACCTTATTATCTCATCCTCCTCAACTCTATTATTGGCTTATGACTCAGTCATTGTGAGCATGCAGAGGCTTCTGGGCAGCACAATTTATTAAATAGGGAATACTTTCCCCATTTCTTGTTTTTCTCCGGTTTGTCAAAGATCAGATAGTTGTAGATATGTGGCGTTATTTCTGAGGGTTCTGTTTTGTTCCATTGATCTATATCTCTGTTTTGGGTTACTGTAGCCTTGTAGTATAGTTTGAAGTCAGGTAGTGTGATGCCTCCAGCTTTGTTCTTTTGGTTTATGATTGACTTGGCGATGCGGGCTCTTTTTTGGTTCCATATGAACTTTACAGTAGTTTTTTCCAATTCTGTGAAGAAAGTCATTGATAGCTTGATGGGGAAGGCATTGAATCTATAAATTACCCTGGGCAGTATGGCTATTTTCACGATATTGATTCTTCCTACCCATGAGCATGGAATGTTCTTCCATTTCTTTGTATCCTCTTTTATTTCATTGAGCAGTGGTTTGTAGTTCTCCTTGAAGAGGTCCTTCACATCCCTTGTAAGTTGGATTCCTAGGTATTTTATTCTCTTTGAAGCAATTGTGAATGGGAGTTCAATCATGATTTGGTTCTCTGTTTGTCTGTTATTGCTGTATAAGAATGATAGTGATTTTTGTACATTGATTTTGTATCCTGAGACTTTGCTGAAGTTGCTTATCAGCTTAAGGAGATTTTGGGCTGAGACAATGGAGTTTTCTAGATATACAATCATGTCATCTGCAAACAGGAACAATTTGACCTCCTCTTTTCCTAATTGAATACCCTTTATTTCCTTCTCCTGCCTAATTGCCCTGGCCAGAACTTCCAACACTATGTTGAATAGGAGTGGTGAGAGAGGGCATCCCTCTCTTGTGCCCGTTTTCAAAGGGAATGCTTCCAGTTTTTATCCATTCAGTCTGATATTGGCTGTGGGTTTGTCATAGATAGCTCTTATTATTTTGAGATACGTCCCATCAATACCTAATTTATTGAGAGATTTTAGCATGAAGTGTTGTTGAATTTTGTCAAAGGCCTTTTCTGCATCTATTGAGATAATCATGTGGTTTTTGTCTTTGGTTCTGTTTATATGCTGGATTACATTTATTGATTTGCGTATATTGAACCAGCCTTGCATCCCAGGGATGAAGCCCACTTGATCATGGTGGATAAGCTTTTTGATGTGCTGCTGGATTCGGTTTGCCAGTATTTTATTGAGGATTTTTGCATCAATGTTCATCAAGGATATTGGTCTAAAATTCTCTTTTTTGGTTGTGTCTCTGCCTGGCTTTGGTATCAGGATGATGCTGGCCTCATAAAATGAGTTAGGGAGGATTCCCTCTTTTTCTATTGATTGGAATAGTTTCAGAAGGAATGGTACCAGTTCCTCCTTGTAGCTCTGGTAGAATTCGGCTGTGAGTCCATCTGGTCCTGGACTCTTTTTGGTTGGTAAGCTATTGATTATTGCCACAATTTCAGATCCTGTTATTGGTCTATTCAGAGATTCAACTTCTTCCTTGTTTAGTCTTGGGAGAGTGTATGTGTCGAGGAGTTTATCCATTTCTTCTAGATTTTCTAGTTTATTTGTGTAGAGGTGTTTGTAGTATTCTCTGATGGTAGTTTGTATTTCTGTGGGATCAGTGGTGATATCCTCTTTATCATTTTTTATTGCATCTATTTGATTCTTCTTTCTTTTCTTCTTTATTAGTCTTGCTAGCGGTCTATCATTTTTGTTGATCCTTTCAAAAAACCAGCTCCTGGATTTATTAATTTTTTGAAGCGTTTTTTGTGTCTCTATTTCCTTCAGTTCTGCTCTGATTTTAGTTATTTCTTGCCTTCTGCTAGCTTTTGAATGTGTTTGCTCTTGCTTTTCTAGTTCTTTTAATTGTGATGTTAGGGTGTCAATTTTGGATCTTTCCTGCTTTCTCTTGTGGGCATTTAGTGCTATAAATTTCCCTCTACACACTGCTTTGAATGTGTCCCAGAGATTCTGGTATGTTGTGTCTTTGTTCTTGTTGGTTTCAAAGAACATCTTTATTTCTGCCTTTATTTTGTTATGTACCCAGTAGCCATATGTAGAAAGCTGAAACTGGATCCCTTCCTTACACCTTATACAAAAATTAATTCAAGATGGATTAAAGACTTAAACGTTAGACCTAAAACCATAAAAACCCTAAAAGAAAACCTAGGCATTACCATTCAGGACATAGGCATGGGCAAGGACTTCATGTCTAAAACACCAAAAGCAATGGAAACAAAAGCCAAAACTGAAAAATGGGATCTCATTAAACTAAAGAGCTTCTGCACAGCCAAAGAAACTACCATCAGAGTGAACAGGCAACCTACAAAATGGGAGAAAATTTTCGCAACCTACTCATCTGACAAAGGGCTAATATCCAGAATCTACAATGAACTCAAACAAATTTGCAAGAAAAAAACAAACAACCCCATCAAAAATTGGGCAAGGGACATGAACAGACACTTCTCAAAAGAAGACATTTATGCAGCCAAAAAGCACATGAAAAAATGCTCACCATCACTGGCCATCAGAGAAATGCAAACCAAAACTACAATGAGATACCATCTCACACCATTTAGAATGGCAATCATTAAAAAGTCAGGAAACAACAGGTGCTGGAGAGGATGTGGAGAAACAGGAACACTTTTACACTGTTGATGGGACTGTAAACTAGTTCAACCACTGTGGAAGTCAGTGTGGCAATTCCTCAGGGATCTAGAACTAGAAATACCATTTGACCCAGCCATCCCATTACTCGGTATATACCCAAAGGACTATAAATTATGCTGCTATAAAGACACATGCACACATATGTTTATTGCAGCACTATTCACAATAGCAAAGACTTGGAACCAACCCAAATGTCCAACAATGATAGACTGGATTAAGAAAATGTGGCACATATACACCATGGAATACTATGCAGCCATAAAAATGATGAGTTCATGTCCTTTGTAGGGACATGGATGAAATTGGAAATCATCATTCTCAGTAAACTATCGCAAGAACAAAAAACCAAACACTGCATATTCTCACTCATAGGTGGGAATTGAACAATGAGAACACATGGACACAGGTAGGGGAACATCACACTCTGGGGACTGTTGTGGGTTGGGGGGAGGGGGGAGGGATAGCTTTAGGAGATATACCTAATGCTAAATGACAAGTTAATGGGTGCAGCGCACCAGCATGGCACATGTATACATATGTAACTAACCTGCACATTGTGCACATGTACCCTAAAACTTAAAGTATAATAATAATAAAATAAAATAAAAAAATAGTTTAATTACGCTTTTAATCTATCTAAATTATTTTGAAACCTATGCTGCCAAAGACTTAGTGGTTTCTTGAGTTCAATGTCCACCCTCATAGTCTCCAGTGTCTATACGTTCTTTATCTTTAATTTTGATTCCCTAATTTTTCTATAAGACACTTTTCTATCTTCTTGAAGTGTACACTCAAGAAGCTCCTGTTGGTAAATGCAATCTCTCTCCCTTTCTCTCTCTCTCTCTTTTTTTACTTTTTAAGATAATTTAGTTTACCCTTATTTATTTAAAATATGCTAGCTATGTATCCAATTAAAGGTTGAACAATAACTTTTTTTCAGAACTCTTACTATTTATTTCTCCATTTTCTGGGTCTGCATAGGCTGTGGAGATTTTACTCTCATCTTGTAGGTTATCTCTCCTTCTCATGGCTTTTGTCTCCATTCTGTTTGGTGTTATGCAGTATGACTGTTATTTTGTTAAATATCTTTCTTTATTGCTCTTTTTTAGACACAGTGCACTTCTGCATTTATGAGTTTATATCTGATTTTTAATTTTAGAAATTGAAAATAATTATCTTATTAGCATGATTTATTATTTGTATGGACTTAAGTAAAATAATTGTGCTTTGTTCCTTCTTATTCTGTTACTTATATATGTATATTTACATTCATATTGCTATTATTTTGTTTCTCTTACTGTATTTGGCTATATTCATTGTGTTCAATAGTCCAGTTCACTAATCCAGTTCACTAAACCTCTCATTCTCAACTCAGTCTAATTTAATGTTTAACTCATATGCTGTATATTAATATGTATTTAAATTATTCTATTTCTATTTGACTCTTTTCTAAATTTGCTTGTTCAGTTTATAATTTTCTATTTTGATATCCCCTTTTTCCCATTTGCTTAAAAATTTAAACATATTTCCAATATGCATAGGTTTTGTGATGCCTAATTTATTCTGACCCCTTTACCTGATGGCTTATTTTCTTCTGTCCTTTACAGTTTTTAATTTGCTTCTCACATAAATAAAGATCTTATATTAAAACAAAATAGTATGGCTTGGCTTGTAATTTTTGTTAAAAGCTGTAGTATATGTTGTATAAAACAGTATACTGGGGGTAAATAGTTTTTAGGTTATTGATGAGCAGTTTTCCCTCAGATAGGCCTTAGCGTAGGGGTTTCTGGTCATGTAGATGAGAGATAGGCTGGGATTGAAATTTGTTATGGCAGCAATAACCTTCTCAGCACCAGGGAATTCAAATCCTTTTCAGGATACTTTGCCAATATCTCCCAGGTTTGCTGTGCCTTCCCTTCATGCCTTTTATCAGAGGTGGTCTCGTACACAGCTGTATTTTCCTGTTATTTTTACTCCTTTTTTTTTTTCTTTTGAGATGGAGTCTTGCTCTTGTCGTCCAGGCTGGAGTGCAATGGCATGATCTTGGCTCACTGCAACCTCCACCTCCCAGGTTCAAGCGATTCTCCTGCCTCAGCCTCCTGAGTAGCTGGGATTACAGACACCCACAACCACGCCCGGCTAATTTTTGTATTTTTAGTAGAGATGGGGTTTCACCATGTTGGCCAGGCTGGTCTTGAACTCCTGACCTCAGGTGATCCACCTGCCTCGCCCTCCAAAAGTGCTGAGATTACAGGCGTGAGCCACTGTGCCCAGCCAACTCCATGTTTTTTAACTTGGTGGCAGGGGGTGAGGGAGTGAGGATATCTCCGATGTTCTGAGGAAGCCTCAGACAACACTGTCAACTGGGGTGTGTGGTTACTGACATTTAAAGATTTTCCTGCCCGTCCTGTAGATGCAATGCAGGGACAAGAGCATATTTCTGCTTCTCCCCCAGTAGTAGAGAGGCTCCTAGTCCATGTTTTTAACTCCCAGTGGAAGTGGTTCTGCAACAGTGCTCTGTAAATTAACGGTTTAGTTTATTTGTTGTTGTTTTGAGACAGGGTCTTACTTTGTCACCCAGGCTGGAGTGCAGTGGCACAATCTCGGCTTACTGCAGTCTCTACCTTCTGGGCTCAAGCAATCCTGCCACCTCAGCCTGCCAAGTAGCTGCGACTACAGGCATGTGCCACAATGCCCAGTTATTTTTTGAATTTTTTGTAGAGACAAGATTTCGCCATATTGCTTGTCTTGAACTCCTGGCCTCAATTAATAAGCCCACCTCGGCCTCTCAGAGTGCTAGAATTATAGGCATAAGCCACCGCACCTGGCTAGGCTTCATTTTTTTATGGGAGATGCATCTGTGCAGAGATGTGGATGTTGGCCTTTTTTCTCCACCACCAGCTGCTGTGAGTTTTTTCATGGTTCCCTCTGGCTCATGTTTGGATGCTCTTACTCTGCACATTGGGCCTTGTATTCTATAGGAGAGATGGGAAAGCTATATCTCCAGAGTTGTAGCAGTGGGTGGGATAGTGGTCCCTCCCCATCAGCACTGTTGGGGAAGCATTCTCAGGATTCTACCCCATCCTCCCTGACAGGCCTGTAGGGTTGCTAGAAACACTCTAACAAAGGTGTAAACCTTATGTCTGTAGACTCCAGGGTTTCACCTTCTCCTTCACCCACCTACACACAGCCACCAAGTACTACTTCAAAAGTTCTGGTTTAATTTTACCAGAGTACATGGTATTTTGGGTGCACATAAAAGCCTGGGGCCTCCATTACCTGCAGGCTTCTGCATCCCCTGATGTTGGGTTTGTTGTCTTCTCTGTGACTTCAGGTCTCCAAAAGGCTCAGAACAAGACATTCATTCATTTGCAGTTTCTTCAGCTTTTTTGTTTGTGTAATGTACGAGCAACTCTTTGTCAGGTGTCTACATCTACAAACTTAACTCAGAAGTGAATATTTTAAAATACATTTCTTTTCTATCATACTTTTAGTACTTCTCTACAATTACCTATGCTAATAGTTCTTCAGTATTTATATTTGTATGTCTTTATCTCTCTATTTTATTTATTTATTTATTTATTTATTTATTTATTTATTTATTTATTTTTTGAGATGGAGTCTCACTCTATTGCCCAGACTGGAGTGCAGTGACGCGATCTTGGCTCACTGCAACCTCCGCCTTCTGGGTTCAAGTGATTCTCCTGCCTCAGCCTCCCCAGTAGCTGGGATTACATGCATGCACCACCACTCCTAGCTAATTTTTTATTTTTTTAGTAGAGACAGGGTTTTGCCATGTTTGCCAGGCTGGTCTCAAACTCCTGAACTCAGGTGATCCACCTGCCTCCTCCTCCCAAAGTGCTGAGATTACAGGTGTGAGCCACCGTGCCTGACCTAGTTAGAAGTAATCTTATTTGTTTATTTTTAGTTTGTTCCCCGGAATTTTGAGGTTAAATTCAAAATCTCATTGCTTAAACCAGTGTCATGGGACTTCCACCCTATGTTTTTTTGTAGCAGTTTCAGAGTGTCAGGTCTTACATTTAAGTTTTTAATAAATTATGAGTTAATTTTATACATGGTGCAAAATGAAGGTGTTATTTTATTGTTCTCTGTGTGAATACCCAGTTTTCCCAACACTATTTATTAAAGAGACTGCCATTCTTTATTGTGTATTTTTGTTACCTTCATCTAAAATCAATTAGCTGTAAAGGCATGAATTTCTGAGCTTTTTATTTTGCTCCATTAACCTATGTGTCTGTTTTTATGCCCACACCATACTGTTTTGGTTACTATAGCTTTGTACCATGTTTCATTGTCAAGTAATATAATGTTTGCACTTTTTTTTTGCTCATATTGCCCTGACTCTTCAAGGCCTTTTTTGTATCATATAAATTGTAGAATTTTTATCTTATGTCTTTAAAGTATCTCACTGATATTTTGATAAGAATTGTCTTAAATCTGTAGATTATCTTGTGTAATATAGACATTATAAAAATATTAATTCTAGAAATTCATGAATAAGGGACATCTTTTCATTTTTTTAATTTAATTTTTGACCTCAATTTTTAAAGCTTTTTTAAGCTTTAATGTAGAGACTTTACCTTTTTGATTCAATTTATTTCTGAGTATACTTTTTGTAGGTATTACAGATGGAATTGTTTTCTTGATTTCTTTTCCAAATACTTTTACATAGTTTCTTGTTAGTGTATAAAAACCCTACTGACTTTTGTATATTGATTTTATCTCTTGCAAGTTTACTACATTTCTACATTAGATCTGACAGTTTTTTAGTGGAGTTTTAAAGGTTTTGTGTATAAAATTATGTGGTCTGCAAACAGTGACAAGTTGACTTCCTTTCCAATCTGTATGCCTTTGATTTTGTTCTCTAATTGCTCTGGTTTGGATATAGAGTATTGTACTGAATAAGATTGTTGAAAGCAGGCATTCTTGTTGTGTTCCAGTTCTTATAGAAAAAGCTTGCAACTTTGTCTCATTTAATATATTATTAGCTGTTTATTTGTAATACATGGACTTTAATGGGTTTAGGTGAATTTATTCTATACCTAATTTGTTGAGAGTTTTTATCATGAAGGGATGTTACTTTTTAAAAAATTTATGCAAATATTTAAATGTTATACTTGGTCTTGTGGTGTGTCTTTCTGATCAGAAGCTGAAACGTGCATCCATACCTACAGGAGAGCATAAGGGCATCATATCTCACACTCTGTCAAAATGACCAGCTTATGAAGCCTACTGTGAGTGTATGACTCCATAAAATAAATCGAGGCCCAGGAACTGTCATCTGCTTTCTTCATTGAATTATGCCAACTGTCGGAAAAAGTGCTTAATATATACGTGATGAATGCATAAGCCCTAACTCCCACCTCTTTAGATATATCTTAGTCTGCCTTTCTCAGCACCCAGGGATATCCATCCTCTCTGGGTCAAGGACAAAGTCCAGCTAAAATGAAGCTCAATTGTCCTTTACAAATGTTAAGAACAGGTTTGTCTTCTACATGCTTTTCCAATTATAGAGGGACATGAGTTATTGAGACATGAGAAAAAGCTTCTTGGGTGAAAGAACAGAAAAAAATATATAAATATGAACATCCAGAGCATGCCCAGCAGCCTTTCCACCGAGCCAGGCACTAGGGATCCACTTTTCATGTTTTATGTCATTCATTCCTCACAAAAACCATATGAGGTTCATTGTACAATTCTTTTCAGAGATGGAAATTGAGGCTCATTGAGATGCATTGTTATTCTGAAACACGGTAGCTGGCAGAGTCACCACTGCGCCTTGGAGAAAACAGATGCTTGCCTACTGAACTGGTCTGGGAACTGTGGAGTGGTGGTGAAGTCCTGGTAAAAGTTCAGGAAAATGATAAAAAAGAAGATAGTTCGACCCCAGAAAGCTGCTGCCAATGACTGCATCAGCTTCTCCCTTTGCCTGGCTGGAGAGTCGGCTTCATTCAAATCTCGAGGTTCAGGATAGACTCATAGTTTTACCTGGGTGTGCTGGGGGGCGGGGACAAGAAGGAACATACAGTCAGTGACGAGACCATGAAACACCAGAGGACTGGAATGTGTGGCTCAGACCTGGAGTTCCCCATCCTTTGGAGACTTGTGCATGTGGAGGACATAGATGTTCATGGTGAAGAATTTTTTAGGCTTCCAATGTCGAATTTGATGTGGAGGTAAAGAATAATTAATCCATTAATACTTTCAAGGCATCTTCATCAGACTGTATCAGCTGTAGAACAACAGCACTCACCTGTATTAATAATCTTTATAAAGTACACTATCCCAGAGAGTTCCCAAAAATCATTCTCAATGTAGAAATGAGAAAACACAGGCTTTGTGATGTCAAATGGCTGCTCCAAAACACACAGGTCAGAATGAGAATCTTCCATGGTGAGGGTTGCATGAAATTTCCTCTAAGCTACCTGAGTCTTAGTCTGTTCCTGTCATAGAGGGGAAGGGCATGTTTTAAAGACAGGTCACAGGGCAAGAAATCCTAGCACAACCCTTTTGACTTAAATCAACATAGCTGGGTTTTCTAACCTCAAAGGGAAAGAACCAGCTACAGCAATCCCACACCTGGCAAAAGCGTCCATGCTGGGAAACTCCAGGGTAGGAAAAACCCCGTCAGAGGGCCAAGGATCCGAGGAGATAACTCAGTGAACAGAAAACCCAAATAAGTATAAAACAACGGAAAGGTAACTCAAACATACCAGTTAGAAAAGTGGAAATATAAACATAATTTTCTTTGACACATGGGTGCCAGCTTGTCAAATAATTCAAAGAAGGTTAACATCCAGGGAGTCTGGATACAAAATGTCAGATACATTCAGAAACTCCTGTTTGCAGGAAGGGGAACATCACACACTGGGACCTGTTGTGGGGTGAGGGGAGGGGGGAGGGGGGAGGGATAGCATTAGGAGATATACCTAATGTTAAATGAAGAGTTAATGGGTGCAGCACTCCAACATGGCACATGTATACGTATGTAACAAACCTGCACATTGTGCACATGTACCCTAAAACTTAAAGTATAATAAAAAAAATTTTAAAAAGACATTAGATTAACACTCTTAAATTGCATTAATTTTTTTGAAATAAAAAATATTGATCAATACCAACACCGTGGTCAATTATATAAGAAATAGTTCTCATTTCCAAGGTTTCTGCAAATTTGTCAATGACTTTATCAAAATGATCTTTATATATTTGTATTTAGTATCAGGATGTTCAGATCTGCTAATCTGTCTTCACTCCTACTTGATAAAATAATAATTTATATAAATCTTATTTTTGAGAAGTTTTTTCATGCACACAACAACATATATAAAAGTAGAAAATGTGTTAAACACAAATAAATTTGTTAGAAATTCATAGAAACCTTTTTCTCCATCAATTTCAGAAATTATAATGCAGACTGTCATTGCTTCTTTGGATTTGTTGTAGTTTTCCAGAGTTTTCACATTTGAAAATGTTTGCTAAAATATCCTTATAAAAAATAAAATAAAGCTATATTATATTTGGTTAAAAAAAAAAAAGAAAGAAACTCCTGTTGGCAGTGCACCTGTCACAGCCCTTCTGGAACACAATCCGGCTTTAGCTATTCACTCTTTTTTACAAATGCCTACTCTTTCACTGAGTCATTTCTTTCCTGGGAGGCTGTCGTCTACCAGGGATTAGTATACGTCATGAGCTAAATTGTGTTCCCTTCCCAAAATTTATACGTTCATGTTTTAACACCTAGTGCCTCAGAATGTGACTATACTTGAACATGTAGTCTCTGCAAATGTAATTAAGGTTAAGTGAATTCATTGGGACACATCCTAATTCAACATGACTGGGGCCCTCATTGGAAGAGGCAGTCAGGGAAGAGAAAAGCACAAGAGAAGATCTTGTGGTCACAGAGATAGAAGATGATCATCTGCAAGCCAAGGAGAGACCTCAGAGAAAACACCCAGTCACCAGCTTGAGGTTGGATTTCTAGCCTCCAGAACTGTGAGAAACTCAAATTTTGTTGTTAAAGCACTTCAGCCTGTGTTACTGTATTATGGAAGCCATAGCAAACTGTCATACTCTATTAGGACACGTAAGATGTTCCCTGAAGCATGAATGAAATGGAAATTGAATTTATTATGTCAGGCTCCATCAGCATTAAAAGGCTAAATTACTGAGAAAAAGGCTCTCCCTTATGAAATATTATGAAGACATAAGCTTCTGCCCTGACGGGGCTATAGGGATGAGTTCTGTGAGATGACTAACGCATAGAGTAACATAAGACCCTTTCTGTGTAACCCCCAGTATTTGGATAAAACCCTTCTCTAGTAACTGTACATTTTTAAATCTTAGAAAAGTTCTGGCAGGGAGGGCATTGAAGCTGCCTGCTGCAGGAGGTATCTAGGGTGGGTAGTTAAAACAATAAACATAGTAGCGACCTGCAAAGATACTCGTAGACTTGTGTAAAGTAAAAACAACACAAAAGTGTTTTCTTTGATATTCCTACAAGTATATGACTGGTGACTGTGCACCTAAGTTGCTATTATGGACTAACGGATGCCAGATTCCTCTGGGAAGGGATTGTGGGACACTTAATTGAGAACGCTTTAAAACATTTTCCAGGGAGTCCTCATATTTGGGTCTGGATCTTGGGCCTTCCCTGGTCTTTTGGGTCTCTTTCAAGACTCCACTGTGCCCACTTTCACCCCAGACTAACCCTGCCCATGGTTGTTGGCATGGTGCATGTGCTCTTTGCCAAATGAGATAAAGTAGCTTAACTCATCAAACAGCTCCTCATGGATCCCCTGCATGGAGCTCTGCAAAGAGAGTGCCTGGAAGCCTGGCCAAGAGGTGTCAGTGGCATGCCTGGCTTTCCCCACAGGGCACACCCCCATTAGAAACTCTTAGCCCCAGATCAGGCACAAAGGAACATTTGTATTGACCTCCTGCCAGGGAGAAAACCAGATGACAGCTTGAAGTTTTTGCATAAACATCTGAACAGATAAAGGTGGTCCCCAGCACTCAACTTTCTATCCTGCCAGCCATAACGTGGGGTATAAATTTGACAGACGTGTTAGCTTCTCAACAGCAGGAAACCTGCTCCTGTTTAATATGTGTGACACAATGATATTCAGGTTTTGTGAAATTCTCTGATATGGTAGATGAATAAGAGAATGCATTTCCCCTAGGGGCAGTCAGAGCTAATTACCCTATCATTAAAGATCTCTATACATGGGAATAACCAATCAGCCACATGCAGAAGGCATACTTTCTTTCTTTCTTTCTTTTTTGAGGGGGGGTGGGGACAGAGTTTCACTCTTGGTGCCCAGGCTGGAGTGCAATGGCATGATATCCACTCACTGCACCCTCCACCTCCCAGGTTCAAGTGATTGTCCTGCCTCAGTCTCCTGAGCAGCTGGGAATACAGGTGCCCACCATGCCCAGCTAATTTTTTGCATTTTTAGTAGAGATAGGGTTTCACCATGTTGGCCACACTGGTCTCAAACTCCTAACCTCAGGTGATCCACCCACCTCGGCCTCCCAAAGTGCTGGGATTATAGGCATGAGCCACCACGCCCAGCCAAAAGGCATACTTCCTAACTACTACATTTGGTATGTAATAGAAAATGAAAACGCACAGACACACACAATCTCACACAGAAACATAAGGGAATCAGTTAAAATACTCAGACAGTCACTCTGTACAGATCACATAGCTCACAGAGCACAATACCACAGTCCTGGAATGTTTGTCACTAATCCAAGACAAGACAAAGAACATCACACTACCAACAGAAGTCAGCCTCTTATTTCACACTGATTATGGAGAAGTACAGGAGTGTCAATTACAATGAAGAAAGTCAACAGAAACAGATGAGACAGGACGTCCTCAAGCAAATGTCTTTTTCATCATAGCAGCCTAACAGCCTTATGCATCCAAGAATGGTTAAACTACTTTGCCCAAACAATAATTAAGCAGCCAACCATGCTAACCCTTCACTAAAATAAATTATCTATCTAGTATCAGTCACTGATACCCCTACTCAGGCAACATGTTTTATCCATTTCACAAAGATTCCCTGTGGACTAATAATAAAGAGAGAACCTCATGTGATGGTTCTTCATCAGAAAAAAAAAAGTTAAGAAAAAGGTAAAATGAATTTTTAAATCTTTCATCAGAAAACAAAAACTCACATTTTCAATGTGACAAATATAACTTATACTTGCAAATTTGGAAAAGTAAAATTAAATATAAGAATTGTATTTCTTATAAAGTTTATTATAAGCAATACACAGTTCAGAAAAAAATGAACATGGAATAATTATGGGCACTCAAGTAAAAGAAGACAGACTTTTTTGTAATTCTCAGATAGTCTTCAAAAGAAATCAGAGCAACTGAATTGTTAAATGCTCCAGAAGTTTACAAACAATTATGTGTTTATATATAAAGTAACAGCCCATGGATGCCATGAATCTTTTTTTTTTTTTTTGAGACGGAGTCTCGCTGTGTTGCCCAGGCTGGAGAGCAGTGGCACAATCTCGGCTCACTGCAACCTCCGCCTCCTGGGTTCAAGTGAATCTTTAATTCAGTTGCAATTCCTTCAAAACTGTCTAAGACCAGAAGGTGAATTAAACCATTTTAAGCACTTCAACATGTGATTTCACCAGGAGCTGACACAGCGTTATAGTAAGAGTAAACTCATACCAAGTACTGCTGGTCAGGGTCCTCAGAGCGCAGCAGATGAATGAAGGGCCCACAACGCTCTGCTCATCAGCAAAATCTTCTGGATCAGGGTCTTCTACAGGTTGATCTGGCTGATCTTGAATCAACGTGGATACCAAATTCATTATGGAATCCACCTGTAACATGCGAGGCACAAGAAACCCACTAACGTGAAACCATTGGCATATAAAGCCATTATCAAAAGTGTTTCCAGTTATAAAATTACAGTATCAACAAGATATTCCTTTTTTTGGTGAGAAAGTCAATACACATGTATGTCATACACACATATACAGACAAAAGTCTGGAAAGATATACACAAAATGTTAATTAACAGTGGTTATTCTCTATCTGGTGGAATTATAAATGTTTTATAATTCTTTATACATCTCCAATTTTCCAATTTATATAATGAATAAGTTACTTGTAAATTTCTTTAGTATTGAATTACCCTCGCCTCCCATCTTGGGTATCTAGGTCCAAAGTCTAAAATTGTAACACTGTTTCCCTAAAATAGCACATAGGTATTCTCTTACCTGGTCTTGAGAGACAATTTCTGTGTTATAATCCAGAACACTACTTAACACATAACAACTCATGCTCTTTCTGGACTCATAGTCAAAGTACTCAAAGAGTGGGTGAAATGTTTTAATTTCAAGACTGTTAAAATATTTTTGTAAGTGTCAGCTGGTGTTTTCAAAAGTCTGGTGAGTTCCTTTGAAACTGCACTACTGGTGGAAATACTACAAAAATAAAAACAGAAGTCTTAATGAATAAAATTAACTTTCTATATACACAAATAGCACTTGTTCCATAAGAATTTGAAATTTTTCATTACACATTAAAGGAAATGGGTCAAGTGAATCATACCACCAGAAGACTATAGCAACCTCCTTTCAGGAGGATAAAAATGCTTATCTAAACACAAACACATATTCATCTATTATTTTTCTGTTGATACAAAACTAGATACAGTTTCCAACTCATGAACAGATGGTATAGCTGGAGTTAAGATGACTGTCTAGAATTCGATGACATTTCTAAGGGAAGTATTTTAAGTGGTAGTTTGGTTCCCAGGGGGCAGCCAACAAGTATTGTATATTCATGATGAAAACAAGTAGGAAGAAAATCCATGCAAAACCAGCAATTCGACACAACAGAAAAATATGTAAACTATTTCTTCTGCATCAGATGTTGGTGATTACGGAAAAGCAGGCTGCTGACTGACTTTTAGGTAGTCGTTAGTAAAATCATTCCGCAGAATTGAGGCATATTGGGACATTTATTACAACCTCTTTAGAGGTTGTTATTTCTAATTATTTTGTCTATTTTTACTTTAAAATTCACTTGGGGGGAAACACATAGATATATCATTTAGTTATTTTAATGTTTTTAATTTTTAGTTTTATTTTTTATTAGAGATGGGGTCTCGCTATGTTGCCCAGGCTGTTCTCAAACTCATGGACTCAAGTGATTCTCCCAACTCAGCCTCCTGAATATCTGGGATTACAGATGCAAGCCACCACACCTGGTACATCATTTAATTTTCTCTCACACTTATCATTCCATATCTGGATTTGTTTTCAGTTCACACACACACAAAACCAAAAATGACCAAAAGAAAAAGGGTAATACAAAGGGGGGGGGGAAAAGAAGAAATTTTATTGATGCAGGTAAACCACTGGAAGGGAGATAGAAAGGAGGAAGATTACATGAGGTAAAATTCTGAAGAATATGGGCGGGGGAGGCGGGCCTGGCTTAACCCAAGTCCAGAGCAGTGGGGAAGGGGCAGGAAGGGAACTTCTGGGGAAAGTACAGGATCAGTGCTGCCCACAGTGGCCACTAGAGGACGCCATAGGTCTAGAACAGAACAGCTCGGGAGGCTTCAAGTTGGAAACAGTACTGTTGATATTTCCTTGAAGGTATCAAAATCAAAGCTCAAAATAGAAAAGATAATTAAACCAATTTAATTCTGCACCTTAAATATATATACACCCCTCATTTTTCACCATGTACTCATTCGTAGGAAAACATCTCTTATGGAAATAAATACTGCCTGACAAAGTTTCCTTACCAGTTTAAGAACAAACTCATTCACTTATAGCAAGCTTGTCCAAACCGCAGCCCACAGGCCGCATGCAGCCCAGGATAGCTTTGAATGCGGCCCAACACAAATTTGTAATTTTCTTAAAACATTATGAGCTTTTGCGATTTTTTTAAGCTCATCAGCTATTGTTAGTGTTAGTGTATTTTATGTGCGGCCCAAGAAAATGCTTCTTTCAGTGCAGCCCAGGGAAGCCAAAAGATTGGACGCCCCTGACACACAGAGAGGGATCCAAATTGGAGGCACTGGTCCCTGAAGACTGCCTATGGTCCATAGGTACCACAATTTCATTAATATAAAAAAACAAGTAATTGGTCACCACTTTCTGCCCCTAGTAGTGCTAAGCATGGCAACCTTTTTTTTTTTTTTTTTTTTGAGACGGAGTCTCCCTCTATCACCCAGGCTGGAGTGCAGTGGCACAATCTCGGCTCACCGCAAGCTCCGCCTCCCAGGTTCACGCCATTCTCCTGCCTCAGCCTCCCTAGTAGCGGGACTACAGGCGCCCGCGCCCACGCCCGGCTAATTTTTTTGTATTTTTAGTAAAGACGGGGTTTCACCATGTTAGCCAGGATGGTCTCAATCTCCTGACCTCTGATCCGCCTGCCTCGGCCTCCCAAAGTGCTGGGATTACAGGCGTGAGCCACCGTGCCCGGCCAGCATGACAATCTTAATGCATGATTAAAACAAGACAAATGCCAGCAGTTCAAAAAACAATTGAGAAAGAAAAGCAAATCTAAGACAAAAATGTCTTTATGAAGATTTTTACAAAAAATGTAACTTACTGTTCAAGGTTGAGCTTATTGAATATCTCCGCTGCTGTTTCTAGAACTTTATCAATATAGTCCACACGATCAGGGTAACATTTCATGTCAAGATTAACGAGAGAGACTTGTAAAGATAAAACATCCTCTGAAGGCATGTCTTGTCTAGACTGGAATGTTTAGAAAACCACACAATTTATTTTAAACAATTGTAAAAAGAAGGCAGAGAAGTTTCAAAGTTTTGAGAACTTAGGAGAAATGCTACACAAACCTGTATCACTGTAGCCACCTGCTGTGAAAATATATCAAAAAGTTTAATATCTGCTGGGATTCCAGGTCCATCTTCACAGTGGCAAATAAAGCTAATCTAAAAAAAACCCCAAAACCCCTTTATTTTAAAAGATACAGGGTTTGGGTAGTGAGATCATGGATGACATCTTATTCTTTATTGCTTTTCTATATTTTATATGAGCCCAAAAGGTTTTTAAGTCGATCATTCCCTCAGTGTTTTGATATAGGGTCTTCCTCTCTTGCCCAGGCTGCAGTGTAGTCGCGCAGTCTCCCCTCAATGAAACCTCCACCTGCTGGGCTCAAGCTATCCTCCCACCTTAGCCCCCTGAGTAGCTGGGGCTAACAGCATGTGCGACCATGCCCAGCTAATTTTTACGTTTTCTGTAGTGATGCGGTTTTGCCATGTTGCCCAGGGTGGTATTGACCTGGACTCAAGCAAGCCTCCCAAAGAGCTGGGATTACAGATGTGAGCCACTGCACCCGGCCTCCTCAATTCATTTTTAACTAAACAGTTTTGCCAATGAAACCTTTTTCATCAGCATTCTTATTTCATACCATACTAAGTAGGTTTTCAAAAAGATAATTCTCTCAAACTCTTTGAAGCATAATTAAGTAGATATGGACAGAAATGCATTAAAGTGACAAATGTATTCAACAACCATGATTTAAATAAATAATCTTTAAAAATAAAAGTACAGACTATTTTAAGATACAGCATTTTTACTGCTTAAAGTTTGAAATACAACTAAGTCTAAAATTCATAAAATTAACTTTTATTTCCCACATCTTAAATTACTCAAAGTAATGTCTGTTTCATTATCATTATCTGTTTGTCAGAGTCACAACTACATCCACACTTTGTTATGCCCAGAAGCATCACTACTGACAGAGATGTGTAAGTGACATTACAGACAACACAGGAAAATCCAGTTACTAGCTTCCTTTAAGAGTGGGCCCGATCAAAAACTGGAAGCATTCCCTTTGAAAACTGGCACAAGACAGGGATGCCCTCTCTCACCACTCCTATTCAACATAGTGTTGGAAGTTCTGGCCAGGGCAATTAGGCAGGAGAAGGAAATAAAGGGTATTCAATTAGGAAAAAAGGAAGTCAAATTGTCCCTGTTTGCAGACGACATGATTGTATATCTAGAAGACCCCACTGTCTCAGCCCAAAATCTCCTTAAGCTGATAAGCAACTTCAGCAAAGTCTCAGGATACAAAATCAATGTACAAAAATCACAAGCATTCTTATACACCAACAACAGACAAACAGAGAGCCAAATCATGAGTGAACTCCCATTCACTATTGCTTCAAAGAGAATAAAATACCAACTTACAAGGGATGTGAAGGACCTCTTCAAGGAGAACTACAAACCACTGTTCAAGGAAATAAAAGAGGATACAAACAAATGGAAGAACATTCCATGCTCATGGGTAGGAAGAATCAATATCATGAAAATGGCCATACTGCCCAAGGTAATTTACAGATTCAATGCCATCCCCATCAAGCTACCAATGCCTTTCTTCATAGAATTGGAAAAAACTACTTTAAAATTCATATGGCACCAAAAAAGAGCCCGCATCGCCAAGTCAATCCTAAGCCAAAAGAACAACACTGGAGGCATCACACTACCTGACTTCAAACTATACTACAAGGCTACAGTAACCAAAACAGCATGGTACTGGTACCAAAACAGAGATACAGATCAATGGAACAGAACAGAGCCTTCAGAAATAATGCCGCATATCTACAACTATCTGATCTTTGACAAACCTGAGAAAAACAAGCAATGGGGAAAGGATTCCCTATTTAATAAATGGTGCTGGAAAAACTGGCTAGCCATATGTAGAAGGCTGAAACTGGATCCCTTCCTTACACCTTATACAAAAATCAATTCAAGATGGATTAAAGACTTAAACGTTCGACCTAAAACCATAAAAACCCTAGAAGAAAACCTAGGCATTACCATTCAGGACATAGGCATGGACAAGGACTTCATGTCTAAAACACCAAAAGCAATGGCAACAAAAGCCAAAATTGAAAAACGGGATCTCATTAAACTAAAGAGCTTCTGCACAGCAAAAGAAACTACCATCAGAGTGAACAGGCAACCTACAAAATGGCAGAAAATTTTCACAACCTACTCATCTGACAAAGGGCTAATATCCAGAATCTACAATGAACTCAAACAAATTTACAAGAAAAAAACAAACAACCCCATCAAAAAGTGGGCAAAGGACATGAACAGACACTTCTCAAAAGAAGACATTTATGCAGCCAAAAAACACATGAAAAAATACTCACCATCACTGGCCATCAGAGAAATGCAAATCAAAACCACAATGAGATACCATCTCACACCATTTAGAATGGCAATCATTAAAAAGTCAGGAAACAACAGGTGCTGGAGAGGATGTGGAGAAATAGGAACACTTTTACACTGTTGGTGGGACTGTAAACTAGTTCAACCATTGTGGAAGTTGGTGTGGCGATTCCTCAGGGATCTAGAACTAGAAATACCATTTGACCCAGCCATCCCATTACTGGGTATATACCCAAAGGACTATAAATCATGCTGCTATAAAGACACATGCACACGTATGTTTATTGCGGCATTATTCACAATAGCAAAGACTTGGAACCAACCCAAATGTCCAACAATGATAGACTGGATTAAGAAAATGTGGCACACATACACCATGGAATACTATGCAGCCATAAAAAATGATGAGTTCATGTCCTTTGTAGGGACATGGATGAAATTGGAAATCATCATTCTCAGTAAACTATTGCAAGAACAAAAAACCAAACACCGCATATTCTCACTCATAGGTGGGAATTGAACAATGAGATCACATGGACACAGGAAGGGGAACATCACACTCTGGGGACTATTGTGGGGTGCGGGGAGTGGGGAGGGATAGCATTGGGAGATATACCTAATGCTAGATAACGAGTTAGTGGGTGCAGCACACCAGCATGGCACATGTATACATATGTAACTAACCTGCACAATGTGCACATGTACCCTAAAACTTAAAGTATAATAATAAAAATAAAATAAAATAAAATAAAATAAAATAAAATAAAATAAAATTAAATTAAAAAAAAGAGTGGGCCCAATAAGTATGGAATTTTTGCTGCCCAGGATTGAGCTGATGATTTGGAAAATTTTGTTATCTAAATTCTCAGACTTTAAAATGAATAACTTAGTTTTTTAAAAAAAACATACAAAAGGTATCTGCAGAAATAAATCTTCTCTTAGGTTTCTGGTTTCATGACAATGCTTACAAGTGTAGGACAGACATTATGTACTACTACACAACATGGCTGCAAAAAAAGTCACCCATTGGCTAAGCATGGTGGCTCCCGTCTGTAATCCCAGCACTTTGGGAAGCCAAGGCAGGCAGATCATCTGAGCTCAGGAGTTTGAGACCAGCCTGGCCAACCCAGCAAAACCCTGTCTGTACTAAAAGTACAAAAATTAGCCGGGCATGTTGGTGCGTGTCTGTAATCCCAGCTACTCCGGAGGCTAAGACCCTAGAATCACTTGAACCCAGGAGTTGGAATTTGCAGTGAGCCGAGACAGCGCCACTGCACTCTAGCTTGGGTGACGGAGTGATACCTTGTCTGGAAAAAAAAAAACAAAACAAAACAAGAAAATGAAACTTAAAGTGGGTGTACTAAACATATTTGATACCTAAAATTTTTTCTTTAAGAAAATGTGATGATAGAGTGATTACTTGAACATTTTCAATCATCTGTATCTTATGGCTACTCTAAATCAAATGAGTTCCCACTGCAAGATATTTACATCATGGTAAAAAACAAATTATGTTCTTCAATATGATCTTTGGATTTGTACAATTTAAAAAATAAGTCTGTACAACCTCTTTAAATGTCAGTTAAGTGCACAGAATAAAGATATTCATTATCTTCATGTCTCCTGCACATTTAAGTTAAGCCTCTTTCATGTCAACCTAGGCAAGTACCTAGTATTCATACTCACAAAGCTAAATTATTTATATTATAATTAAATTAAGATCATTGGTATGATGAAGATGTAACAGAAACAAATAATTCAAAAAATGTTTAAAATTCATTATTCCCAAGTCAGAGCATTTATCCTCCAGTGTTGGAAGGTCTTACCTATCAATTAAAGCAATGATTATGTTTTTCACGTTTACATTCTGGTGTAACTCAGCACAGGTTCGAAGAAAGGGATTCAAAGTCTGGAGGTGAAATTCATCAGGGAAAACCTGAAAATCAAATGATCAGTACAAGTAAAAGTATTTCACATAATATTCTGAACTCACATACGGTAAAGTTCACATTTGTGGGAAAAAAAATTTTATACAACTAAATTCAAACACATTACTTTTGAAGCTCTCTACTAAACATAAGCTCAGACACAAATATTCCAGTAAACAAAGTGTACCTACAATTAAACTAAAGCTACGGAGACCTAGAAAACTCAGATTACTCATTCCTACATTTTGGAGGAAAACAAACCACATTGATACAAAGACCAAGTTATAACAGAAAGCTCTTGTTTTAAAATTATTTTTAGAAGAAGCAAGTTTACATGAAAAAAAAGCATTAAAAATGATTTCAATTTTTTATAGAAACGGCATCTTGCTATGTTGCCCAGGCTGGTTTTGAACTCCTGGCCACAAGAGATCCTCCCACCTTGAACTCCCAAAGTGCTGGGATTATAGGTGTGAGTCACCACACCCAGCAAGGAAAATTCTTTATTCAGGAAAGCTTATTTCCTATTCCATCAAAATTTTTTCAAAACAATTAAATTTAATGAAACATAAAATAGGTCCTTTAAAAAAATGAAATAAATGTTCACACCTACCTGAATAACACACCTCATGAGATATTCTTGAGCCAAAGTATCCCTACAGTTTACAACTTGCTCCAATATGCCAGACAAAACAATCTAAAAGAGAAAAAACACACACATAAGGGTTAAAATCTGTTTTTGAAATCTTAAGCTATTCCCCTAGTAACACATTTGAACTACTAACTTGAAAATCGTATTTGAGATTTTTCCCACCAAGACTTCACTTCTAAACTGTAAAAGCTATTTTCTTTTTGAGACAAGGTCTTGTTCAGTTGCCCAGGCTGGAGTAATAGTGGCACAATCTCCACTCAATGCAACGTCCACCTCCTAGGCTCAAGCCATCCTCCCACCTCAAGCCTCCTGAGTAGCTGGGACTACAGGTACATTCCATCATGCCCAGCTAATTTTGGTAATTTTTGTAGAGATGGGGTCTCCCTATGTTACCCAGGCCTATCTCAAACTCCTGGACTCAAGTGATCCATCTGCCTTGGCCTCTCAAAAGTGAGCTTTTTTCTTCATGGCTTGTGCTTGTGTATCCTCAGAAATCTTTGTCTAATCCTAGGTCACAAAGATTTCCTCTGTGTTTTCTTCTAACAGTTTTAGTTTCTATATTTAGGTCTCTGATTGATTTTTGTGTTTTTTCTATATGGTATGAGGGATGGGTCAAGGTTCAGGGTTTTTTGTTTGTTTGCGTATAAACATCCAATTGTTCCAGAATCACTTGCTGAAAAGGTTGCCTTTGTACTTTTATCAAAAATAACTGATCATAAATATCTGGGTCTATTATGGATTGTCCAGTCAGAGATCAGTAAACTGAGCTGCTGCTTGTTTTTACAAATAAAGTTTTACTGGAACACAGCCTTGCCCATTCACTTCCATATTGTCTGTGGCTGCTTTTGCACCATGTCTGCACTGTTATTAGTTGTAGACTGGGGTGTCCAATCTTTTGGCTTGAAGAAGAATTAGAAGAAGAATTGTCTTGGGCCACACATAAAATACACTAATAATAGCTGATGAGCTTTAAAAAAAAAAAAAGCAGAAAATCTCATGTTTTAAAGTTTACAAACTTACGTTGAGCCACGTTCAAAGTTGTCCTGGGCCGCAGGTTGGACAAGCTTGTTGTACAGTATATGTCTTGCAAAGCCAAAAACCATTTATTATCTGGTCCCTCACAGGTAAAGTTTTCCATTCCCTGTTTTATTCCCCTCCATTGATTGTGTGTCTATCCTTTTCACCAGTACCGCACAGGCTCTCACTGTAGCTTTAGAGTAAATCATGAATTCGAGTTGTTTGGGTCTTTCAACTTTATTCTTCCTTTTCAAATTTGTTGTAGCTGCTCCAGGTTCTTTGTTTCTTCATATAAACCTTAGAATCAGCTTCTTAATTTCTACAAAAGTCTGCTGGGATTTTGACTGAAATTACACTGGATCTATAGATCAATTTTTTAAAAAATGTTACCTTGGCAATATTCAGTCTTCCAATCCACAAACATTGCATATATATTTTTCCGTTTATTTAAGTCTTCTTCAATAAAAGCCATTTTAAGATTTTTTCAATGTAATATTATATAACAAAAATATTCTTATTTTAAAAACCAGATTTCAGTTTATCTCAGAACATAAGAAGAGGTAACAAAAAGATATAAACCTGTTTGTAATGTTCTACATTTACACCTTCCAACTGACTGAGGTGCACCAAATGTGTTCCCACTAAAATTCTCAGTTCTTGTCTTTCTCGCTCTCTTTTTTCTCTATCTCAGCTATGTCCTTGATGCTGCATTCGCACCCAGAACTTGTTCATTTCTGCAAAGTTGAGCAGTACAAAATCCATGGAATCACTGATATTGCTAGTTGTTTCTTCGCTGCAAAGAAACAGAAATGTCTTTACACAGTATTTATAGGACCAACTTACTATCCCTCTCCTTTGTGCAATTCCCACTTATCTCTGTAGTACATCAATGCTTTATTTAAAAAACCACTTTCAACTTCATTGGCTTAGTGTTAAATTTCAAAGAGAACAGACTCTAGGGAAAAAAGTACCTGGAGAGGACAGTATAAATTTAAAGGGCAAGTTACTTTCCCCAACTCCCTATCCTGGGCCAACTGGACTTGCTCTTATGGCAACTTCCTTAATTCAAAAAGGCTAGAAGGATGGGCATGGTGGCTCATGTCTGTAATCCAGTGCTTTGGGAGGCCAAGGCAGGAAGATCGCTTTAGGCCACGAGTTTAAAACCGGCCTGGGCAACATAATGAGACCCCATCCCTACAAACAAACAACCAAAAAAAATACGAAAGGCTAAAAAACGTAACACTTATGGTGTACTGCTAACTATATCATTTTTCTGTTGAATATTTTGTTTTTGATTGGAATGTAAGCTTTGTGAGGGAAGAGACCATGGATTTCCTGCTTTATTTTTCTGCATCTCCTAGGATGGAGACCTCAGTAGCTTTCAAAAATTTTTATTGATCGCCTAGTTAAATGCTCAAAATGGACAGTCAAAACGTAATGAAGCAAATAACTTCATCAATTTCTCTATATTGTTAAATTTTTTGTCTTTTCTTTACTGTTTAAGAAGAAATTGATGCAGTTGTATTAAAAACCATTGAATTGTACACCTTAGAAATAAATGGAAATATTAAAAAAAAAAAAACTCTGTTGGGGCAAACTGAAAAAAGATTAAAAATTAAAGAAAGAGAATAAATGAATAAACTTTTTAAAATAAAAGGAATGAAGTTCTTTAATCTGGAGACCTGTCATGTGAACAGCTCACCCCACTGAAGACCACAGTTGGCTGACCATCTGCCCCTGCTGTGGGATAAAAGTACAGTAGACGTTGATGCTAGAATACTGATAACACAAGAGACAGGAGTGTCTCTAAATGGCTTTTATTTTTTCTTCTGTGGAGTTAATAGCTAACTTGTAACAGCTAATTTAAATCACTTACATTCCAAGGTAACTAGCAGTCTATAAATTATAAAAACTGATAGACATTAAAGGAACAATTATGAAATCCAGCTGGCTCACACTTTATTATTTCATTACAAATTCAATCTCCAAATATAACCCCCTTAAAAAAGTTGTATTTTCAAAGAATGTTTAAAGTAGTGGAAAAATGCTCAATTACATTAAATGAAAAAAGCAGGTCCTAATAATCCAAAGATAAAATTTGCATAAGAGTACATTTTAGATCATACCACATATACTGAGGAGTTCTATATTACAAAGGAAATCTGTATACAAATGCTACCTAAATGGCTAAGTGGAAGAATTATTCATACTTACTTTGTTTCTGTACATGTTTCCACACTTTCATACATTCTACAATGAAAGAAATATTGCAACAAAATCAAGAAAGAAAATCACTCACTCTGTTGGCTCTCCTTCATCAAGTAAGATATTTCTGGTACACTGAAGAAGGTAATTTCGAAGAAACAGACCCCTCAAGGGATGCTGCACACCACGGCACATTTCTACCAAATCTTTCAAAATGTCCTTCCTGGATTGAGGAAATGACTTGGCATATACAACTCCAACTGTGATCAAAAGGTAACTAGGAGGATTATGAAGAAATGCTGATTAGAAATAAAATATTCAAATCAAGAATTTATTTCCAAACACACTGAACAAAACATTAAATAAACAAGACAGGAACCATGTTGTTTTCTCCTGCATGAAAAGGAAAATATCTGATTTAAAATATAACCACTGACTGACCTCTGAAAAACTATGTATACACACACACACACACACACACACACATAGACATATACTGTATATATAAAAGATAGATATTACTTTTAAACATATTAGGAAGAGAATAATTGTCATATTAATTTTTCTAACAGTCAAGACATTAAACAAAATAGCAAGCATGTCCATTTTTTTCTCTTTCTAAAATTCCTCAAATATCTACATAAAACGTCAGTCTAGTTACTCTAAAACAAATAAGAGAGTATCTACCAAAATGTTCATCTCAATTTGTTAAGAAATTACCCTTAAAACTTTTTTAAGCTGATAATCATAAAGAACATAAAGTGGGAAATACAGACACAAAATCCTCCAATTTGTAATTACTTACAGCCTTGGGATAATGTTTCCAGCATACTGTACAAGTTCATAGAGATCTGCCACTTTCCTTCCTTTAGCAAACTCATCTGTCAGGTAGACCTCCAAGTAGTGCAGTTATCAGAAATGGACATATCTTTTAATTATGATTAAGGACTAAAAATAAAGATAAGCCAACCTAAGCAAAACTTTGAAACTTGTTGGAGTCATTATTAATTACTGGGCGGATATCTTAAGTTTTAGTCCTTTAAGAGAGTGTTCAAGTGAAGACAGAATTTTAGCTGGACTTTTCTTACTTCAAAATAAGGGTTTTAAAGCATGTGTGGTCAAGCAAAGCAGTAAATACAATGGTTACGTGTCAGACTGCTAATGGGTTTTGAAATAGCAAATGATTAAGTTCCTGTCCATTTGAGACTGCTGCATAACAAAATCTAAGTATTAAAGAACCAACTGTGTCATAGCCTAAATATCCTCATGAAGGGTCTGAAAATTGAGATGCACCGACAACACATTTAAAGATGTTTAAGCATAGGAAAGGAGTACTCTCAAAGTGTTTTTCTCACTTAGCACATCTGCATGGAGAAGGAGTGCCATGTGACTCAGATAACGAAGAATAAGATAACTCCAGAAAAACTTCATAAAGAACAAATGAGATTGGCTTTATCAAGAAAAAGGTATGGTCCAAATGTTTAGTCTTCAACATTCAAAAGATACAAAGTTCATAGTAGCTCTTTGGTGATAACATAGAAGTCCGGAGTTCACCAAGCATATTAGAAGCATGTTTTAGAGCATCCATAAGCTTGTTTTTATCCTACAGAAATACCAAAAGAATAGATGAGAATGCTTAATTTAAATAAACATTTATCTTGGTTGTACAAACTCTTTACATCAAGGACTTGTTACATAGTTTTAACAGTATACAGCACTTAAATGATTTTAACCACATAAAAAATCAACTTAGATCATTTCACCTTGCCGTCTCTACTAAAAAGAAAAAGATGCATGACTCTTAGTTGACTTACATAACTAGGACTGCAAGCTTCTTGATAGAGCGCTAATCTTTTCAATCTATAGAGACTAGGAAACTAGCTCCATTCATCACATTTTAACTGCAATCAAGAGAACTGGCATACTGATTCAGGTGAAGCAAGATACTATCCTGACATGGCTTTGTCATGGGTTAAAGACTCTTCAGAGCTGTCTGAAATGACTATCCATGTAAGTTTGCTTTCCTCTTGCATTCTTCAAATCCTCGCAATGCCCATATGTTCCACTTAACTCAGAAATGCAAGCAATTCCTTGAGATAGAGGAAACACTATCCATACACAGGAAGAGAAGGAAGCAAGCAATAGCAAACCCTTCTTCTCCATTCCAAGACATTTATTTTTCATTCCCAATTTGTTAGGAATGAAACCAATAAAAGATACAAGAGCATATTACTATGCTTTAGAAAGCATAGTAAGACATTTTACAAAGGTAAGACAGAATCATCTTCATCACAGTAATTTATAGCTTAAAGTACCAACCAATTTGGCTTAATTCCTTACATTTTAATCCAGAGAATCAACAGTATCTACACAGATTATCTCTTACTTTATCTTTTAGAATAAGAAAATATATAAATAAGTGTTAAGTATAATTTTTAAGCTAGCTACAATAAATATATCTATTCAGGAAAGAAATTAAAGTTTTCAAGATATTTAGAAAAAAAGCCGAATAATTCAAATGCAAAGCATTTAAATCCATTCATTCAACAAATATTTACTGAGTACCTATTATATGTTAAGTACTCCTCAGGTCTGAGGTATAGAACCAAGGAGGCTAGTAATTCTGGTCAGACACTGGTGTGGTAATAATACAGTAATGTGTAAATAAAAGGAAGGGTCTCTTGTTCTTATGAGCTTGTATTCTAGTAGGGAAGACAGACAATCCCAAACCATAAATATACATGTGAGTAAACAGGGCTCTTTGTTGAAACTGCTCCACGCAGTGCTTGGAGGAGATGAGATTGAAGATAGATGCTGGTAGACAGTGAAGATTAGATTTACCAGAAATGGTGGTGCCACCTGACTCTAGAAGACACTGCACATGCTTCCTTAGGAACATACGAACTGCAACTGTGCCTCCCACATCTCCATTCTTACCAGGAATCTCTTCATTTGGAATGACTGGACCTTCACAGCCTGTATGGCTTCATCCAAGAGCTTTTCCTGCTCATCCTGAGGGGACTGCTGTGTTGTAGGCTGAAAAATAAAAAATTCCACTGATGTCTCAAGCACATTCTTCTAGCAAATATGTTATTTTCATAGTTTTAGCCATAGTCCTTCTCCAAGACTGTCACAAAAGGATCAATCCAGCTCTATACCTCAAACTCATTTACCAATTATTAACTGCTGCTGCACACAGAGCCATGCCTCATCATTGAAATTAACAGAATAAGACTGACAAAGGAGAACAGTATGTGTACAAAGAATTGCCTCTCTCTCAGAAACTGACTCAACATTCTTGTAGTAGGCTGGCATCAAAGAAACTTGCAGTGGTAGTTCATGGCTGTGTTCTGCTAACACACTCTGAATACAACCCAGACATAGCCATCCGGCCAATCAAAATCTTGTGACAGGTATAGCCAAAACCAATCTCTAAAGCCTCTCTTTTCCTGTAGACTGCTTATCATCTGCATTTCAGTCTATTCTTAGACAGACTAAGGAACTAATTTATGAGATCACTGACCATTAATATGCACGATTTACTATGACATTTACATTCTCATTACTACAATTTATTCCCAAGTAAGTGTCTTTTACTTTAGAGAGTCTTGTATGTTTGTTGTTTAGGTTTACACATATGGTGCCATAAATGGAACCTGAAAAGTTTGCTATGGAAGGAATTGGTGATTCTCGGAGCACGTATGCAGTTCTCACCTTATACCACTGAGCGCTCTGCTCGTATGTCACCTTTTCTGCGCTGGTGAGTCTTCCCTCACGTTAAGAATCTGTTACTTTGATACAGGATTTTTGACATTGTTGGGATCCAGTTTGAATAAGGCTACTTTAATAAAAGACCATCTATCCCTCCTAGCATAATAAAAGGCCTTTTGTCTATTCTGGTAAGTCCTTTCCGCTCTCAAGACAAATATCTTTCTGGATTGAGCACTCTTGTTTTGTACCGAACTTACCTTCTGTCTGTGAGGCATTTATTTTCTGGTTTGCGCACCTAGTTTAATATTTTGTTTGATTTACATATTTTTGTGAACATTTTAATCCTGGTTTCCTTTGAATTGGTTTGACTTTTTCCCCTTGCTTGTTTCAAAAAAGTGGCACTAGTAAAGTAGTTGCCACTATCGAAAACACTAGTCTAAACTCCTGGCATTTTCTTACAAGATTTATAGGATTTTCTTTGCTCTCTAGCTATTAATAAGAAACAGAATGTGATTCTCAATCATTAAGGCATGCTAGGTTTTCCTGAACTCCTGATGATTACATATTATGTTGCATTCTTTGGCACATTTTAAAATTAATAGGCAAAATTACATCAGAAAAAATATAGGTCTCAAATGGTCGTTATTTTAAAAATTCACAACTATAGAGTTAACACATGGAGTCCTCTAGGTTCTCTGTCTCTCTTTTTTCCTGCCTACGCTGTATCTGCTTACTTTTCTACTGGTGTTGAGATAAAACTCACTGCATATGGTATTCCAGCCAAGATTTTTTTTAAAACTTTATTTACATGTTTATTACATGTTTATAACTTGATGTTGAGCATGTATTAGTATAGACTTAACATACAACTTGGGAGAAAAGCTGACATTCTCCACTGAATGGGTTAAAAAGGAATGTAAAACTACAAAATACTTAAGTGTGAGTTCTAAATTATGGCAAACAGAACAATAAATACCTTGTCATTTTTCTTTCTAATTTTCCAAGATAGATTTCATTATAAAAATTGTTTGATAACAATTTAAGAAGGGAAAGTAAGGGATACTCATAAAAACTGTTTTACTTTAATTATAGGGTACAAATAAGAGTCTTAACACAGAAATCCTACCTCCTATTTAAAATATAAATTCTTGATGATATAATGAATCAAGGGGGATTAATTAATGTCAGTTGAAAATCTAATGACTTAAATCCATAAATGCCATTTGCTTTTGTCTGGAAGAGTTAGGCTGATTTAACGGTGACACACAGCAGAGTCCTATTTGACATTCATGTTAACTGTTTGGTGCTCAGAATGGAGATGGCCAAATACCAAGTACTTAGTGACAGAAAGTCAGAATTAATCTGTTCCAAGTGACTAAGAGCCAATAGAATTAATCTCCATCTCCTGATTTATGGTTGTGAACAAATGGATAGCTTTTTTCACCGCAAGTTTCAAAATTAAACTCTATTCTGAAGCTGCTGAAATTCACAGAACACAGAGAATACTGTCTATAGTGTAATTTCAATGTTTAAACGGTTTAAATACAAAATTATGGGTGATTATCAAAACTATTATTGGTAATAGTTTCTTTTGATTCCGTACATGCCCCTTAGCACATTTTGTGAAGAAATGAGTGTTCTTTTTAATACTACTCATCTTTACTCAAATACGGTAAAAAATCATTTTAAAATTATTTTCTACCATGGATTACAGAAGACTCTTACTAAAAGTGAATAATGCTTATTGTTCTAAGTGTTTAGAGAATCATCTGAAAAATATATTCTTTCTAATACTACTTACAAAAAACATTTAATGAAGGTAACTCACTTCTAATTATATTATTCTAGTGATAAAACACTTTCTCATGTAACTATTTAAAACAGATGATTTATGGCTTTTCAATTTTTAGAATTTCACATTTAATGTCATGTTAAAACTTTTCTAAATCAGTCTTCCAGTATCAGATTCTTCAATGAGAAAGAAAAAAAAGGACAAAAGAGGAAAATTCCTTATCAATTATTTAGCCTCCTCCCTTCCCTAGAAACCAACATTTTCCTTTAAATGCAAGGCACATTCCTTTTCTTAGAACAGAGATCAGGAAACTTTTTGTGTGATTTTGTGTAAAGGGCCAGATAATAAACATTTTGGGCTTTGTGAATCTCATTTGGTTTCTATTGCAGCTGTTTACCTTTGGCTGGTGTAGTGGGAAAGCAGCCATAGACAATCTGCATTTATAAGAACAAGTCCAAATTTGGCCTTCGGGCCATAGTTGGCCAACCGCTGCCTCAGAAGAATAGATCTGTATATGTAAAAGAATCATTCGAAAGAAACTGGTCTCTAGTCAGATGTGATGTCTGATTCAGAATCTAGTAGCTAATCACTCTAGAATATTTTGAAGTCAAGCACTTTGAATTTAGCCAACTTTCTGCTTTTAGTTAAGATTCTTCTATTGAAACACATGTTATGCTTTTCACTGGAGATAATTTCTCTTCATTTAAGAATGTGCTTCAGTATTATTTATTGAGGGGATTCAGTTTAAAATTAATAAATGGTGTCCATACAATTTAATATCCAATTTAATTTTTAAAAAACTTAATAAAAAATATAATGGAATCAAAACATGTAAGTACACTCTCTATCCACTCCAGTAATTCATTTAAGTCATACCAACTATAGAATATGAAAAATCAATTCAGAAGTGTAATTACTTTAAAATATACTACTTCCACTTTTGTCAGTATTTTACATTTATGTATCTATTCTACAGTGGAAGCAGAAATTCTCTCCAAATACATTATCTCCTTAAAATCTTGAGGTGCCTATTAGAGCCACAGTCAATCTCTGACATATAAAATTGCAGCACAGGCCTTTCAAATTTGGCATTTCACTGGTACAATACAACGACCAAGATATATAATAATATGTAATAAGTAAAGTGCCTACACATTATACAATATATATCATACAATATAATATGTAAAGTGCCTAGACATTCCAGTAAGAACCATTATTTTCTTTAATGTAGAATGATTAATATATATTCTACAAGGGGCACTGAGATTAGTAATTCTATAGGGTATGTCCTGACATAATTTTCAAATTGTACAATAACATAAACAACTTTGTTAAGGCCATGTTTTATTTGCTGATTAATGGACACAAGGCAATGTAATTTATTTTCAAGTATTTCCTTGAAAGTCTGTGCTCATAAAAATCATGAAAAGTTGGAAAGACTGTTAAATCACTGAAACTTTAAATATATCTTACACAATCTTGTTTGTACAAAAATACAAGTTAAATATAAACATAAAGCAATCATGAAAATGTTATGCAAATCTGTTTTATGTGATCATCAGTTATATATAAAAGTTTCTCAATTCTGTTATTTATGAAAAGATCAATACCAGATTGAATGACTATCTATTGACAAAGGGCCCTAAAAAGCTTACTTTAGCACTAATCTTTTACATGGTTAAGGGCATTTCCTAATTTGAGATCACCTAAACACTGGAAAAAAAATGAAAGGGCAGTATGTCCATAAACCAACAAATAATTTGGCTGTAATGTATCATAAGACACAAAGAAACCCCACACATCTGTACAATAAACATGTATTAGATACTCACACACAGGTGTATGTGTGTGTGCATGCACATACACACACACACATACACGCAACACACACCCAGTCATAAAACAAAGCCTAATGAGGTGCTGCTTCCAGTTCAATATTCACCTGTGCATTTTTTTCTTATTTCATCAAATGAAGAGCTTTTTGTCACCGTGCCATTCTTGAAGACAGTATGGAGAAGATCATGACCATATTCCTCAAGGTCTCCTTTTCTTTCCTCCAGTGTAACAAAATTCTCTGCTGGCGTCCTATGTAAAGATAACTGGCCCTTTGGAACTTTTGTTGGGATCCCACTCACAGGAACCTCAGGCTGTATCTACCTGGCCAAGCTCACCTAGATGGTGGAGGCAATTAGGCCTGCCTTGGGAGCCCAGGGACCTTAGCCTCAGTCTCTTCATATTTAGAAAAGGGCAAGAAAACCGTTTTTTGAAAAAACTGAACACAAGGAGACGGCAGCGCTTAGTGATGAATGAGGAGTGTGAGAGCTGAAGCAGGTTTGGCATCCAGCAGCTGTGTGCCAGGTGGGCTTGGGCAGGAACCTCTCAGACTCAGTTTCCTCATCCCTGAGTAACAACAAAAACAGTAACAATAAAAGTATTGACATTTACAAGATGTCCAAAAGATTATAGAATATTGTGTGTAGAAAGAAGCTGCGCCATCCCTGGTAAAGTCAGAACCCAAGAAATTGCAGCTCCTACTTCTTCCATCATCATCTCTAGGAAGTAAGATTATGAGAGTTTTACTGAGCAGCAATTTTTCCTCATTTCTCTTAGCAACAGCACTAGTAACTTTTAAACACCAGCAAGCCAAACGTCCTATGCAAATGAAATCCTGCCCTTAAAGGACCATGGCTGGGCAGCATGGGCCCAGGTGTGGGCCCCATGGTGGTTAGTGGAGGGCAAGAGAGAAATTGGGCCCTCTCCACCCAGAGACTCAGAGAGGCCAGAAAAAGGCCTCTCCAGGAAGCAGAAGGCTAGAAGGCCTTGCAGGGGACCCTGACTAGCCTTCAGGGCACCTGACAGGGCTGGGCCTGTGCCAGCTTCCCTCACTTTCCACCTCTCCACAGAAGAACCTGGCCGCAGGTGGCAGGTGGGTCTGAGGCTGCCAAGCACTCACCAGACGCTGTGGGTACCTTCAATATGGCCCTTTTTGAAACAGCAGCTCAAGCAGATCCTTGGGGAGCAGCTTCCTCATCGTCTGGAACTTCTCACTCCAGGCCCGGGTCTGCACGGGAGCCAGGGAGGGAGATGCGGGCTCACCCATGGCTGAGACCTCCTCTGCGATGTCCTTTCTTCCACCTCCCCATGGACAGGCCCAGATGCCCTAATGAACAGCCCAGCATGGAGACTACAGGAGAGTGAACAGAACCGTCTGGCACCCAGGAGGGAGGGGGGTGCTTGGTGAGCACAGGGTGAGGCCCCAGGCCCCAGTCCAGAAATGTGCTCCTTGCAGCCCAGCCTCGAGGTGGAGGTTTCCTGTGTGCACACGCAGTCCATGTTGTGTTCTCCCTTGGGGTCATCCAGCTGCACATCTAGAACAAGGTGGCCATTCCTCTGGACACTGTGGCAGGTAGGGGATGGGGAGATGGGGCAGCCCACAAAGCTCAGTGCCCTGCCATGGACCCCTTCTGCTCCGAGACCTCCCTGCTGTGGGTTCTTCACACCCTGAGACACTGCCCTGAAGTCAGACAGAAGCAAATGAGCTCCTCTCCCAAGACTGCCCTCTCCCATGCTGGCTGATGACTTCCTAGAGGGGGAATCAGTCACCAGGGGCTGGGGACTGTTTCTTCGGGTGGATGCCCTGGAGTTCAGGCTGGCTGGTTCATCCCATTCCTCCATGTGCATGAGACAAGGCAGGGCAGAAATGACACAGGCACCACCTTTACTTCTGCATTCCTGCAAAGTGGTTTCTGCAGGTCCCGCTGATACGGTTAAGCAGCTCTGCTAGGGAAGGGCTTCGGAAGTGGCTCTGGTAGGTTTGGGGTTGTGGTGAGAGGCCATGGATCTACAAGGAGAGGGTGGTCACTGAGCAGATGGCTGGGTATCTACCCACAGACCCAGAACCAGTGACATGTCAGGGGGTTATGGCTGGCTGGCAGGGACTCACTGATTGAGGTGAAAGCCTCATGTGTATGCGGTCATGCAGCCTTGTAGGTCCTCAGCCATGATCACCAACAAGCACATGAGGTCCCCAGAAGGTGGGTTCAGGCTGCTTTTGGTGAGCACTTTCAGGCACTGCGCAGGATGCAGGCATGGCCAAGTGTGAATGCACCAGGCCTCCTGGAGTGTGGCCCTCCATCCCAGTGAAGAGCCTCTTTCTTGCTACCCCCGGAAATTTTCCATTCCAGTCACAGTTCTGGGACTGCACAAGACACCATGGCTACTCCTGGCTCCCTGGATGGATGTACTCAGGTGGTGTGCCACCGAGGGGCTCCATCTTCAAGCCCTTCTGAGGGCCCCATGGTCACTGGTCAGCACAAGGTAAGGACATCCAGGGCCAGCTTTCTGTCTTCCTAAATGTGGTCCTGGTCTTGGTGCCTCCCCAGACGACTCCAGTGGGAAGCCCTGGTCCTCAGCCCCTTCGTCAGTCCCTGGCCCCCATGCTCCTTGCTCTTCTGCCCAATTCCCAACCCCAGTGCCTCGTGCAACTCCCAGGTCACCCCCAGTGAAAATGCTCAGGAAGAACAAAAAGCTACCCTCAGCCCTGTTGGAGGCATCAGATGGGTCGGGGTCCATGCTCTTGCATAGGTTTCCACCCTGGTCCACTTGGATGTGGGCCTCACACATGGTATAGGGCTCTGTCAGGAAGTGGCGTGGTGGGGGGGTTCCCAGGCACCTGCACTCTGGAACAGCCCGCCTAGCACACAGCAGAGTTTGCGGGTGTGTTATCATGCATGGTTTAATTTTCAGCTTTAGGCTTTCATTTTCAAATTTCACTATGAACACTGGAATTCTGGTTTACACACACACACACACACACACACACACACACACCATCTGCCTGCTGGCAAGCAGGGATCCTTGTTGGCAAAGAACTTTCTCCCAAATGCCTCTAGAGGACACCCAGGGCTTGGGGAGCCCACAAGGCCACCTCCTCTGTGTGGACCTGTGTCTCAGGTGGGCAGGGCCGTCAGAGCTTCAGGGTCTCCACAACCTCGCACTGCTGTCATGGGGCAGCCCCCATGCAGGGGTGGCCTGGGGACTTCCCAGGGTCCCCAGTTTGAACACTGCCCCTCCATGTGTTTCTTGGGATTTGGAATTGCAGTTATTTAGGGGGAGGAGAGAGGTTCTATGATCAACTCTGTGTGCCGTTGAACTATAGACCTTTTCCACAATTGCTCTTAACAAGCAGAGAGACCCTGGGATCCTGAGCGGCTTCTTCCCAAAGAAGCTCTGAGTCCACGAGAGCAGAGTTTACAACCAAGCCAGTCTCACCACACCTGCTTATTGTGCTGGATCAGGCCGACTTCTGCACTCAGGAGCTGTGAGGCTTTTTGGTTTTCTTAAATGAATGTCATTTATACTTACAGAATTCCATCGGGCTGATTTCCAGCCTGGCTTGGTACTCCCCGATATTTTTAGCCTCATGACTGTTTTTTAACCCATGGGCCATGAATTTGGAGGGTGCAGGTGTGATGGCCTGAGAGGCAGAGCTGTGCTCCAATCCTGCCCTGATGTGCTAATCTGTGACACAGAGACCCCAAAAGGGCAGGGACCTCCAGGAGCCCTCCCCTGATCAGGCCACCCAACTTCCAGACAAACCTCCACCTTGCACAGCACTGAGTCCTCTTGCAGCCCCTGGATGCTGTGCAGAACTAAGAAGCGCTCCAGTGTGCTGTCTTCTGGGTGCAGCAAGAAGCAGGTGTAATGACATGGGACTCCATGGTCCATGAGCACCTGGTGGATCTCCTGCTTGATCTCCTGGGGTAAGACTTCTGCCAGTGATAAGGCCCCCAGTACCTTGGGGAAGAGGACATATGGCAGGGAGAAAGGACATGCTCCCTTGTCCCCAGCCCAAAATACCCAGGTCCCAAGAATAAATACCCAACATGCTCAGTTTCCCACTTTTTGGCTTACGTTCCAGGTTCTGGCTGTACACACCAAGTCCACCTACTCATATGTGTGTGCTGGATGGAGCCCGGCCCTGCTGGCTATTCCTGAGCCCAAGAGTAACACCTGAGCAGAGTAGGGGGAGATGGAAGAACAAGGGGAGGGAAAAGAACAGCCTTGTCTCCTCCCTAAACCGGTACTAATGGCCCCAGGAAAAATGGCTTTCACCTTCCATTAGGGGCACTCCAAGGCCCAACCCTGGGGACACAGAGGACATGAGAGGGCTTTGCCTGGTTCCCCATTGAGTTAAAAGCATGCAACACCTCTGGGCTGGCTCTGCCCTTGGAGATCACCCAACACCACCTCCCCTCTGGCAGATGGTGAAGTCATGGCCCAGAGAGAGGTGACTTGCCTCAGGGCACAGAGCAAGAGGCTGGGAGTCCTGGGACCCCTCTCCCACCAGCCAGTCACTCCCACTCCTCTCCCCAAACAGGCCTGGCAGGTCCAGCTGGTAGCTGTCTTCTAGCAGTGGGGCAGTGACCTGAGTCTGGACTCCATTCCCACGTCCAGCACACCAGCTGAATGTCCCTGGGTGTTGGGAACAGGCCCCCAAATCTGGCCATAAACTGGCCCCAAAACTGGCCCTAAGCAAAATCTCTGCAGAACTGTGACATGCTCATGATGGCCATGACACCCACGCTGAAGGTTGTGGGTTTACCAGAATGAGGGCAAGGAAAACCTGGCCCACCCAGGGTGGAAAACCCCTTAAAGGCATTCTCAAACCACAAACAATAGCATGAGCTATCTGTGCCTTAAGGACATGCTCCTGCTGCGATTAACTAGCCCAACCCATCCCTTTACTTGGGCCCATCCCTTTATTTCCCATAAGAAATACTTTTAGTTAATCTATAATCTATAGAATCAATGCTGATCACTGGCTTGCTGTCAATAAATATTTGGGTAAATCTCTGTTTAGGCCTTTCAGCTCTGAAGGCTGTGGGACCCCTGATTTCCCACTCCACACTCTATATTTCTGTGTGTGTGTCTTTAATTCCTCTAGTGCTGCTGAGTTAGGGTCTCCATGACCGAGCTGGTCTCGGCAAGCAGCACCCAACATCGAAGCTCGAACCCAGGTCAAAGGGTCACCAGAGCGACAGTTGAAGAACTTGGAACTAAGCTGGAGGACACCCAAGTACTCTTTTTTTTAAAATATATTTATTTATTTACTTATTATTATTATACTTTAAGTTTTAGGGTACATGTGCACAATGTGCAGGTTAGTCACATATTTATACATGTGCCATGCCGGTGCGCTGCACCCACTAACTCATCATCTAGCATTAGGTATATCTCCCAATGCTATCCCTCCCCCATCCCCCCAACCCACAACAGTCCCCAGAGTGTGATGTTCCCCTTCCTGTGTCCAAGTGTTCTCATTGTTCAATTCCCACCTATGAGTGAGAATATGCGGTGTTTGGTTTTTTGTTCTTGTGATAGTTTACTGAGAATGATGATTTCCAATTTCATCCATGTCTCTACAAAGGACATGAACTCATCATTTTTCATGGCTGCATAGTATTCCATGGTGTATATGTGCCACATTTTCTTAATCCAGTCTATCATTGTTGGACATTTGGGTTGGTTCCAAGTCTTTGCTATTGTGAATAATGCCACAATAAACATATGTGTGCATGTGTCTTTATAGCAGCATGATTTATAGTCCTTTGGGTATATACCCAGTAATGGGATGGCTGGGTCAAATGGTATTTCTAGTTCTAGATCCCTGAGGAATCGCCACACTGACTTCCACAGTGGTTGAACTAGTTTACAGTCCCACCAACAGTGTAAAAGTGTTCCTATTTCTCCACATCCTCTCCAGCACCTGTTGTTTCCTGACTTTTTAATGATTGCCATTCTAAATGGTGTGAGATGGTATCTCATTGTGGTTTTGATTTGCATTTCTCTGATGGCCAGTGATGGTGAGCATTTTTTCATGTGTTTTTTGGCTGCATAAATGTCTTCTTTTGAGAAGTGTCTGTTCATGTCCTTTGCCCACTTTTTGATGGGGTTGTTTTTTTTTTTCTTGTAAATTTGTTTGAGTTCATTGTAGATTCTGGATATTAGCCCTTTGTCAGATGAGTAGGTTGCGAAAATTTTCTGCCATTTTGTAGGTTGCCTGTTCACTCTGATGGTAGTTTCTTTTGCTGTGCAGAAGCTCTTTAGTTTAATTAGATCCCATTTGTCAATTTTGTCTTTTCTTGCCGTTGCTTTTGGTGTTTTAAACATGAAGTCCTTGCCCATGCCTATCTCCTGAATGGTAATGCCTAGGTTTTCTTCTAGGGTTTTTATGGTTTTAGGTCTAACATTTAAGTCTTTAATCCATCTTGAATTGATTTTTGTATAAGGTGTAAGGAAGGGATCCAGTTTCAGCCTTCTACATATGGATAGCCAGTTTTCCCAGTACCATTTATTAAATAGGGAATCCTTTCCCCATTGCTTGTTTTTCTCAGGTTTGTCAAAGATCAGATAGTTGTAGATATGTGGCGTTATTTCTGAGGGCTCTGTTCCATTGATCTATATCTCTGTTTTGGTACCAGCACCATGCTGTTTTGGTTACTGTAGCCTTGTAGTATAGTTTGAAGTCAGGTAGTGTGATGCCTCCAGCGTTGTTCTTTTGGCTTAGGATTGACTTGGTGATGCGGGCTCTTTTTTGGTTCCGTATGAATTTTAAAGTAGTTTTTTCCTATTCTGTGAAGAAAGGCATTGGTAGCTTGATGGGGATGGCATTTAATCTGTAAATTACCTTGGGCAGTATGGCCATTTTGACGATATTGATTCTTCCTACCCATGAGCATGGAATGTTCTTCCATTTGTTTGTATCCTCTTTTATTTCCTTGAGCAGTGGTTTGTAGTTCTCCTTGAAGAGGTCCTTCACATCCCTTGTAAGTTAGATTCCTAGGTATTTTATTCTCTTTGAAGCAATTGTGAATGGGAATTCAATCATGTTTTGGCTGTTTGTCTGTTGTTGGTGTATAAGAATGCTTGTGATTTTTGTACATTGATTTTGTATCCCGAGACTTTGCTGAAGTTGCTTATCAGCTTAAGGAGATTTTGGGCTGAGACAATGGGGTTTTCTAGATATACAATCATGTCATCTGCAAAGAGGGACAATTTGACTTCCTCTTTTCCTAATCGAATACCCTTTATTTCCATTTCCTGCCTAATTGCCCTGGCCTGAACTTCCAACACTATATTGAATAGGAGTGGTGAGAGAGGGCATCCCTGTCTTGTGCCAGTTTTCAAGGGGAATGCTTCCAGTTTTTGCCCATTCAGTATGATATTGGCTGTGGGTTTGTCATAGATAGCTCTTATTATTTTGAGATACGTCCCATCAATACCTAATTTATTGAGAGTTTTTAGCATGAAGGTTGTTGAATTTTGTCAAAGGCCTTTTCTGCATCTATTGACATAATCACGTGATTTTTGTCTTTGGTTTTGCTTATATGCTAGATTACATTTATTGATTTGCGTGTATTGAACCAGCCTTGCATCCCAGGGATGAAGCCCACTTGATCATGGTGGATAAGCTTTTTGATGTGCTGCTGGATTCTGTTTGCCAGTATTTTATTGAGGATTTTTGCATCAATGTTCATCAAGGATATTGGTCTAAAATTCTTTTTTTGGTTGTGTCTCTGCCGGGCTTTGGTATCAGGATGATGCTGGCTTCATAAAATGAGTTAGGGAGGATTCCTTCTTTTTCTATTGATTGGAATAGTTTCAGAAGGAATGGTACCAGTTCCTCCTTGTACATCTGGTAGAATTCGGCTGTGAATCCATCTGGTCCTGGACTCTTTTTGGTTGGTAAGCTATTGATTATTGCCACAATTTCAGATCCTGTTATTGGTCTATTCAGCGATTCAATTTCTTCCTGGTTTAGTCTTGGGAGAGGGTATGTGTTGAGGAATTTATCCATTTCTTCTAGATTTTCTAGTTTATTTGCATAGAGGTGTTTGTAGTATTCTCTGATGGTAGTTTGTATTTCTGTGGGATTGGTGGTGATATCCCCTTTATCATTTTTTATTGCATCTATTTGATTCTTCTCTCTTTTTTTCTTTATTAGTCTTGCTAGTGGTCTATCTATTTTGTTGATGCTTTCAAAAAACCAGCTCCTGGATTCATTAATTTTTTGAAGGATTTTTTGTGTCTCTATTTCCTTCACTTCTGCTTAGTTATTTCTTGCCTTCTGCTAGCTTTTGAATGTGTTTGCTGTTGCTTTTCTAGTCCTTTTAATTGTGATGTTAGGGTGTCAATTTTGAATCTTTCCTGCTTTCTCTTGTGGGCATTTAGTGCTATAAATTTCCCTCTACACACTGCTTTGAATGTGTCCCAGAGATTCTGGTATGTTGTGTCTTTGTTCTCATTGGTTTCAAAGAGCATCTTTATTTCTGCCTTCATTTCGTTATGTACCCAGTAGTCATTCAGGAGCAGGTTGTTCAGTTTCCATGTAGTTGAGCGGTTTTGAGTGAGATTCTTAATCCTGAGTCTAGTTTGATTGCACTGTGGTCTGAGAGATAGTTTGTTATAATTTCTGTTCTTTTACATTTACTGAGGAGAGCTTTACTTCCACGTATGTGGTGGATTTTTGAATAGGTGTGGTGTGGTGCTGAAAAAAATGTATATTCTTTTGATTTGGGGTGGAGAGTTATGTAGATGTCTATTAGGTCTGCTTGGTGCAGAGCTGAGTTCAATTCCTGGGTATCCTTGTTGACTTTCTTGTCTCGTGGATCTGTTTAATGTTGACAGTGGGGAGTTAAAGTCTCCCATTATTAATGTGTGGGAGTCTAAGACTCTTTGTAGGTCACTCAGGACTTGCTTTATGAATCTGGATGCTCCTGTATTGGGTGCATATATATTTAGGATAGTTAGTTCTTCTTGATGAATTGATCTCTTTACCATTATGTAATGGCCTTCTTTGTCTCTTTTGATCTTTGTTGGTTTAAAGTCTGTTTTATCAGAGACTAGGATTGCAACCCCTGTCTTCTTTTGTTTTCCATTTGCTTGGGAGATCTTCCTCCATCCCTTTATTTTGAGCCTATATGTGTCTCTGCACGTGAGATGGGTTTCCTCAATAAAGCACACTGATGGGTCTTGACTCTTTATCCAAGTTGCCAGTCTGTGTCTTTTAATTGGAGCATTTAGTCCATTTACATTTAAAGTTAATATGGTTATGTGTGAATTTGATTCTGTCATTATCATGTTAGCTGGTTATTTTGCTCGTTAGTTGATGCAGTTTCTTCCTAGGCTCGATGGTCTTTACAATTTGGCATGATTTTGCAGCGGCTGGTACCGGTTGTTCATTTCCATGTTTAGTGCTTCCTTCAGGAGCTCTTTTAGGGTGGGCCTGGTGGTGACAAAATCTCTCAGCATTTGCTTGTCTGTAAAGTATTTTATTTCTCCTTCACTTATGAAGCTTAGTTTGGCTGGATATGAAATTCTGGGTTGAAAATTCTTTTCTTTAAGAATGTTGAATATTGGCCCCCACTCTCTTCTGGCTTGTAGAGTTTCTGCCAAGAGATCCGCTGTTAGTCTGATGGGCTTCCCTTTGAGGGTAACCCAGCCTTTCTCTCTGGCTGCCCTTAACATTTTTTCCTTCATTTCATCTTTGGTGAATCTGACAATTACGTGTCTTGGAGTTTCTGTTCTCGAGGAGTATCTTTGTGGCATTCTCTGTATTTCCTGAATCTGAATGTTGGCCTGCCTTGCTAGACTGGGGAAGTTCTCCTGGATAATATCTTGCAGAGTGTTTTCCAACTTGGTTCCATTTTCCCCGTCACTTTCAGGTACACCAATCAGACGTAGATTTGGTCTTTTCACGTAGTCCCATATTTCTTGGAGACTTTGCTCATTTCTTTTTATTCTTTTTTCTCTAAACTTCCCTTCTTGCTTCATTTCATTCATTTCATCTTCCATCGCTGAACCCTTTCTTCCAGTTGATCGCATTGGCTTCTGAGGCTTCTGCATTCTTCACGTAGTTCTCGAGCCTTGGTTTTCAGCTCCATCAGCTCCTTTAAGCACTTCTGTGTATTGGTTATTCTAGTTATATATTCTTCTAAATTTTTTTCAAAGTTTTCAACTTCTTTGCCTTTGGTTTGAATGTCCTCCCATAGCTCAGAGTAATTTGATCATCTGAAGTCTTCTTCTCTCAGCTTGTCAAAGTCATTCTCCATCCAGCTTTGTTCTGTTGCTGGTGAGGAACTGTGTTCCTTTGGAACAGGAGAGGCATTCTGCTTTTCAGAGTTTCCAGTTTTTCTGCTCTGTTTTTCCCCCATCTTTGTGGCTTTATCTGCTTTTGGTCTTTGATGATGATAATGTACAGATGGGTTTTTGGTGTGGATGTCCTTTCTGTTTGTTAATTTTCCTTCTAACAGACAGGACCCTCAGCTGCATGTCTGTTGCAGTACCTGGCCATATGAGGTGTCAGTCTGCCCATGCTCGGGGGTGCCTCCCAGTTAGGCTGCTCAGGGGTCAGGGGTCAGGGGTCAGGGACCCACTTGTGGAGGTAGTCTGCCTGTTCTCAGATCTCCAGCTGTGTGCTGGGAGAACCACTGCTCTCTTCAAAGCTGTCAGACAGGGACACTTAAGTCTGCAGAGATTACTGCTGTCTTTTGGTTTGTCTGTGCCCTGCCCCCAGAGGTGGAGCCTACAGAGGCAGGCCGGCCTCCTTGAGCTGTGGTGGGCTCCACCCAGTTCCAGCTTCCAGGCTGTTTTGTTTACCTAAGCAAGCCTGGGCAATGGCGGGCGCCCCTCCCCCAGCCTTGCTGCGGCCTTGCAGTTTGATCTCAGACTGCTGTGCTAGCAATCAGCAAGACTCCATGGGCATAGGACCCTCCGAGCCAGGTGCCGGACACAATCTCCTGGTGCGCCATTTTTTAAGCCCATCAGAAAAGCGCAGTATTTGGGTGGGAGTGACCCAGTCTTCCAGGTGCCCTCTGTCACCTCTTTCTTTGCTAGGAAAGGGAACTCCCTGACCCCCTGTGCTTCCCGAGTGAGGCAATGCCTCACCCTGCTTTGGCTCACGCACAGTGCATGCACCCACTGACCTGCGCCCACTGTCTGGCACTCCCTAGTGAGATGAACCCAGTACCTCAGATGGAAATGCAGAAATCACCCATCTTCTGCGTCACTCAGGCTGGGAGCTGTAGACCGGAGCTGTTCCTATTCGGCCATCTTCACCCAAGTACTCTTAAGCAATCCTCATGGTGAATGAGAAGGGGAGCTTGGAAGCATCAGGGTAACAATGGGGCAAGTGTGGGCTCTGGTTCATTCCACCTTGGAACCTTTTCACACTGATGATGAGGAGGAAGGACAGTATAATGAAGAAACAGAGCAGGTTTGTTTGCCAGCTAAAGCTAAAGCAGCAAAGGAGGAAGAGGTTCATCCCTACCCTTCTGCACCACCTCATTATTTTGAAGAAAAAGAGTGGCCTGACCCTCCAGATCTTTCTTTTCTGGAGGACACTGGATGAAAAGTATTAGCTCTAGTGACTTTTCAAGCAGTGCCTCCAGTGACTGCTCTCAGTTTTATTCAGACAGGAATTCAGCAAGCTAGAAGAGAGGGTGATTTAGAGGCTTGGCAATTCCCTGTTAGAATATACCCCCCAGATCAACAGGGAAATATTGTAGCTACATTTAAGCCTTTTCCTTTTAAATTACTCAAATAATTTAAACAAGCTATTTATCAATATGGACCAGGTTCTCTTTTTGTAATGGGACTGTTAAAGAATGTTGCTGTTTCCATTTGGATGATTCCTACTGACTGGGATGCTCTTACTCGAGCTTGTTTAACTCCCGCTCAATTCTTACAATTTAAAACTTGGTGGGCAGATGAAGCTTCCATTCAGGCTGCTCACAACACCCAGGCCTAACCTCAAATTAATATAACTGCAGACCAACTTTTGGGGGTTGGCAGCTGGGCTGGTTTAGATGCACAAGTGGTCATGCAGGATAATGCCATAGAGCAGCTTAGAGGAGTGTGCATTAGAGATTGGGAAAAAATTACTTCAGGAGCAGAGCAATTCCCTTCCTTTAGTGCTGTAAAATAGGGACCAAAAGAACTGTAAGCAGACTTTATAGCTTGGTTACAGGAGTCTCTTACAAAGGTGATTGCAGGATATAGTGTTATAGTTATCAGCTTTCAACAATGCTAATCCCGATTGCCAGACTGCTCTGCAATCTGTTAGACAGAAAACACATTCAGTTGATTATATCAAGGCCTGTGATGGTATCAGAGGTAATCTGCATAAGGCTGCTCTGCTAGCCCAGGCAATGGCAGGACTGAAACTGAGTAAAGGAAATACTCCATTTCCTGGAGCTTGTTTTAACTGTGGGAAGCATGGTCATACTAAAAAATAATGTAGAAAAAATCAGCGAGTCAGGCCACCAGATAGGGGAAAAAAGAAAACTGCTGAGCCTGAAATATGTCCAAAATGCAAAAAAGGAAAACATTGGGCTAATGAGTGTCACTCTAAGTTTGATAAAGATGGGAACCCGATTTTGGGAAATGCCATGAGGGGCCCATCCCAGGCCCTGTTCCAAACTGGGACATTTCCAGCTCAGGCCATTCCCTCACCCCTGTACAATGTCTGTCCCCCACCACAGCCAGTAGTGCTGCAGTAGATTTACACTGCACAAAAGCTGTAAGGCTTCTGCCTGGGGAACCCCCACAAAAAGTTCCAACAGGGATCTATGGACCCTTGCCAGCGGGGATTATAGGATTACTTCTAGGAAGGTCTAGGTTAAATTTAAAAGGGGTACAAGTACATACAGGAGTCATTGATTCAGATTACAATGGGGAAATTCAAATTGTTTTATCTACTTCTGTTCCCTGGAAAGCAGAGCCAGGAGAGCGTATAGCACAGCTCCTGATTGTGCTGTATGTGGAAATGAGGAAAAGTGAAATTAAATGAAAAGGAGGATTTGGAAGCACAAATAAACAAGGCAAAGCAGCTTATTGGGTGAATCAAATTACTGATAAGTGTCCTACCTATGAAATAACTATTCGGGGAAAGAAATTTAAAGGTCTGGTAGATACAGGAGCAGACATTTCAAGCATTTCTCTACAGCACTGGCCATCTGTGTGGTCAATTCAACCCACTCAATTTAACATAGTTGGAGTTGGTAAAGCCCCTGAAGTGTATCAAAGTAGTTATATTTTGCATTGTGAAGGGCCCAATGGACAACCTGGGACTATTCAACCAATTGTAACTTCTGTACCTATAAATTTATGGGGGAGAGGTTTATTACAACAATGGGGAGGACAATTCTAATTCCAGAGCAATTATACAGCCCTCAGAGTCACAATATGATGCATGAAATGGAGTATGTCCTTGGTATGGGACTAGGAAAAAAATTTGCAAGGTTTGAAGGAACTGCTTCAAGTGGAAAGACAAAGTTCCCGCCAAGGTTTAGGATATCATTTTTGATGGCAGCCATTGTTAAGCCTCCAGAACCTATACCTTTAAAATGGTTAACAGATAAGCCAATTTGTATAGAACAATGACCGCTAAATAAAGAGAAACTGGAGGCTTTAGAGGAATTAGTTACTGAACAATTAGAAAACGGACACATAGCTCCAACATTTTCCCCTTGGAATTCTCCAGTTTTTGTAATTAAGAAAAAATCAGGTAAATGGAGAATGTTAACTGATTTAAGAGATATTAATTTAGTTATACAACCTATGAGGACATTACAGCCAGGATTGCCTTCTCCTGCTATGATTCTGAAAAATTGGCCATTAGAAGTCATAGATTTAAAAGACTGTTTCTTTACTATCCCCTTAGCTGAACAAGACTGTGAATGGTTTGCATTTACAATTCCTGCAGTAAACAACCTGCAGCCTGCTAAGCATTTTCACTGGAAAGTGTTGCCACAAGGCATGTTAAACATTCCAACAATTTGCCAGACTTATGTAGGGCAAGCAATTAAACCTACTCATAAAACATTTTCACAGTGTTACATTATTCATTATATGGATGATATATCTTGTGCTGCCCCCACTCGAGAAATATTACTCCAGTGTTATGATCACTTGCAAAATTCAATTTCTGACACTGGTTTAATTATAGCTCCTGACAAAATTCAGACTACTCCTCCTTACTCCTACTTGGGGACCTTAGTAAATGACACTACCATTGTGCCACAGAAAGTAACTATATGTAGGGATCGATTGAAAACATTAAGTAACTTTCAAAAATTACTAGGCGACATTAATTGGATATGACCTGCTCTAGACATTCCTACCTATGCCATGAGTAATCTATTTTCTGTTCTTAGAGGAGATCCTAGTATCACTAGCCCTTGGCAATTAACAAAAGAAGCTGAGGCAGAGCTGCAGTTGATCAAAAAGCAAGTCCATAAAGCCCAAATAAATAGAATAGATCCAGAGAAGACTCCAGATTTGCTAATTTCTCCAACTCAGCATTCACCTACTGGTGTTATTGTCCAAGAACAGGACTTAGTAGAATGGCTTTTTCTTCCACATACTAATTCATGGACTCTAACTCCTTATTTGGATCAAAACGCTACTATGATAGGAAATGAGAGAACTCAGATTGTTAAATTACATGGATATGATCCTAGAAAAATTATTGTCCTCCTCATGAAGGCAAACATACAGCAAGCTTTTATAAATGGTCTTACTTGGCAAACTCATTTAGCTAACTTTGTGGGTATTCTTGATAATTTTCCTGAAACAAAACTGTTTCAATTTTTGAAATTAACTAACTGGATCCTCTCTAGAATAATTAAATTTAAACCAATTGAAGGTGCTGAGAATGTCTTAACAGATGGGTCTAGTAATGGTAAAGCTTCTTATTCTGGCTCAAAAGGTAAAGTTTTTCAGATGCCCTATACTACAGCTCAAAAAGCAGAGCTTGTAGCTGTAATTGAGGTATTGACCACTTTTGATATGCCTATTAATGTGATTTTTTATTCTTCATACATGGTTCATTCCACACAATTATTTGAAAATGCTCAGTTATGATTTCATACAGATGAACAACTGATAACTTTATTTACCCAACTGCAAATAGCAGTTAGGAGTAAAATGTACCCTTTTTACAACACTCACATTAGGGCTCATACACCTCTTCCAGGACCTTTGACTGCAGGGAAACAAATGGCTGATTGCCTAGTTGCTATTGCAATATCTAATGCTAAACACTTTCACAATTTAACCCATGTTAATGCCTCTGGTCTCAAATGCAGATACAGCATTACCTGGAAAGAAGCTAAAGCTATTATCCATGATGCCCAAATTGCCAAATGGTGTATTCCTCATCTTTTACAGGAGGAGTTAATCCTCAAGGATTGGAATCTAGTTCTCTTTGGCAAATGGATGTCACACATGTTTCTTCATTTGGGAAACTGGCTTATGTACATGTATGTGTGTACACCTTTTTTCACTTTGTCTGGGCTACATGCCAACCAGGAGAGTCTTCCGCCTGTGTTAAACATCACCTTTTGCAGTGTTTTGCAGTGATGGGCATTCCAGCTTCTATTAAAACAGACAATTCCCCCAGGCTATACTAGCCAAGCTCTAGTACATTTTTCTCTATATGGATATTAAACACATTACTGGTATCCCATATAATTCTCAAGGACAAGTCATAGTAGAAAGAATGAATCTCTCCCTGTAAGAGCAGTTGCAAAAACAGAAAGGGGGAACAGGGATTATGGGACAGCCCATACACAATTGAATCTAGCATTATTAACTTTAAATTTTTTGAGTGTGCCTAAAGGCCAAATGTTAGCAGCTGAACAGCATCTATAGAAACCAGCTGCAAAGACAGAAGCAAAACAACTGGTTTGATGGAGAGATCTGATAACAAAAAGTTGGGAAATAGGTAAAATAATAACAGGGTAGAGGTTATGCTTGTGTTTTTCCAGGACTGAGTCAACAGCTGATTTGGATATCATCAAGAAACCTGAAACCTTATCATGAGTCAGATGCTGAGGAAGAGATTCCAGGAAGAACCCAAGGAACCCCTGGTTGCAGTCATGTCGAGACTGACACTGAGGAGGACCCCAACTGTCATGAGCAGCACCCATTGAACACAGCCACCCACCTGGGGACAGATCAAGAAGCTGTCACAGATGGTGGAAGAAAACCTGAGGAAAGAGGGACAACCAGTCACAATGAGTAATTTAACGGTAGCTATGATAGTGGTGATCACCATTGCCATGAGTATTCCTTCAACAAGGGCTGACACAGAGAACAATTATACTTATTGGGCATATTTATCAATCTTGGCTGGCAATAATGCCTGGATGTAATCACTCTATGACACAGTTATGCATGCTTTCTGATCTCAGTATTTGTCATAATAAATCTGGTCCTACAATTGAGGCATACTGGCCTCAAAAACCTATTTGTAAACAGAATTGAACCTGGGCAGAAAAAATGAATGTACTTGTTTAGGAAGATTGCATTGCAGAACAGGCAAAGGTGCTGGTGCAACGATTCCTATGGAATCATTATTGATTTGTCCCTAATGGGCTGTTTAGATTGAATTGCACCCCTCTGCATGCCATGGCCATACTATGTTCAGCTGGTCTGAATAAAATGGTCAGATGGTAGAAACGATAAGAAATATGGCAAGAGTTCCTATTATCTGGCACCATGGTGGTATAGTGGCCCCTCAACCTCAAATGATATGGCCTGTTATAGGACCTAAACATAAGGATTTGTGGAAACTATTAATGACTCTTAATAAGAACAAAATTTAGGAAAGAATAAAAAGCATCTAGAAGCACACTCTAAAAATTTGTCTTTGGATATTGTAAAATTAAAAGAACAAATATTTAAAGCATTCCAGGCACACCTGACCTTAATGCCAGGAACTGCAGTACTTGAAGGAGCTGCAGTTGGGTTAGCAGCTAGTAATCCATTAAAATGGACAAAAACACTTGGAAGCTCTATGATTTCAATGATGATTGTGCTTTTAATCTGTGTTGTTTGTCTTTGTGTAGTATGCAGATGCAGATCCTGACTCCTGTGAGAAGTAGCTCACTGTGACAAAGCTGCCTTTGTTTTTATCTCTTTGCAAAATAAAGAAGGGGGACATGTTGGGAACAGGCCCCTGGATCTGGCCATAAACTGCCCCAAAACTGGCCCTAAGCAAAATCTCTGCAGCACTGTGACATGCTCTTGATGGCCATGACACCCACGCTGAAGGTTGTGGGTTTACTGGAATGATGGCAAGGAACACCTGGCCCACCAAGGGCGGAAAACCCCTTAAAGGCGTTCTTAAACCACAAACAATAGCATGAGCTATCTGTGCCTTAAGGACATGCTCCTGCTGCAGATAACTAGCCAGACCCATCCCTTTACTTTGGCCCATCCTTTTATTTCCCATAAGAAATACTTTTAGTTAATATATAATCTATAGAAACAATGCTTATCACTGACTTGCTGTCAGTAAATATGTGGGTAAATCTCTGTTCAGGGCTCTCAGCTCTGAAGGCTGTGGGACCCCTGATTTCCCACTCCACACTCTGTATTTCTGTGGGCCTTTAATTCCTCTAGTGCCACTGGGTTAGGGTCTCCATGACCGAGCTAGTCTTGGCACCTGTGCAAGGCACAGGACTCTCCGTTTCCTGCCTATGACATGGGGTCAGAAGGAGCATGGGTAAGACTTGGTACTTTAGCCTCATCCTTCCCAGCAGACTCAGGCCTGGTCTCCAGCATCCCTTCCTCCCCCTTACCTGTGAGAGAAGGACTCTATCCTGGAGGCCAGGATCTTCACAGCAAAACCATGTTCTGAATAACAATGACTTCCTATCCTGGGATATTATCTCCCAAATCGACCTCATCCAGCCCACCTTTTCTGGGTGACTTGGCTGCACCAACATCCTTCTTTGAGTTCTCTGGGGAGTCCTTGTGGCTCTGGGGGTGACAAGGATGGAGCTGAATCAGATGGGCCTAGCTGGTGAGGGAGGGCTGTCTGCCTCACTTCACCTGGGGGGGCATGTGCCTTATAGAACAGTGTCTGCATACCTTCCTGAGCCTCCAACCCACAGTCCCACCTCATCCTCAGCACCCCTGCAGTCCACCGCCTCTTCCCTCCCACATCCTGAGCCCTCCCTTCCCATCTGCTGCTCCTCAGCCCACCATGGCATGGCTTCCACCTGAGCACACTGCCCAAAGCACTCTCCCCAGGGTCACCAATGCCACTGTTAGGGCCCAGCCCAAGGATCTTCTCCAGCCCTGATGTGTGTGACTTCTCAGCAGCACCCCCCACCACTGCACACTCCCTCCTCCTCTTCCCTGACCAACATGATCCCCCTGTCCCTCCCTCTCTGGCTCCATCCCCTTCCACCAGTCCTGAGCTGGGGATGTGCCTGGGCCCAGCCTCTTCTCTTTCTCACCTCATCCTCTCCATGGCTTCAAATATCCTCCTTCCACCATGAAGTTCCCATGGCAAATCCTAATCCTGGCCCTGATCAGGCTTTACAGATGGAGGGGACAGCTGCCTCCCAGGCATCACATGTGGCTGACCCTTAAGCGTCACTGAAGACTTGTCTTGTGGGAATGGAATTTAGCTTCCTCCACAAACTGGCCGCTGCTCTGTGTAGGTCCCCCTTCCCTGTTGAATCACTAATCCTAATCTCCCAACTGGCCCATGGTCCCCTACCTCTGTGGCCAAGCCCTGGGATGGGCATTTCTCCTGTTTCAAGACTGCCACTTGGAACCCCTCTAATAAGCCCACTGCTCTCTAAGTCAAGCTTCCTAAGCCAGCACTCTCAGGCACCAACCTAAAGCCAGCCTCAGTTTCTTCCTGCCTCCCACTCAGGTCTAGAAGGGCCAAAACACAGAAGGCTGAAGACCATGCCCCTGCCCTCCCACCTCTGTGCTTTTGTCCAGGCTGCCCCTGATATTCCATTCTTTCAGGCATGCACACTCATCTTTCTAGGCCTAGGTGAAATAAGCCCTCTTCTCAAATGCCAGAATGACCACTGATGGCAGAATTACACCCCATCCCCCAACTTACAGGCTGTGAGGAGAGTGGGGAGTAGGTGGCATAATTTTCCATTCCTACCTAGGCACCAGGGGAACAAAGGAGAGCCCCTCCCTGCCTTTGGGAGCTGAGGCCTCCTCTCAGAAACCCTCCAGCAAACACAGGCCTGCCTGGATGCCCATTGAGCAAATGGGGACCTGGGACCCCAGGGTGTGCCCATCAGCCAGGCAGGCCTGCTTGGCTTGGCTTGGCTGAGAGCTCAAAAGTCTCAGCCCTGAGCAGAGTCTGGGTCAGCTTCCAGATAGAACAGCGCACCCAGATCCACCCATCCCAGCCAGCCCCATCTTTTCTTCCCTACCCAGCTCTCAGCAGTGGGATTAGGGTGCATTTCCCAGAAATGTGTGGGCCCAAACATGACCCACTGGAAGCATGGAGCAGGAGCCTCAGACAGAGGTTTTGCCAGCACAGAAAGGCATACCAGGGACATGGAGAGAAGCTACTATCCCTCCCCTGTATCCCACGACATAGAAATAGGACCTCCGGGAGCTCAGATATGGTCCCCTCCTTCTCACCCCAAATAAGGGTGTATGAGGCTCAGAAAGGTCCAGAGTCTGACCTAAGGACACCGGTCAGAAGGAAACCAGATTCCCTTCCACAGCCACACCCCCACGGCTGCTGCACTGCCCAAAACCCTAGCCACTGAGAGTCTTCAATAACTGCATCTGCTGTCACCCCTCCATGAAACTGCCAAGAAGCACAAGGATGCACAAGGACTTCCTCTCCCTTCCGGCGACCCAACAGCTCCCAGGCAGGGTAACCCCAAGCTCTTGGTAAGTGAGCAGCCATGCCCCACAGTGAAAAACTGCCTGACACTAATGACTGAGCAGACAGGAGTAGGAGGGGCAGAGATCGATTGGTTTTCAAGAAGCAGCAAGAGGAAGGGCAGATAGGAGGAGGAACTTACCCTACAAGGTCCCAGAGAAAGGCTGTGTTGACTGGTATGCCCCTGGAATGAGGGGAGAAGGAGGAAGGGCCCCCACCCACTGTGAAGCAGCAGTTTTGAGCTCTGAGATCCCAGAAGTGGGGAGGCAGAGACCTGGACCTAGATGAGAAACCTGTGCTCCTTGGCGTGTCTAGAATGGGAGGCATGGATAAGGAGAGGGAAGACAAGGCCAGGTGGCCACAGGCCCCATCCTCCCTCCCCAGCTCTGGGAGCCCACCACCTGCAGAGGGCATCTATCCCCTGATCAGATTTCAAAACAACGTGGCTGGTTCCCCAGAGGCCTCCTTTTACCCATGAGGGTCTGTCCTGCCCCTCCTCCTTCCTCTGGAGAACCCTGAAGGTCTCATCATCTCTGGGTGAAGCCCTGGGGACCTCCCCAGTGAGAGAGTAGCCAACTTGTTCATGAGGACTCCACTGCTCCCTGGTGCCACCCTCTCCTGGGCCCTGGGGTCTCAGGACTGCCATGTTAGCAAAGTAGCCAGTTCCCTGGTGCCATCTGTGTTCCTCACTCCAGTCTCTGCCGCTACCCTTGCTCTAATGCAGCTGGTGGGTCCCAGGCTGGAGCTCGAGCTGGCTTTGGGCTTCAATGGGCCACACTTACCAGGGCTGCCCCAGGAAGGGTGCACTCCCCTTGCCTTGCATCTGGCTGAAGGTTGGCCAGAAGGACGGCTATGGGCCAGGAGGCCCCAGTGGCTCCAGGATACCAGAAAACACAGCTATCTGCACTCGGGCCTATCTCCCTATACCCCCAGAAAGGGGCCACTCCTGGCAAGGCCACTGGGTGACAGGAGAACCCGGCATTTGGGGTACTTGCACCCCTGAAGATTGAGGGCCTAGGAGACTGGCTGACAGCATAAGCGCCCTGAATGGGGGTCCTCTGCTCAGCTTCCACCCCAGAGGGTTGGGCAGAACTGCTTTGGCAACAGCTGATGTAGAGCTGGGCCCAGGCCCTGAGGGGCTGCCCCAGTCTGCCAATCACAGGCACTGAGCATCTCCTCTGCCTTCTGGGCCTAGAGGCCAGCTGGGGCCTCTGGTTCCTGCTGCCCCCTGCAGGTGCCCTGACAGTCACCTCCTTCCTGAGAGTCACTGGTGATGGTGAGAGGGAGGTGGATGGAACCCCCCATCACTGTCTCCCAGAGGACAACTGCACTGGTACCCCAGGCCTCTGAGCTCCAACTGAGAAGCTGGTGGCTCCACCTTCCCATCCTCACAGCCCCTTCCCTGCCAGGAGGGAACCAAGTCTCTCCCAGGGGGAACAGAGCTGGCAGCAAGAGGCCAAGGGCAGCTCAGCTGGGGAGAGGGAGCATGCCCACCTCGCCAGGGCACCCCCCAGGGCCTCTGCTGTGCTCCCAGGGCCCCGTCAGGACAGCTCTGGCATCCATCCTAACCAGCTTAAGTGGGAGCCAGGATCTCCCTACAGCCCTGCCCCTCCAGGCCCAGGGACCCAGGCAGAGGCTGTGCCTCTCCATAGCTCCCACCATGGGTTCTGGGCCTCACACAATGACCAGATGGGAAGAAGGGCCAGGCCTAGGCAGAACCCGTCTCTTACCCACTCCCCAGATTGAAAAAGAAATAGGTCATTTCACATGTCATGATTTTGTATAAATATTTGTAAGAAATTTACTAAAAACCTATATGAATTAATAAATTAATTAGATACAATCAGATACAAGATCAACATACAAACTTAAATTGTACTACTGTATAAAATTAGTCAATCTAAAAATTAAATGAAGACAAAAATACCATTGGTAAAAGCCTCTTAAAGGAAGAAATAGTCAGAAATAACTTTAAGAAAATAAGAGCAATGACATCATAGTGAAAAATTATTTTAAAATGCTAAAAGTAATCAAAGAACTGAATATGTTGAGAGACATCAATATTCAAGAATAACAATGCTTAATATTAATATCAAAATACTAAAAGCTGGATCTATAGATTTAATGCAAATTCTCTAGGTTTTTTCAACAAAAATTTTAAACCTCTTCCTAAAATGCATGTGGATACGCAAAGGAAATAAAATATATGCATTTTTTGAAAAGAATAACAAAATTTAGTTACTTACACTGCCAATATCTTTTTTTTTTTTTTTTCAGAGACAGGGTCTTGCTCTGTCACCTTGGCTGGAGTTCAGTGGCAGGATTACAGCTCACTGCAACCTGGAACTTCTGGGCTCAAGTGATCTTCCCACCTCAGCCTCATGAGTAGCTGGGACTACAAGTGCATGCCACTCATCCCGCTAACATTTGTTTTTTCTTGTAGAGATGGGATCTTGGTGTGTTGCCCACGATAGTCTCAGACCCCTGGGCTCAAGCAATTCTCCTGCCTTGGCCTCCCAAAATGCTTGGATTACAAGTGTTAGCCACCTTGCTCACCCATCCAGTATCAATTTTTACTGCAATGTTATAGTCTGGTACTAGCATAAGTATAGATTCATGTAGGCCAACAGAATAGAATAGAAGGGCCACTAATAAACACATTAATTTATGGTAAATTGATTGTGTCAAAGATGCCAAGAAATTGTAAAAGGAAAATAAATGTCTTTTCAAAAAATTTTGCTGGGAAAATTAAATATACACTTTGCAAAAGGAAAAAGTGGACTCCTAACTCAAACCACAGACCCCCAAAAATACTCAGAAAGGGTAATATATCAAAATGTAAGAGGTTAAAGACAAAATTCTTTGGAGAAATCTTATAGTTAATATTTGTATTCTTGGGTTACATAAATATGTCTAAGATATTACACCAAAGGCACAATTTTATTAAAAAAATAAATTATACTTTATTGAATTGGAAACTTTTGTTTTTAGAACATCAAAAAGAATATGAAAACATATGCTGCTTAATGGGAAAAATATTTTAAATTGTATACATTATTTGGGTATATTAGGGTTTATAAAGAACACACACACATATATATTTTATATATATATCATATATATTTTATATAAAATCTCATTTATATATGGAATCTTAAAAACCAAACTCAGAGAAGCTAGTATCTAGAATATATAAAAAACTCTTATCGGTCAATAATAAAACAACAATTGACCAATTAAAAATGGACAAAAGATTTGAATAGATGTTTTCCATAGAAGATACACAATTTGCCAATTTGCTCAATTTCATCAGTTGTTAAGAAAATACAAATCAAACCACAATTAGTACTAGTTGACACCCACTAGAATGGCTATACCAAAGATACAATGACAAATGTTAGAAAAGAAGTGGAGAATATGGAACTCACATATGCTGCAAATAGGAATGTAAAATATTCTGCCACCTTGAAAATAAAACAATACGAAATAAAAATGTGGCTATCCCTCAAAATGTTGCACATAAAATCACTATAGGACACAGAAATTCTAACCCAAAGTTAGTATGCAAAGGAAATTCCTATAATCATACAAAGACGCTCATATGAATGCACATAACATGTGGTCATGTCCATGCAATAGAACTCCACTTGCCATCCAAGAGGAATAATGTAATGATGCAATGATGCAAACTACAACAGAAATGAAACCCAAAAACATTAGGCTAAGCGAAAGGAACCAGACCCAAAAGACCACATAATTCATGATCCTGGCTATTAGAAACTCTGATAATAGGCTCATCTATAGAGACATAAAATTGATTGTTGTCTAGATCTGACATGGCAAAGGTGAATGCAAGTAGGATGCATTTTCCTCTTAAGGGATACAAATATTCTAAACTTAGATGGTAATTAAGCTCGCATGGCTCTATAAATATACCAAATAGCCTGGAGTTGTACTTAAAATATGTGATTATATTATATAAAATATACCCCAGTAAAGCATTTTAAAAAATTAACAGGTCAACATACACTAAGGTTGTTTAAGATTTTGAGAAACCCAGGGCACAGATTGTAAAAATGAAATCTATTTCTTGTCCATTTCAAAGCATAATAAAGAAAATGGAGGCAGCAAGCTAACACGCAAAGGTTTGGTTAGTGATGCAGGTGTATTAATGGGCAGGAACCATGTGATTCGTTTAACCAGGTCAGAAAAGCAAAGGAAATGATCGTAATTTATTGAAGACCACTCTGACTCAGAGTGACTCAGATTGTTAGGAATGTGAAAGCTGTACTCGTAGGTTTGGGCATATTTCTTATCAAACACAGCTCAAAAGAGCCATCTCACAGAAAGGTTATCAACGACTCTCCTATCCGCAGTTTCCTGGAGTTTTACAGTTGTCTATCGCCAGCCCTAAAACTGCATTGTAGTCACTCATTCTAAACCCAATGTAGCACTCAAATCTAATACGAAACTCCACATTTCATGACTACCACGTTCAATAAATTGCCTTTTATTTTTTTCATTTTTTGGCCAGCCCTCCGCATTCCCTCTGTTTGTAGCCCTACCTGTCGCCGCTCGCTCTGGAGCAAAATTGTCCACCTCGGGAGCTGGGGCTGCGGGTCCGCGTACTGCGCCGGGCGCCCGTGTTGGCTGGTTCAGGAGCTGTGGGGCGGGCTTGGAGCTCACAGGGCGCAGATGTCCCCTGACAGCCCCGGGAGCCCGCGGCCGCCCCCCGCACCAGGCCGCGCTCCCCTCAGCAGGCGCCCCAAGGGTTCTGATCTGGGCTGGAAATTGAGCCCAGCAGAGAAGGAGGAGGGGGAGCGCCGACCCCACCCTCCGCTCCGCACGGTCGGCCAAGTAAACCCAATTCCAATTCCGTAATAAAAGGATGCAGAGGTGCGCAACTAGCTCCGTTCCTTCCTGCTGCCTGCCCTTAAGGGGTGGCCCCACTGTCTCCAAGGCTCAAGGAGCTTCCCCGCCCAGGAGCCCCGCGACTCCCCCGAACTAAGTTTGCCAAGCGCCAAGTGTGGCAGGCGGGAGCCCAGGCCTCCTGGCCGCGTCCACCGGGCGATGCAGAGAGCGATGCCAGTTTCACTTCCTTCCTCCGGGACCCAGAAAGGTCTGAAGACGGGAAAATACCCCGCGCCGGGTAGGGGCGACCCTAGGAGCCCCACGGATCTATCTCCCAGACGCCCTACAGAAGGACCCTGCAAGACCTAACCTGCTGAGGCCCCTTCTTTCCACCCTTTACCTCTCGGGGGAGCCATCATTCCCCTGAGTGTCCCCCTAGGTTATTCACGCGCACCCCGCATTGACCTCTGGCCTTGGAGCACCCTCGAGTGTTCCCCGCCCGGAACATGGGACTCCACAATTATTCCCCTCCAAAGACTCCTCCCAAACCTGTCTCCTGGCATCAGCGACACTGACACACTGCGGCAACTGCCCAGGCTGCCCCCTTCCCCGCCCCAACCACCTCGGGGTCTCCACAATGAGTTCCCCAGGTCGAGGGCTGTACTGAGACCCTGCACAGCGACCCCGACTCACAGGAGGACCCTCCAGCACTCCCTCAGACATCCCGCCCCCCCTACAGGGGAGACTAGGCCCCACCCTCCACCCAGACGATGGCTTCCCCCAGCCACCCCTAAAAATATGCTTTCCCGGAGACCCCGCACAGGGCGCCTCTGTCACACAGGGGCGACCCCATAAATCCCTCCCCAGACATCTTCCCCCCTCCCCAGATGGAGATCTCACAAGCGGAGAGCTCCCCTGGAGAGGATCCTCAGAAACCATCCTCAAAGCCACCACCACAGTCAGAAAGACCCAAGGGAGAATCGTGGGCACGAAACACATCTCCACACATGCACTCCTCCCGGCACTCACGGCCACCTCACCCCATGGAGACCTCAAAATGCTCTCCGTATGTTGCAGGGAAAAGAAAGGGAGAGCCCAGCAGAACTTCCCGCAGGAGAATCCATTTTCCTTTTATTCATTATGCAGTGGAGCCTAAGTGCAGGGCACGAAGGATTTTACACAAAATTTTAAGTTGTTAGGTATAGGTTTTCATGGAAATGTAAACATTTAACAAAGATACAGATAATAGATAATAAACCCATCCTAAGTACATTATCACTAGGTTTCAGCAATTCTTATTTTGCCATTTATTTTCAACGATCAATCCAAATATCCTAGTAGTATTTTAAATCAAATATAAGATACAATATCATTAATTTTGGAAAAACTTAAGTAACTATATCTAACAAGTGAAGATAAAAAAGAAAATATTATCACAACTAATATAATTTTTAATATATAAAATAGATAAATTTGTGTATTCACCAGAGTAGACTTTACAACCACTGAAGGTTTTGCATGAAATGTTTTAACATGTTTAGTCTAATATTTTATCTTCAGACAAAATATCAATACATGAAAACATTCAATTACATATAAAGGGCCATAGATTATGGTTGGAGGAGGAAATCGCAAATTGACGGTGGGATATTCCAAACCACTGCACTGTGAAAGTAAACGCAAGAAAGAAAATAGGGATTCCTATAGTTCCCGATAAAAGGAAAGGAAAGGTAACTCGCAGAGAGCCACTCCCTCACTTTGCCATATTCAAATGTCTAGAACAAGGCACAGGTCTGGCCATACCCAAGAAAAGATGAGGATTCAGGTGTAACAAAAGACAGCAGAGATCATGGGGCATCTTAGGATTCTGCCCCCTACATCCACCCTTGCACAAAAACTTGATCTAACATCTCACATTGGTGGGGATCTGGTGTTCTTGTAAGAGAAAAGAAAGTCTCAGAAAGTGGTTCCCTTGTAGACTCTGAGGCAGTTGCTCCTCAGCACCTTCTATTTTGGAAGCCAGAAAATTATTTCTTGATTGACAAGGGGGGCAGTCCTGTGCACCATAGGAGTCCCATTGTTGACTGCATGTCAGTAGCTGCCACCAGTTATTACAACCAGAACTGCGTGAGTAAACTTCCTCAGGATGCAGAAGCCGCTCCCGTGAGAACCTCAGCTCCTCTCCATATGCAAACAGACAGATGCAGGCAGCACCAGCAATCTCTTGAACCACTGCAGTGCACTGGAAAATGTGAGGTGCGGTGTGTCCCAGTGTTAGAATTATAGACAGGCTTTTGTTTTGTTGATAAGCGCTGAGACCATACAATGCATCGGGGCAAGATTAGCTGGGAAAATGATCTTCTGATAAGGTTTTGAACCCAGATGCTCCTCCTTTGTTGTTTTCCCGGAACTGGGTAAATTCAGTTTTCACTTCTGTAGCTCCCCTAACAATCCCAAGGCCAGGTCTTTTACTGCTTCCCTAGGTGGAGTGACCATTATCAGCCTGGGAGAAGATGAGCTGATTTCATCTCTTCCTTTATAACCATGACGTGGGGGCCTCATTTCACATGCACAGATTCCCTCCGAAGACTAGATGAGCAGACCTGAGCCACCCTGGTGCTTGGAGTAACGACAGTCTTGCCCCAATGCCACTCTCTCTTCCCAACATTGTTGAGTTTTGGGCCATCATGCATTCAGTGCCTCAGTGGACAGAGAACCAAACCCAGGTGCTCTCACAAATCTGGAGCCAATTCTAAAGTTTTTTTAGCTCCAGCTCAGCTCAGACCACTGTCACCTGCTAGGGACTGTGGGTGACTGTGGACACCACTGGCACCTGCTTGAGACTGGGTGACTGGACTCTGAGCTGGGATGTGCTGTGTCCATGTGACACTCCTTCTCTCCAAGAGTTGTTCAAGAAGGTGGTGCCCTAGGAATGCCATCTGGACCCAGTGAAAGAGGAAGGGCAGGAAGCACCTGGCACCCACTGTTCATCCCACCATCACCCAGTTCCACAATGTGGCTAACTTGAAGATACTTCCTCTTGATGAAAATCCTAAACAAACAAACAAACAAAAAAATAACAAATAAAACAAAGAAGAAAAAAAGAAAATCCTAATATTGTTGTTTCTTTCAGCAGAAGTGATATTTTCTAGTCTTTACAGTTGAGAAGTTCAGGGTCTTATAAGGCCAATTTTTCTCTTTAAGATAAGATGGCATTAGAGCACCCAATACCAATGAAATTCATGCTGATAACCCTTTTCAAAGCAGCGGCATCTTGATGCAAGTCTTTGTATTCACACAGCCGTGACATAGCCTAGGAAAGTAAGTCAAAGAGAAAACAGGTACAATTTTAAAAAGGGCTCCAACTTTTTTTTTTTCGAGATGGAGTCTTGCTCTGTTGCCCAGGCTTGAGTGCAGTGGCACGATCTCGGCTCACTGCAAGCTCCGCCTCCCAGGTTCACACCATTCTCCTGCCTCAGCCTCCTGAGTAGCTGTGACTATAGGCGCCCGCCACCATGCCCAGCTAATTTTTTGTATTTTTAATAGAGATGAGGTTTCACCATGTTAGCCAGGATGGTCTCGATCTCCTGACCTCGTGATCCTCCCTCCTCGGCCTCCCAAAGTTCTGGGATTATAGGCCTGAGCCACCGTGCCCGGCCGGGCTCCAGCATTTTTTAAAAGGCATCACTGATGAGAAGCCACACATGCAGATTCCTTTAGATGGTCCCTTTGCAACTGCTTTGGCTGAGGTTTACACTGCCAGGTTCTGAGGATGCTACTCCCTGCCCATTCACTAAGGTGATCTCCTTTAAGGGCTATGAATAGATTGCCAGGGCTATGAATAGATTGCCAGAGCCAAGAGGAACTTACTTTATTAAGTTATTTTAAAATTGGGCTCATCGCTTGATGATAGTCACATAAAAAATAAAATAGGACTCCCAAAGATTTCAAGAGTATTGTGACAAGCTCCTAACAACAATATCTGTTACCTGTGCACTTGTTCCTTCAATGTAATAAACATGCACTTGTGCCAAAAAATCGATTTACTCAGTGATTCAAATTCTACCAAATTCTTGTTAGTTACTATATACTCAAAGCAAATTTTAATGAGACAGGTTTGTTCTGGGCTATTTGGAACATCCAAGAAGTCTAATGACTGAAGCACCATAAGGTGCTACTTTACATGCACATTGTGGTAGAAAAATGTATTATTCTAAAGTATCACCAAGATACCAGAGAAAGTGCCAATTTTATATATGTCTATTTCAGTTGTAATTTTCCTGTATACTCACCAAGGGTCAGAAGCCATAAATCTTACATTACCCCATGAAAGTTACCATTTTCATTAAAAACCCATGTCCTTCCTACAGCCAGTACTTGAAACACTGGCACCTTATACAGTCTAAGTACAAGTCTCTCAGCCACTACTGCTTTGTCTAATAAACTCATGGGACTGCACCGTGATATATACGGTAGACAATGACATAAATTTGCAAACTGTGTAAGTAAAAGACAGTCAAGAGTGGTAACTGCATTGTGTATATAGGTATAATTAAGAATACAATTGCATTTATTCAAGCATTGTTGTATGAACGGATAGAGGTTAAAAACAAAGCCCATTAAAATCAGATTAAATTTAATTAAAAATATTCTGAATTATGGTCATAGCAGAGAGAATATCAATACATTTTTAAGAATATGGATCATTGGCCTGGCGCAGTGGCTCACGCCTGTAATCCCAGCACTTTGGGAGGCCAAGGTGGGCAGATCACCTGAGGTCGGGAGTTCGAGACCAGCCTGACCAACATGGTGAAACCCAGTCTCTACTAAAAATACAAAATTAGCTGGTCGTGGTGGCATATGCCTGTAATCCCAGCTACTCGGGAGGCTGAGGCAGAAGAATTGCTTGAACCCAGGAGGCAGAGGTTGTGGTGGGCCGAGATTGCACTCCAGCCTGGGTAAAAAGAGTGAAACTCCGTCTCAAAAAACAAAAAAAACTAATTAATTAATTAATTAAGAATATGGATCCTTCTATAGACCATAAAAGATAAGAAATATGATGCCAAAGAAATAAGCTCTTTGCTCTGTTAATTTTAAGGCTTTCATTTTCCAAATCACTACTTAATATGATTTTGTAACAGATTTTGGCTTTTGTGGCCTATGGAAAACTCCACTAAGTGACTTCACATCCTTACCTCCAGTTTCTGGGCTTTATCTTTGTGAAGAAAGCTAAATAGAAAATACAGGTCATGGTCATTTGCCAAGGCACACAGGTCAAAGTAATATTTTGCATAAACACTGGCAGACACATGAATATTAAACTCAAGTAGCTCCAAGAAACACTTCTCCATCTTGCTCCTGGGGGAGGAGAAACACAATAAAACCAACATAGGACAATTCTAGTCAAGTGGGTTATCTTTAAAAATATCATTCTGAGCTACTAGGATGCTCTAAATTCTATTTTGAAACACATAAAGGCTGCATGATCAGGTCCCTACACTAATGTCCAAATAAGACACAGCTGCTTGGGGCTCTTCTGCATCCCAGCACCCCAAGTTTGGGATAAGGGAAAGGTGGAAGCCTCTTCTGCACTCCTGCTGCTGAATCGGGGCTCATTCTTCAGAGTTCCCTTAGGGCAGCTGCACAACTCAAACTCCATGCTCACTCACAAGACACGCAATAGCAATCACATGACAGGAATGATGGGTGTCATTTATTAGCTCTTTAGTACCTCCAGGCATTTTTACCAGGACGATAACAGGAAGGGGCTTACTGAAGTAGAGAAGCACCAACAAGAGGACTGGGTGCATCACCACAGCAACAAATGGACCCATGGAGAGCCACCCTATTATCTCAGAGGAGGAAAAACTCTAAGGCTACAAGAAGGATTCATCCCAAATAATTACGTAAGCAAGCTACATTCCATGGCAAAAAGAATCCCCTTCCCTCTGCTCCAGCCCACAAGGCTATGTCAAAGGGGCATAACACAAGTTTCTGCTCACCTTAGTATTATGAAGAGTTGAAACTGCCACTGTGACAGGACAAGGATATTCTTTAAAGTTTGAAAGGCAGAAAAATCAAGGAGAGACATTTTGGCTAGACTAAACCCATTTTACGATGTGATTTCTAGAAGGGCCCTGGCCTTACACATGCGGTGTTGCTCCTGAGTTGGGAATGCAACCGTGAAGCGCTCAGCATCTGTCACCCCTGGCCAGAACGGGATGTGGGGGAGTTGAATGCAGTGGGAGACTAAAGGGCTGGGAGCCGTCCTCTGCCACACGGTCATCCAGCCGCCCTCACCAAGGCTAAATTAATAGGTACACAGTTAGAGTAAATCTGGCTGCTTTCAGAGTAACCCCTGTAATGAGTTAATTGCTTAAAAATGATCACTATCTAAACAATATATTTGGTTTCTTGGTTTGAAAGTTTTAATATTTTACCCACTGGCTAAGTCAACAAATGCTTGATGTTCTCCTGTAAGGGGGGCAGTTAGACCACGAGCCAAAATGAGGTGATCTCATTTGCTGAACTTAAAACCCAGCTGAACCTACTTCCAAAATTAATTTTCTGTTCAAATGTCCATAAGTCCATAGAAATGTAAATATATATATTTGAATTATATATATATAATTCGAATTATATATATATAATTCAAATAAATATGAATATTATTTCATATATTTATATATTTGAATTATATATAATATATATAAAATTATATATATAATTCAATTATATATAATTAAATTATATATATAATTTAATTATATATAATTCAAATATATATATAATTCAATTATATATATAATTCAAATTATATATATAATTCAAATAATATATGAATAGATAGCTAATCAGGACTAGACTTATGACAGGAATTAAAGGCACTTCACTATCCCTTTTTATTTTCTCCATTAGTACGTTGTAACCGTGTAGAAATACAGTACTTCACAGAATTAACATATTAATAGAAATTTAATCCTGAAGAAAATCATTCTGTGTATAGAATATGCATCTTCTGGGCTTTGTGGTTTCTTTTAAATGGCTAGATGATTGAATAGCATACCCTTTACAGACACAGCAAATTTTCCAAATAGCAGCTACTTAGTTTAACTTACTCTTTAGAAAGGAAATATTCTAGGGAGACACATAGATATTGGAAAGTTTTTTTATTTTATTATTATTATACTTTAAGTTTTAGGGTACATGTGCACAACGTGCAGGTTTGTTACATATGTATACATGTGCCATGTGGGGATATTGGAAAGTTTTAAGAAAAATCTGATCAACACCAATTTTTTAACTGTTACATTTACACTCAAAACGGGACCATTGCAAAGAGTCAACAGCAGGGGGCTGAAACAAATGTCTATAAACACTTTGATGTAATGCTTTTCAAATTCCCAAGATCATAAACAGAAGCAGCCTTCTTGGAGCATAGCTCCTGGTGTTTCACCATTCACACACCAACAGCACTGTTTGGAACCGGTCTTCTTGGAGCTAGGCTCTGCCCCACTGCTCCTGGAGCTCACTTCTGTGGAAACCTGCACATATCCCTGCATGCTCTCTGATCTTGTGACTAGAACTCAGAGCCCCAGCCAGCTGAGCTGCAGGTTTTGAGAACAATTCAGCTGCCATGATGGTAGAACTAAGTGTTCATGATTACAAATTTGAAGCCGCCTTTGCAAAAATTGTAACTAAGAAAATCGTGACAGTGAAAGAGAGCTGATCTGACTTCATCTTGCTTCTAACCTCCAAGGTGTCCTTGTTCATTCCTAGGCAGAGGCCAAACTAACTTTAGGATGAACTTAGTTTATAGTTTAATTTTGAAACAAAGACAGTAGCAGCCCTTTCCCAAAACAAACCCGCTTCCTGCCTGGGGACTAGCCTGCCTTTCCAGGACTAACAAATTAGCCACAAGATTAGAAATTATGGTTTAGGAGTCATGCGGCTGAAGGCTGCAAGAGTCTGAACCTCCCCATATTTCTCCTGGGAATAATATCACTATTGTAAAACCTAAGATCAGTGCTTGAGATATTTTGCAGGCCCTGTGCTGGGCAAAGGTGGCACCACTCCAAGCAATAAACTTGGCTCATCTGGTTTTGTGGCCCCCACCCAGGAGCCATCTCAGTGCAGGAGGACAGCTTCAACTCTCTGTGATTCCATCTCTGATCTGATCAATCAGCACTCACCACTTTCTGACCCCCTACCCACCAAATTATTCTTTAAAAAACCATCCCAGAGTTTTCAGAGAGACTAATTTGAGTAATAGTAAAACTCTGGTCTCCCGTACAGCTGCCTCTGCATGAACTAAACTCTTTCTCTATTGCAATTTGCCTGTCTTAATAAATCAGCGCTGACTAGGCAGCAGGCAAGGAGAAGTTGGGCAGTCACAAATCTTGCTTCCTTTGAGGAACCAGTTTACAAATGGATGACTATGATCAAGGCCACCTTAGTGTTTGCAACATCCAAAGTATTTCCGTTAGTTTCAAATTCATTTGCGGTCACACTCTTTGCTAAAATGGCTACCAGAAATATCACCATGATCACTTGGTTTACACTATTGGCAAAGTGGTGGCAAAAGTAGATTTTTGTTTTTCTTTTTGAGACAAGGTCTGGCTCCATCACCCAGGGCTGGTGTGCAGTGATGTGATCACAGTTCACTACAGCCTCAACTTCCCAGGCTCAGGCAATTCTCCCACCTCAAACTCCCAGGTAGCTAGGACTACTACAGCTGCCTGCCACCATGCCCGGCTAATTTTTTTAAAAAAACTGTACAGACAGGGTTCACTGTGTTACCCAGCAGGTCTTCAACTCCTGAGCTCAAGTGATCCACTCACCTCAGCCTCCTGAAGTGCTGGGATAACAGGCATGAGCCACTGAGCTCAGCCGCAAAGGGCTCATTTTTAAATGTAGATATACACTGAGGTATACCTACAACAGACACTATATCTTCAATTGCAGACATACACTGAGGTGATTCAGAATGACAGTATTATCTGGAGTCATGGACAAAGGTCACAAAACTAACTTGTCCCATGCCTGGCATGATCTTGATCTGCTGCTGCTGCTCAGTGTGAACAAGGGCTGCTCCCTTGTCTTGCACAGATGCAGCCTGCACAGCTGTCCTCACTGTCGAGCAGGCACCCAGGAAGGCTCTGCTGGAAATGCCTCCCTGCTCTCCCTGCCTGCCAGCTGCAGGTCCCTTCCCTTCACAGCAGTCATGAGGTCAGATTGGAAGGGAGCCCTGGTGAAGCTGCGTTTCAGTGTCATGTTGGTGCATCTGGGAGGAACCCCATGACTCCACAAGACTCCTTGCACTCTCATGGGCAACTCCAGACCCCAGCATGCTGCTGCGGATGTCTGAGTACCCATGGAGCTTTGTGAGTGTGGTGGGCATGGGGAGATGCCCCAGAAATGCTTCTCACACTGCAGGAGGCGAACGTTGGAGCTTCTAACTCATCAGGTTAATTTCCAAACACATGCAACACTCCCAATGGGGAGGGGCCAGGGCACAGGAATCTGTGGCTATTTAACTTCATATCTCAAGGTTCCTATAAAAACAGATCTTCAGATAAAATGGGGAGGAAAGGACCAGCAAAGGCAACTATACAAAGGGTGACTTAGGTTGAAGCTATAACTTCTCCATAGTCCAGAGTCCTTAAGACCTTAACAGTGGCCAATTATTTCAAAGGCCAAATGTTTGTCCCTTAAAAAGGGACTGAAACTGGCAGATAGCTTCTAAAAAGCTATAAAGATATTTATTGTACTGTGTCATTCTAATAGTACACTTGTAAGAGGTTTGCCAAAAAACAATCAGAAAAATGCTTTTCAGTTTATCCAGGAGGTTATTACAACAATAACACATCAAGACCTACCCATGAATGCCAAAAAATATAAACTGTTATACTAAAGCTGGATAGAGAGAAGTCTGTGGTCTTATGCCTATTTCCTTTATCTGCACGATGAAACCTATAAAGATATTGTTTACAGGGTTAACTTGGAGAGCAAATGAGGTATGGAAATTGGTTACACAGTTCACCAAAACCTTACAAACTCACATGTTCTCAACTGCAGTGTCCTTGGAATTCTGGCTGTCATCCACACTCCACAGACCATGATTTCTCCAAACCTTGGAGGCAAGAAGCATGGTTCCAAGGACAATCTTCTTCCAATTAGTAGGACAAAGATCGATGTTAGCACTAGTTAGAAGTCGTTTGATGTATACCTGCAAAATAGAGCACTGCTCTTTGATTTCAGTTCAGCTTAAGTGTGGTGATACGAACATTTAAAAATGAAAGATTTCTTCCGGTTTTGACCAGAAAGTAAGTGCCTTTTATTCTTATGTTCTGCAGAGACTTTGCTCAGACAAAGCAAGAGGCCAAATCACAGTCATAGTCAGATACCTCTGCAGCCTACTCTGCCTATAGACATTTCCAGCCCAATTTTGGTCACAGGGAGGACTGGACATCTCTGCGGGCATGAAGAGAGGCACCATCAGCACCTTCACACTCATTAAAGGCAGCACAAATTCAGGCCCAGTGCAGATTAAGGTTGTTCAGGAAACACTCCAGTGCTGTCTGTGTGCAGCATCATGCCTGGCTGGCAGGTAGATAGGAATTTTACAGGTATACCATGCTTGAATATGTAACACTCAAGTGATACTGAGAACACTGCTGTCTTCTCCTTTTCACAATAACTAACCCGCTCTTGGGACACCAGCTGAGGAACTGCAGATCAAGGTCACTTCCCAATGCCTGCCATGCAGACAGCATGACAAGCACAGGTCTCTGTGGCTGAGAAATAATCTCCGTATTCAGTGCTTGATAAGGAACACATGAGTATGAAAGGAGGGTCCTGCTCACAGCCCCTATGTTCCACGTCTCCACAATCTCTTCAAGAAAACTCATTTCTTGTTCTATAGTATCTGCATTCAGTCAATTCAGTTGGGTTTTAGGCAGAGACAGCTGTCGGCCTCTGTATCCCTGGGGTTCCTCTCAACATGCCAAGCAGTTTGTGAGACAATCTCAGAAAGTATTTTCTATCTATCCAATCTCTATCCTATAAAGAACTTGGTGAGGGACCAGCTGAGTGGAGGTTACAGAGGTGAGCGGTGAGGCGTTGCTATCCCAGAGGGTGCTCTGCAGAAGAGTATGTCTCTATGCTACTTGACATCTTTGTATCAAGATCAAAGGAAAACAGTTCATTTTAAGAGAGTTCATTTATTGTCTGAAGGTTATCAGATTGGCGGCTCAGATATGGCAATGTTCTCCAAACTCAACTGTGTTTTCAAAATCAAATGGCTCTTGAACATGATATGTTCTTATGAGAGATTCTGCTCCCTTTCCCCCTAACTCTGCACTATTGAGTATCCCAGGAATGACCCTCCCTCCCAGGGTTCAACTCCACAGCACTCATTAGAGAGCACTTAAACAGCATTGGCAAGCCCTCAACTTCCTGTCACCTTTACTGGTAAGCTGGACCTGCTGACACTCACCGAAACCACTTGCCCTCCTGGGTCAGTGAGAAAGCTCCTTTTTTAACACCAACTCTTCTATCAGCACAGTGGATCCCATCCCACTTTTGCAGAACACTGTTCCCCAAATCACCTCTTCTTGAAGCCTTTCTCCCTCTCTGCCAGAGATTTCCCCCAATATGAACGTGTTTCCTGTTCCCATCCTGCTCCCCACAGCTTCCCAGAGGCATCCTCTCAATTTGCTCACAGCATCAGGCCCTGTTGCCAGCTCCTCACCTCCCATCTCTCCTTAACCCACCTCACCCACCCCCATCACTCGCCTCAGACTCCTCTTGCAAAGGTCCTCAGAGTCTTGACACTTACAAACCAGAGCCCTTCACCCCAAGGCTCCACTCTCCAAGCTGGCCCTAATCTTGTCCAGGGAATTGCCATTGGCCTAGCTCCTGGGGACTAACACTTAAATGTGAGTTACCCTGTTTCAATCTGTGTGCACTCCCTCTATGCCTACCTTCACTGGTAGGCTGCCTGCTTCAGATTCTGAGCCGCCATGTGTCACGGCTCACCTATATCACCCTATTTGCTTCTTGGTAATCTTCTCTGCCCCAACCTTCCTCCCAACTGTGGTCTACTCTCCCCAAAGCCGTCACCATAACCTCTTAAATTAAGAACACTGCACTCCCCTCCTCAAGATCTACCATGAGCGCCCCCATCAAACTGGAATAAAACCTGAGCTTCTTCCCATGGCCTGCAAGCCAAAGGGCTCTGTGAGCTGTCGCACTGCCTGTGCAGCCTCATCTCTTCCATTCTTTCCTTCATTCCTCTCACCACGTGGGCCCCCTGGTGTTTGTTCCTTGAACACACATGAAATGTGTTTCTGTCTCAGTCTCAGCACTCATCCTACTTCCTGTCATGCCAGCACTTCTTATCGTCCTCGCTTTATAGTCAGGTCACTGTTCAAATGTGACCTCTCTAGAGATGCTCTTCCTGATCATTCTATTTGAAATAATGAGCCCCTCTCATCACTCTGTCTTTATCCTGCTTTATCGTTTTGCTATTTTCCATAACCTAAAAAAATGCTTTCCTCATTGCAACATGAGCACATAAAGACAAGGACTGTGTTCAACCTGTCCTCTTCTCTACCCCAGCACTTAGAAGAATGGGACAGGGTCGGCATGCAGGGGGTGTTTATGGAACGGACAACTTCTTGGCAGCATTTAGCCCTGTGACCACAGCCTTTCCTATCTTGACCCCTTTGCTCTTCTTTTATTATCCTCTCCTGCTCTTCCTCCTCCCACTCTAGCCACTTTACTGGGGGCTTGTCCCTTACATGCTGGTAGTCCTTACACAGCTATCTTCTGTCCACCTTCTTTTCTTTTCCTTTTTAGAGATGGGGACTTGCTATGTTGCCCAGGCTGGACACAAACTCCTGATTTCAACTGATTCTCCTGCCTCAGCCTCCCAAGCAGATGGGACTATAGGTGTGTCCCCACCATGCCCGGCTTCTCCACTTTCATTCTAAACACTTTCTCTGCATTTGAGCAGCTACTCTCTTTTTTTTTAGACAGAGTTTCACTCTCGTTGACCAGGCTGAAGTGCAGTGGTGTGATCTTGGCTTACTGCAACCTCCACCTCCTGGGTTCAAGTGATTCTCTTGCCTCAGCCTCCCGAATAGCTGGGATTACAGGCGCCAACCATGACACCCAGCGAATTTTTTGTATTTTTTAGTAGAGACAGGGTTTCACCATGTTGGTCAGGCTGCTCTCAAACTCCTGATCTTAGGTGATCCGCCTGCTTCAGCCTCCCAAAGTGCTGGGATTACAGGTGTGAGCCACTGTGCCCAGCCTTGAGCAGGTACTCTTACTCCTTATTCCTTATTTCCAGTTCAGATTCATGGTCCAGTCCCATAGATACAAATATTGACTGTACACGGCCACTCTGCTATCTTACAGGCACACCAAATTTAGCCTGTCTACAGTGAACTCCCCCTTCTTCCAATCCAGCTTTCCCTCCTGTGTCAGCTCTCTCTCTCTAGCTGGAAGTTCCACTTCTGCTTCCTGCCAGCATGTGCTGAGCATTCCAAATGGCCTGCAGCTCCATGAAGAGGACTGCACCTGATCCAATGCCCATGGAGGGATTTCTATGCAGGTGCCTAGCAGAAGCCATCTCTTCTAAGCTCTAGCCAGATGCTAAAGGAGAGGGTACTACTGTTCTAAGTATCTTTTCTCTCCTGGCTGCATGGTTGACACTCCTCTACAGGTTAGTGTGGGGAGGGGTAAATCAATCCCAGCCATCTGAAAAGGGCTTCATATTCAGAATGAGTCTCACCACAGGAATTCTGTGAGAATGATGTAGATGTAAGGACACAGCTATGGCTTAGCAGGCTACCTAGCAAAGCCTGTGTCCAAGTCTTCCTGGTACCACGTTCCTGGGCAATTTCTGGAGCAGGCACAAGAGGTCAGCAGGAACAACAAAGCATTCAGAGCAGCAGCTCCCAGTCACAGCATGCATCAGAAGTGCCCGGGGAATATGGCCTGGGACTCAGCTTAGATCTACATTGGAATCTGTTGAGGAAGAAACCAGAAATCTCTCCTGCTGCCTTTAATAGCAATTATTCTGTGATAAGAAAAGCAATGGCATCATTTTAAACCATAATGATGATTCAACTCAAATATGTGTATTTAATGGCTTGCACAGGTTTCTCTTAAAAGATCTGATGATAATTTCAGGAATCTACTTTTAGTTAGAAACATGGCCATACGCTGTGTAGGAGACCAGTTGTTAAAGATGCTTTATAAATAAGAAATATCTTACCAAAGCTACAATTGCACATGGAGCTGTTAGTTTTATGACTTGAAAAAGAGTACAGAAATGTCTGAAAATACAGTTGCGTTTGGGATCATGCTTGAAGGATTTCCCTGGAAGCTTCTCTTGCTGAAAGAAGAAAAAAGGCAATATAAATATCCACTCAAGGAAACTTTTTAAGAACTCTTAAGATGGCAGTGTTCACATTTGTGCCCATGTGTCCCTTACAACAATTTTGATGAGATAAAATGTCTTTTTATTTTAAAAATATAAACAGAAGGATATTAAAATATTTTTGGTTTTCTGTAAACATAGGCCCTAAGGTGGACCTGTGGCTATCATATATCTGAAGAAGGAAGTTTTTAAATTTTTGTAGCATTTAAACTGATTTAAATTGTTTTCTAATTCTATTTACAGAAGTTGTGCATATTTGTTAGGACTATTTACAAATATTTATATTGTTTGCTGCTATAGAAAATTATTTTTTAAATGACACATTTTGTTATTTGGATGGTATATTTACTCCCCTTAGCACACTAATTAAGCAAAGCTGCAAGTCAGCTCTTACTCCAGTGTGCCCACTTTACAACACTCCTTATATAAGATGATTAGACACAACAGAGGGAAGACTTAAAGGTGGGTGAGTCTGACTTCAGCATGAACTAAATATAACTCTATGAGACAAAAATAGAACCTCAAATAAAGCAACACTTACTGGAAGTGGATGTACTGGCTCTTCAAAAATAGCCAGAGATCTATTTGCATATCTATAAAATAAGAACGTGCATTCAAGAAATTAATTCGGGAATTGTTAATATCTTAGTAAAATATCTGCTTGGGAGTAGGGCATGGAGGGTGGAGAGAGATACCTCTTGTTTGCTTTGGTAAAATTTGTTCATCAAAAGAGTTTTTGCAAATTTTTCTCCTGGATCCTGGCCTTCAGAGGGTTTCTTGACCTGTTTTTCTTCAGCACACTATGTCGTGAACTGTGAAGTCTTTTCTACATTGATGAGCCAGACTTGCCTTTAAATATTGACCCCCGCTAACAGGCAATGGTAATAAACTATATCTATTTTCACTCCTCTAACCACATGCTGGAACGCAAGAGCATTTTATAAAGCAGTAGTGGTTGGCAATAAACTTATAACTTGTAATAAATGTGAATGAGATTCAGATTTACCAAATCTTCCTTTATTACATGTTTATCATATTTGTTTAAGTAGTTTGAGTTACAAACTTAATTGTCTTTTTATTTTAAAAGAGGCCAGTCTTAATGAACTTTAAAAAACTAACACATTGTATGCTCATTTAGGAAACCAGTGGTTCTCCAAATGTGGTTTGAGGATCCCTGAGATTCCCTAGGAGGCCCATGATGTCAAAAGTTCTTTTTTTTGAGACAGGGTTTTGCTCTTTCACCCAGGATGGAGCACAGTGGTACAAACATGGCTCACTGCAGGCTTGACTCCCTGGGCTCAAGCGATCCTCCTGCCTCAGCCTCCCATGGAGCTGGGATGAAATGTGCACACCACCATGCCCAGCTAATTTTTAATTCTTTTTTGGTATAGATGGGGTCTTGCCACATTACTCAGGCTAGTCTCAAACTCCTGGTCCCAAATAATTCTCCCACCTTGGCCTCCCAAAGTGCAGGAATTACAGGTGTCAACCACCACCTATGGCCCAAAATGTTCTTATAAGAATACTAATTCAACCTGAGAAGCTGATTGAAAATAAAACATAATTTATTACTTTCTAAAAGTATTAAGACATTGCTTGCTTTTTCACTGTTCAACACTTGTAATGATTGCATAAAAGCAAAAGTGGGTAAAACTTCTTGTTTCTCAGTAAGAATAAGGGCTGTGGTACCAAATTATACTAGTATTCATTACACTCTTCACTCCCCCTTGCAGTTTTTATTAAAATATCCTGCTTCACTTAAGAATATCCTTGATGAAACAGTAAAAATTAATGGTGTTATTAAGTCCTGAACTCTCTTTTAAGTATTCTAAGTAGTGGTGCAGGAAGTCAGGGACCCCGAACAGAGGGACCAGCTGGAGCCAAGGCAGAAGAACATAAACTGTGAAGATTTCATGGACATTTATCAGTTCCCAAAATTAATACTTTTATAATTTCTTATGCCTGTCTTTTCTGCAATCTCTGAACATAAATTGTAAAGATTTCATGGACATTTATCACTTCTCTAGTAATACTCTTATAATTTCTTATGCCTGTCTTTACTTTAATCTCTTAATCCCATTATCTCCATAAGCTGACAATGTACATCACCTCAGGACCACTATTGTACAAATTGACTGTAAACGTGTGTTTGAACAGTATGAAATCAGTGCACCTTGAAAAAGAACAGAATAACAACGATTTAAGGGAACAAGGGAAGATAACCATAAGGTCTGACTGCCTGTGGGGTTGGGCAGAATACAGCCATATTTTTCTTCTTGCAGAAAGCCTATGAATGGATGTGCGAGTAGGAGAAATATTGCTGAATTCTTTTCCCAGCAAGGAATAACCCTGGGGAAGAAATGCATTCCTGGGGGGAGGTCTATGGATGGCCGCTCTGGGAGTGTCTGTCTGATGCGGTTGAGATAAGGACTGAAATACGTGCTGGTCTCCTGCAGCGCCCTCAAGCTTACTAGGATTGGGAAATTCCAGCCTGGTAAATTCTAGTCAGACCATTTCTCTGTTCTTGAACCCTGTTTCCTGTTAAGATGTTTATCAAGACAATGCATGCACAGCAGGACATAGACCCTCATCAGTAATTCTAATTTTGCCTTCACCTTGTGATCTTTTATTGCCTTTTGAAGCATGTGATCCTTGTGAGCTACTCCCTGTTCATACACCCCCTCCCCTTTTAAAATCCCTAATAAAAACTTGCTGATTTTGCGGCTCAGGGTCGTCATCACGGTCCTACCAATATGTGATGACACCCCTGGAGGCCCAGCTGTAAAATTCCTCTCTTTGTACTCTTTTTCTTTATTTCTCAGACTGGCCGACACTTAAAGAAAATAGAAAAGAACCTACGTTGAAATATTGGGGGCTGGTTTCCCCAATAAAGTAGGAAGTTCACATAAACCACTTCTGCATACTGAAGTATGGGTATGTTAAAGAAAAGCACTTGTGATTTAATTGTGAGCTGAACAAGCAAATTTTTAACAGAACACCATTTCTATCTGAAAGTTTGACTGACTGTCATTCTCAAAAAGAAGTCAAATGAGTCTGTCATTTCAAGGAAAATAACAAGTATTTGTTGTCTATAATAAAGCTAAAGCTTTCAAGCTAAAATCAGGACTTGGAAAACTCATACCTACTACTGTGAGCTTGACGGCATCTCAATATTTGAAGACATTTTTATAATCATGGTGATACTAATGAAAGTGAGTTTTTGACACTATCAATGAACATGAATTAATATTTTCCAAATAGCCAATGCATAATATTATAAAAGACAGTAAGTGGAGAGATCCATTTATGGTATGAGAAAGATCAGTGAGTATTAGTGGAATGAATTCATTGATATGTACAATCCCATTATAACTATTTTAATAAGTCAGCACTTGTGAAGTTTTGGTGTGGTTAAAGAATACCCACGATTACCTGAAAGCTTTAAAAATACACATTTTTCCTACTACACATTTGCATGAGGCTAGTTCATCTTTTTATTTCTTCTTTACAATAAATTGCAAACAAGACATAAACAAATACACTTTGGGACCCTCAATAATTTAAGAGTTAAAAGAGTCTTACAGACCAAAAAACCCACAAATGATTCACTTTAATACTGTAAAGTAAGCACTCTACAGCTTATGTCTATAGTTATGACCTAACAGCATGTTTCATATTATACAAAGTGATGAGCTGGAATAACAAGGCAGGTTTTCAAAGAGCTCACCTGTGCTTTATGTTGTAATATATTGCCAAAGCCACACTGTGGAGGGAAAAAATATATTTGTAAGAACTGATTTTATCATTGGTTAGGCCTGAATACATGTTTTTAAAAGGGGGAGGAGGAATTCTCTCAGTGGCCCTGAAATCCTCTTGTTCAAAACAGTACCATATGAGCACTTTTCTTTTGTTTTAGCTCTCTGGCTTTATAGTGAAAATAGGAGAACCAAAATGCTAGGCAATATGCTGTTAGAAGATGTTTCTGCTGATGGTTATTATATATAAATAATTACATATTTTCCCTGTCATTTGCTATTCTACCCATAGAACCTTTCATCCTGTGCAAGTCACTTACATCTATGTGTACATAAGCTTACATTTAGGCCATATAGTAGTGTTTTGCTTGTTAAGTGGCTAGGCCCTGCATTTCAGCTGATTTAGTTCTCCATCGCCTACTCACCCATTTATCATTAGTTCCCTAAAAGCACACAATGATTGTGCTTTATACCAAATAAAGTAATTTAAAATCACCTCTGCATAATTATTAACAGAAAATTTATTAGTAAATATAATGCACACAAAAATTGATGACACTTGTAACTATCCTGAAATAAGCAGCACTAAAGAGCATAACACAGCATCATACAATATTCATGACAGGTATTTCCACATTCGTTTAAACAAAATATTAGTGAACAAATACAACTCTTCAGATGTATGTTACTGTGGTCCTCAGTCATCCTCAGATGGTGTGTGTCAGCAAACAGGGGCTTCTCTTGGATAAGTTCTGTGCTTCCATTTGCCCTCAGCATTTAAAATGAGGCTCAGAATAATTTGAGAAGGCAAATTTGAGTTGTAAAAAGTAGACCTTACAACATTATTAGCATCTAAGATCGATATTTCTATAGTGCCTCAAACAGTTCCATCTCCAAATTGATTTCAAAATCACAGAATTTGAAGTTACATGCTGAAAAGGCCACTGAACCTTACATGACACTCCATGAACCACCCATTTTACAAATAAGAGAACCAAGGCTTCAAACTGACTTGCCCAAGATCCCCACATAGTGCTTTTGTGAACTGCAGGAGTTCACAAAACACTGTGGTATGGTTTAAATTTAAGCATATGCACACATACATAGAAATGACTTGCACAGATGAAAGGCTCTATGAGTAGAAAGAAGAGCAAATGACAGGGAAACATGTAATTTATACGTTAGAACCATCACTCCTCCGTGCAAAGGAAGCAGTGGCCCCCACGTTTGCTGCACACTGGACCACCTAAGGAGCTTTAAAAACAGCCTCACCACCAGCTGGAGACATTCTGATTTAATTGGCATTGTGTATGATTTGGGCATCAGGGTTGTTGGTAAAGATCCCCAGGTGAATCCAATGTGCTGCAAAGTTTGAGAATGACTGAGTTAGGGTTAAGGTCAGAATCATCTGGGATGCTTTTATCCATATAATGATGCCTCACATACTTAACCATTTTTCTAAAAGGCTTGTGAGTGCCAGAGATGGAGGGAATGTGGAGCTGGGAAGATGCATGTGTTTGCAGAGATATATTTTGAAGAAACAGGTATAAGTGATTCTAATATGGCTCACTCATGCCTTTGAGTACAATGGACTACTAACCATGGAAAACATTTTTGAAAATCTTTCTGAAAGCCAATTTGCTCTATTAATTTGCTCAGTAAATCTTTATTTCATAAAAGTAAATATACCAAATGATCCCTTCTAAAATTTGAGAGCAAATTAAAACTAACTGTATTTCAAAAATAGACTTCCAGGCCAGGCGTGGTAGCTCATGCCTGTAATCATAGCACTTTGGGAGGCTGAGTTGGGTGGATTGCTTGAGACCAGGAGTTTGAGACCAGCCTGGCCAACACAGCAAAACCCCATCTCTAAAAAAGAAAAAAATAATCTATTTTAAAACAACTTGTAAGAATTAGACTATGCTGGAAGAAAAAGCAGAACCTCTACTTGTTTGAGCAAGGTGAAGCTTAAAAACTACTTTTGAATTGCATACTGAAACATCAGAATCTTTTGAAATCATAAGAAACCAGGGACTCTAGCCAAAACAGAGTGCCTTTTTACTTAGGGCTGAATACAAACATTAGGTGATGACTCCATAGAGGCCAAAACTCAGGGCTTTAGACACAGGTGGAGTCCAGTTCCTGATGAAACACAATTTGATCTCAATAATTGTTACACAGGAGAGAGGAAAGTGACATTATTATGAGTGTAAGTTTATCATTTTTAATTAAAGTAGAAGTTACTGACAAATTAGCTTAAAAAGCTAGTACATTAGAAACAAAATTAAGCTTGTAAGCTAGTCATGTTTATAGACTGGAAAGTTAAGTTAGGGATAAGGACATTAACATGCTAAGGTAGTAGTTCTCAAACTGTTTTCCCAAAAATCAATGCTCGTAATCTAAGGAGATGTTAATAATGTTCCCTGGATGCCTCAATGGAACTGGGCTTTGTTGTGACTTTTTAAATAAACTTGAACCCATCGTCCAAGGGTGTTTTGAAAAGGCATTTCTGATTGTGGCCTATGAAGTGCTCATGCATGATGGCAAAATGTAAATGCAGATATACTATGGCACCACTGGAGGACAAGCTGTTCCTTCTTTCAAGAGTAGTTTCCAAAGTATTACCCATCGTCTTTGGCCTGTAAAGAACTAATAATTTTTCCCAGAAACTTTCAATAAAAAGCACCTCTCCTTCCCATTAGGTTCAACACTGTCATAACATAAATGCATCAAATAAATAGCTACTCTTTTTCTGGGATTGCTTATTTGCTATCTGGCTTTCCCTTCTACCACACAGCATCTAAGGTTAAAAGAGAAACAGAAAATTCATATTTAGGTCCCAGAAATCCATATATCATTGACATCAACTTCTTAAACTGCTTGCTGAAAAGGGCAACCAAATGGCTGAAATGACAGAGGATGGCTGTGATGCTTTTAGCATATGGGGGTCTGTCACTCAGCCCTTGGCAGCCTCGTTTTACTCACCTTTCTAATGTATGTCTAAGGTCAGGCTGGCTGGCTGTGCTGTTATCTAGCAATATGGTGGAACATGAGCCGTATTTTCTATCAAGATGCCATGGAGGTATCTGAAGGAGAAGGAAGATAGAGAAAAATGTCACAGTAGGCTGAACCTACAAAAGTGTGGGCTTTTTTCCTTAGTCAAAATGTCAAATAATAAAGCATTAAGGTATTTTTTATACCCCATGACCTGCCTGAGTGTGGTATTGTGAGCAGCTCTATGGGAAACTCATTGGAGGTGCTTAACTTCTGCAGATGATGTTCGAGGAATGGGTTATAAAATGCTGCCCTTGCTATGATACCAATCGTCAAACCCAGGAAGCCTCTATTATGAATTCCCTTTATAAATAATGGGAAAAGTTTAAAGTAAGATTTCATGGTTTTTTATTATGCAGTAAAAAGCAGCTGAGATTTTCTATTTCTATTATTCATTAACTACAACAAAATGTCATACATTAAATAATATTGGCACAACAGCATTTTTATTGCAGTAAATAAAGACCTAATACTACATTCACTAAATTACTAATCCTAAATATACTCATTCAAGAGACAGTGTGATGGAATCAGAATTTTAGAGTCAGAGATTCTGTGTGCCAGGGCTGCTCAGTGACCAAACAATTGAGGGGCCATGGGTTTCTCTGGGCCTGTTTCCTTGGGGGAAGATAGAAAAAGTACTACTTTAAGACTCTCACATTTGAAAATCAGATGAGGAAAACCACTTCAGGAATTTAACTTTCACTTCGTGTTTACATAAGACTGCTATTACATTACTCAAATGAGAACTTCCGAGAATACTTTGCATTCATTTCAAAAGTTGATTGATTTTATTCTGTAAGTAATTTGACACACATCATGGCACTGTCCTGCCTCAGTCATGCTGCTCTCTGCCCAGAATACCTATTTCTTTCCTCCTTATCCCAGCAAGCTTCACCTCCTCTGCCTTCCGGGATGCCTCTGCCAGCAGCCACACCACAAAACATTTCCGGTTTTGTGTACTCGTCAGTCTAATTCACCGTGTGTTACATGATAGCAATTGCCTGCAAAGCATCCCCCTGGTGAAAAAGAAAGCCTCTCCAGGGGAGGGAGGGTCCTTCCTCTCCTACCTGCAGCTGCTGAGCACAGAATGTGGGAGAAATTAAGGAGTTCAATAAGTGCTTGACAAGTTATTTAAATCAGTTACAATTTGGAAGGTAAATCTTCCTACAGTTACAAATTGGTGAAATTTATCTGCAGTGCTATCAGAGAGGTGACAGTGAACCTTTTGAGCCCTCTAGAAAATAAACTATTTATAAAACACTTTAAAAGTATCTATTCATTTGTCGAGGGTGCAACAGTCAATATGGAAACTGCCTCATCTATGTTTAAAAAAATGCTCTTCCTGGCCGGGCACAGTGGCTCACTCCGGTAATCCCAGCCCTTTGGGAGGCTGAGGCAGGTGGATCATGAGGCCCGGAGTTCAAGACCAGCCTGGCCAAGATGGTGAAACCCCGTGTCTACTAAAAATACAAAAATTAGCCAGGTGTGGTGGTGGGTGCGTGTAATCTCAGCTACTCAGGAAGCTGAGACAGAGAATTGCTTGAACCTGGGAAACAGAGGTTGCAGTGAGCCGAGATCATGCCACTGCATTCCAGCCTGTGTGACAGAGCAAGACTCTGTCTTAAAAAAAAATGCTCTTTCTTAAAAATAATGGCAGTAACCAAATCCTAGTCACCAAATGGTTGAAGAGATCAACAGCATTATTTAAAACCACAAAATACCAATTATTTTAGCTTTTAAAAAAATAACTCACATGAGCCTTCCTTCTTCCTATTGGGATATGCTTGTCTGCATCATGTTATCACACTCTTCCATCAGGGTCTCCCACAAGTACATGAAAGACAGGGTAGGGAGGAGATCTAGCAGTTGTTTCTAAAAGTACACAGTATTTAAAAATTGCCTGTAGCCAATAATCAGAAATATCCATACAGTCTAACACCATTTTGCTTGTTTCAGATGCTTTTCACTGTAAATTCACTTACTTCTTAACAAAAATCCCAGATGTTTTTGAACAATATTACTATTTGAAGGACCAAATTCTCCTTCAAGGTAGAAATGTTTTAACTCTAGCTAAACTCTTATGTCTCTTAAGCTATTCTATTAATGTATATACTTTACATTAACAGTGTATGTATGTCAATGTACATACTTTTATTGCCTGAAAAAACAAAAATAGCATGAAAAATAAAAATGGACTCACTCAGATACTTTCATTCAAAGTGAAAGAAAGTATCCCTTAAGGTCACCACTATTAGGGGTAATACAGCATAATACTACGCGGTAACAAAAGTCAATTCTGAGAAAAAATCCATATATGAGAATAAAAAGAACAGAAAAAAAAACGCACCAAAACGCAGACTAGCTGGTACAGCTTTAGGTGATACCTGTCCCCATTTTGTTCTATTTAAAATCTCATATAATGAACATATATTGGGGTGTGTGTGTGTGTGTGTGTGTGTGTGTGTGTGTGTGCGCGCTTTGAGGAAGTCTTGCTGTGTTTCCCACCCTGGAGTGCAGTGGCCTGAACTCAGCTTACTGCAACCGCCGCCTCCCAAGTTCAACCAATTCTCCTGCCTTGGCCTCCTGTGTAGCTGGAAATACAGGCATGTGCCATCATGCCGGGCTAATTTTTGTATTTTTAGTAGAGATGGGGTTTCACCATGTCGGCCATGCTGGTCTCAAACTCCTGGCCTCAAGTGATCTGCCTGCCTCAGCCTCTCAAAGTGCTGGGATACAGGTGTGAGCCACCATGCTCAGCTCTCAAGATCACTTTTTTCTCCCCATTTTTTTAAGAGACATCTTTCAGATATTTTTAAAATAATTAATGACTTTTAGCTAACTTAAAAATTTATAACATTTTGTGTACTAACAAAAACAGCTCCATCTATGTTGCACAGCAATGGGACCACATGGCATGTATGGAGTTTGAATAGAATTCTTACACAAGGCCTGAGTGGAAAAGTGTTATGTGCTTATTGTAAGTATAAATAGAAATTGTCTGAATTAATGTCATAATTATGTTGAATTTAAACTTAGATTTACACTTATATATGGGTTAAATCATTAAATATGATGGATTGACCAGAAATTTATTTTCTCTTCCTTCTGAAATCTCATTAGTATTATTCATAAAATAAACATTATACACAGGACCAGGAGACAAGATTGATGGCAGATCATTCTGAGTCAATGATGCAAGGTGAAAAGCTGATAGAGGAGTTGCAACTGACATGGAAGCACAACTTTGGAGCTGACAGGGAGTGACTTGAACAGAAACAAGTGATCTTCTTTGTTTTGAAGAACCCAACTCAGGCTCCAAAATCAGAGGCACATGGTACCTGGGAAGGTAGGGTGAAATATACAACTGAAGCCAGCAAGGTCAACTGTAAATCTGTGCTTAGAGCCCCAAGTCCACCTCTCTTCCCATCTTAGAAGGAATTTGGATGTGTATTCTCTGGATATTTTATACCTGAGGGTTTCTGGGCTCAGAACTACTAGGGCTAAAACCTGGGAAATGGGAATAAATTGCACACACAAAGTGAAACTGCACCTTCCTTCCCAACCCTGCTTCTAGAAAGCCAGCAGCCGTGCTTGCACTGCCCAGGCAGAAAACTGGGAGATCCTCCTTGGAAGAAAACTAAACCATTGCAAAGAAAATACCCACATATAATACACTGAGTTTCCCCAAAAGAAAAGCTGGCTTGACCTCCAAATCCCCACAATGAGACCCCTCAGTGAACAAAGGTCCTGCTTCCAAATAGAGAAAGGCAAAGACTACCACACATCTCAGGGAAGCCTCCAATGAGAGATCAAAACAACAGGAAAAAGGAATTCTGGGACCAGTAAAAATTAAGGAGCAAAACTTTTTAAAAAATCTTAAAATACCCTTAAGGAGATTTTAAAAATTCAATAGAAGGGTTAGCGCAGAAAGTCAAAGAATCTCTAAGAAGCAGAACAAAAGACAAATTGGAAAATAGGAGGGGAAGAAATTAAAGATCAATGCAGAAATACTGCTATAAGAGGCCGAACATTTGAATCATAAGAATACTAAAATAATAATAAAACAGAGAATATAGGACAATTCTCTAAAAGAGATAGTCTGCAGACTTAATGGCTGCAATAAAATAAAAGGTCCCCACAAAGCTGTATTATACAATTTCCGAATCCCAGGAATACAGAAGGTCTTAAAAAGCTCAAAAATGTAAAAATTGGTTACATATGATGTATCACACAATGGCAATAGTTTCAAGTACAGTATAATGAAAACACAATAGGGAAATGTCTTCAGAGCCATGAAACTTAGTTTTCACTCTAGAATTTTATACTCTATAACAAAAGAAGGGTTTGGAGAGAGGCTAGATCTCTATACATGTGTGTCCATGAGCCTTTCCTCAGAAACTGTGCTCCAGCACCACTGGGGAGTAACACAAGGCAGAGGGCAATGCACAGTCTAGGACTCAGGGATCCAACATGAGTGGGCGCATAAGAGTTCAGAGAGGGCTCCCAGGGAAACAGGCCCAGGGCAGCCTAGGGAAACACAGTCTATCCTGGAGGAGGATAACCAAAGGCCAAGGAAAGTTCCTTCAAGAAAAAACACAGAACATATGTTTTAGTAAATAAAACATTATTTTTGATAGGCATGTGACAAATGTTACACCACTTGGGGAAGAATAGCTGTTAAAAAAGAGGCAAAGGAACATAGTCAGAAAATTAATTCCACACACAAAATAATGAAGGAGGTGAAAACAAAGAGGCCAGCTGGGGGCTAATGGTCGTATTTGGCTTTATGAGCTATCATGGGCTAGGAAAAGGGGGATTATCTGGGAGAAGTGCAGAAGTGTTCAGATTTCAGAAATATTTAAGAGAAACAATGAAGGATGCACAAGGAGGAGGCACAGTCAGAACACTACATGACTCAGCAGTGAATAATATGTGCATAGTCATAATCATGTAAATATCAATTAGTGATTTAATAAAAAATGGGTTACAGGTGGAAGAAACGGGGAGGGAAATAAGGTCACAGTGGAGTGAGGAAGCTACGCTTTCACCTGCTATGACAGGAAGTCAGGAGAAAGTGTTGGAGAAAGTAGACTCAGCTATTTTTAATTTTATTTGAATACAAAAGATTAAATATTTAAGGCAGATATTTATATCACAACCAAATTGTGATATAATATCACAATCACCCTTAAAAATGGGCACAGTAAGCTACAGACTTTCCTGTATAAATCTGATACTTAGGAAAATAGAAGAGATTTAGAAAGTCCATCAGAAAAGGATCACACTAACAGCACCGGCTCCCTGTTAAATTTTTAAGGAATCATGACAGACTTTTAATTCAAACAATCAATTTCTTAACTTTTCAAAAGTTTACTTACATAATATAGGTGAGAGCTGCTCCTCTTTTCTTGCACTAAGAATGAAAAAATAACTAATCAATTCTGGTATAAATACCATAGAATAAAAGTAGTTGCTAATCATCTGATTATCACTATATAAAATGAGATAAAATTCCATTTTAAAAAATTCTTACCAACAAAAGTTATCATTTAAATAATCCGGCATAAAGTAAAATCTAAAAATATAGTTTTATTTTTGACCTAACAGATGTTCTATTACACAAAAATGAAAGAATCCCCATGTACACAAGGAAAGGCAAAACAAATTAGGCAACGTGTATGCCCTCCAAATCTCATGTTGAAATGTAGTCCCCAGTGTTGGAGGTGGGGAAGTGTTTGGATCACGGGGGCAGATCCCTCATGAATGGCTTAGCGCCATCCCCTTGGTGATGAGGGAGTTCCTGCTCTGAGTTCATACATGATCTTCTTGGGTTTTTGTTGTTGTTGTGGTGGTTGTTCTGAGATGGGGTCTCACTCTGATGCCCAGGCTGGAGCACAGTGCCATGATTATGGTTCACTGCAACCTTGACCTCCTGGGCTCAAGTGATCCTCCCACCTTAGCCTGCGGAGTAGCTGGGGCTGCAAGCACGAACCACCACACCTGGCTAATTTTTAAATTTTTTGTAGAGACAGGGTCTCACTATGTTGGCCAAGGCTGGTCTCAGACTCCAGCCTCAAGTGATCTGCCTGCCTCAGCCTCCCAAAGTGCTGGGGTTACAGGCATGAGCCACCACACCTGGCCTGATCTGCTTGTTTAAAAGAAGGCGGCACCTCCCACTCTCTCTTGCTCCTCCTCTCACCATGTGAGAGATGACTTCACCTTCCACCATGATTATTAGTTTCTTGAAGCCCTTGCCAGAAGCAGATGCTAGCACCACACTTCCTGTACAGCCTGTAGAACCGTGAGCCAATAAAGCCTCTTTTTTTATAAATTATCCAGTCTCAGGTATTCCTTCATAGAAATGCCAAAATACAGGACAGATGAGAAATTTAGCTAATAAAAAATTTACCTATTGTATATCTGAACCCCTAAGCAGTAGTGTTTTCTGATTCTACATTTACACATAGCTTACTTTCATTACCAAGATCTAATAGCTGACAGCTCTAAGAACCAGTTTCTGGCCAGGAGCCAGTCTTTAGATGCACTAGAATCCCTGCAAGCATCCAATGACTGATCGGTCGTCTACTAATATGTTACTGAAAAAATAAACAGGTCTTTACACAACTGAAAAGTAGCCTAGCTTAACTCAAATGTTAACATGAGTGTGCCAACCTAAATGAACTTGGTATCCTCAGGACACAAAATCATTTCATTCTAATACAGGTCCAAAGAATAAAAGCTACAAGGGGGACTTGGGCCACACTTTGTTCCCTACAATGCCTCCTTCTTTGAAGTTGAGCTGGTCTCACTGACACACATTTCTCACTGCTGAAGAGACAGGGGCATGGGGTAGGTTTTCTTCCACTTCCATACACTCTATGTGTGAGAAGCCCATGGCTCTGGAAGAAACTGAGAAATACAACAATCCTAACCAGAAGTTACCAGCTTGAGACAGGCAAAGTCCATACAAACTATGAAAATGCAGGGGAGAAACCCATTTTTTATTGTGCTGCATTACTTCAGATGTTATTATAGAAACCCCACTTCTTGTATTCTTGCTGTTGAAAACAACTGAAAAACATGGTGTATGGCTTTTTTGAAAAAACAGTAAGATTTAGCAGAATGTTACAAAAAAATAAGCAGGAGTACAGAAAACTCCTACAGTTCTAATTCTCATCCTAAAACAAGCAGGATGTGGAAACTTTACACTAGTTTCACACACTAAGGCTAACCTGGAAAACAGCACAGGCCATGTTTACATTTCCATTACATTCGAATGAAAAAGTTCTGAGTAGCATGAACATGGATGTGACAGGCTCATGCGGTTAGAGCACTGTGTAAAAAGGAGGCCAAAATCACGGATCCAATCTAGAACAACAGATTCTTTTGATTTGTTCAAGTGAACTCCAAGCTGTAGCCTAAATCTTATCACTCATCATTAACATGTACTCTTTGGAGCAAGGGAAAAATGGGAAAGATGTATGAAGAAAAAGGCATACATCCATGACTACTACACCAAATCATGTGGCCAATTAATTGCATTGATAAAAATGTCATCAAACGTGGAGACATAAAGCCTGCATGTTTCCATGAACAGTGTCAACTAAAGGAAATTATGTCACATATTAAAATAAGACAAGTAAATATATAAAAAGTTGAAATTTTTTTAACTAATATCTGAGTTCCTCTAAATACTTTCTGTAATACATGAAACAGAAAGTTTGTAGTTTTTTGCTTGGAGGAAGAAACAATATTGTCTTACCACTCATTTGATATTTTCTCAGGAAGAGTGTGCTTTCCCCTGGACAGTCAGAAGCAAAATCTGTAGAGGAAGAAGGAAAAATGTGATAATTTAAGTGAGTAGAAAAGATTCTTTTTAAAGCTACACATCCATTTTAATCACTTTTAAGAGTCTTGAGAAAAGTTTTTAGTGATAAATGTAAAGAAAATAAAGGCCACAATGTCCCAATTCTACTGGAGAATGCAAAAATCACAGAAGTTCTCCACGTATGTGGAATAAAACCAGGCTGTGTCTGGGACTTCATTTTAGAACTTGCACCTAAATAAACTGATGCCACTTTTAGATGAATCATACACACGCCCTCCTCCTTCTACTTATCAAATATACCCACCCTCCTCTATGCTGCTATTACCAGCGCATTTCAGGGAAAGTCTCAAGCAGCAAGTGATGCTGTGGTCAATTACTGTCAGACACCGGCTCAATATAGCAAATATGTTAAAATAAAGAGCTGTTTTGGGCAAAAAAACAATTTTTTAAAGAGACAGGGTCTCACTCTGTTGCCCAGGCTGGAGTGATGCAATGGTGCGATGGAGCCAGCATAGCTCACTGAAGCTTCAAACTCCTGGGCTCAAAATATCCTCTTGCAGCTGAGACTATGGGTGCAAGCCACCATACCTGGCTAATTTTTAACCCTTTTTTTTTGTAGAGACAGGGTGATACATGAGACGTACATGAAAATGTGTTGTAAATCCTAAAGAATGATATAAAGAGTCTATTTTGGGCTCTCATCCAACACTACCCATCTACTACCTAGTGTGTAAAACCACTCCGAGGCCTACCTTACACCACCAAACGAGGAAAAACTTTCACAAGTACTTGCATGCTTTGTGTATAAAGGTACAATTCATTCACATACTATCTTTGTTCATTCTTTCACGATTTTTTAATATTCCGAGAGTACAGTACTTTCCAGCAACAAAGCCACATTCATCATGAAGCTTAATTATTCAAACGTTTAAATAAATTAAGAGGTCAACCAATGTTTAAACAGAAGAGCTGTAAGACACTTCCTCTATAGCAATGAAATCTGTAGCATACATTTTCTATTTTGAAAACTTAGTTTCTGCCTAGCCTTGGGGGATGAGAAAGGGGCCAGAACTGGGCACTGGGGTAGGGAGGAGGAGAGAAACCACCAGATGCTACAGGGAAAAAAAATTGGTTGCAGGGGGGAGGTGGGGGACGTAGGCACGAGGCAAGGCCAGTCCTCCTGCCTGGTGCCTGGGCCTAGGAAACCTGGCTAGGGGCAGGAGGGAGGAGTCCGAGGCTGTGGATGCCTCTGGGGGGACCTTGGGACAGCGGCTGCCAGAGGCTCACCTGAGGGCAAACACTATCAGTCGCCTCCTTACTTTTGGGCATCTCCTGGTCACTGATGTGTTGCAGGTCATGGCCCTCGCGGGCTCCGAAATCCGACTGGGCAGGCTCCACAGCAGTGGGGTGTGGGGATTTTTTTTTTTTTTTACTGCCACCTCTGCCTCCGTGAGGTTATAGCTGCAGGGCGGTTCCGCCCACAGCACCCTGCGCTGGCTTTGCTTGGGGCTGGCATCAGGGAGCAGCATGTTCCATCTGCGGCGCCTCCGCTCCTCTCTGCCTTGGCCTACACCTTTGCTTGACGCTGCCTCATAGATGTCAGCGCTGCAGGACAGCTCCCCAGACCTCCTGCGCTGGCCCCGCTTGAGGCTGGCGTTGGTGCCCAAGCAATAGCTCAGCGTGGGCTATCCCCATGGGGTAGCCCGGCTCCTCTCCAGCAGCTTGGGCCTTCCCTTGCTTCCAAGTCTGCAGAGCTCAGCACTTCCACCTCTTCCCAGGAAAGGCACGCTGGCAGGGCCAGCCCCGGCTATGGGGCTGCACCCCACTAGCAGCCCGCACCCCGCCTCAGCCGCCTCCCCTGAGCTGACTTGTCTGCAAGGGTCCCTTGGGAATCTGCTTGGTTTATTTAGAATGGGTCTAGATGCAACAAGCCTGAGAGTTGTGACTGCGGAGAAGAGAGCACAGATGGAGCTCCTCCTCCTCCCACCGCTTCCCACCAACTGAAGGAGGTTGCCCTGCCAACCGCCAGAGCTCCCTCCCGGTTCCCAGGAACCAATCAGGCCCAGAGACCCCTCCACGTGCCCCCGCCCCCATTGTGATGTAGGAGCCTAGGCACAAGGCTCACTAGGCCCTGCCATGCCGGCAGCCCCGCCCCCACCTTTCATTCATTACTGGCTGCTGGGAGCTTTCAGGTTTCTCCACTGTGAGGAAGATCTTATGTTTTCAACAAAAGAAGAGGCTTATGTAAAAGAAAACTGGGCCGGGCGCGGTGGTTCACATCTGTAATCCTAACACTTTGGGAGGCCAAGGCGGGCGGGTCATGAGGCCAGAAGATCGAGACTATCCTGGCTAACATGGTGAAACCCCGTCCCTACTAAAAATACAAAAAAATAGCCGGGTGTGGTGGCACGCGCATGTAGTTCCAGCTACTCTGGAGCTGAGGCAGGAGAATCGCCCGAACCTGGGAGGCGGAGGTTGCAGTGAGCCGAGATCGCACCATTGCACTCCAGCCTGGGCGACAGAGCAAGACTACGTCTCAAAAAAAGAAGAAAAGAAAAGAAGAGAAGAGAGGGGAGGGGAGGGGAGAGGAGGGAAAGGGAGGAGAGGAGAGGAGAGAAAACCACCACATAATAAGATTTTAAATGTGATCATAATTGCTTTTTTTTGGTGGGGGGTGGGGGGACGGAGTGTCGCTCTTGTTGCCCAGGCTGGAGTGCAATAGCGCGATCTCAGCTCACCATAACCTCCACCTCCTGGGTTCAAGCGATTCTCCTGCCTCAGCCTCCTGAGTAGCTGGGACTACAGGCATGCGCCACCACGCCCAGCTCATTTTGTACTTTTAGTACAGACGGAGTTTCTCCGTGTTGGTCAGGCTGGTCTGGAACTCCCGACCTCAGGTGCTCCACCCGCCTTGGCCTCTCAAAGTGCTGGGATTACAGGCGTGACCCACTGCAGTCGGACAGGTAAGCACTTTTAATTAATTATGTACTAGGTGCATAGCTCCAGACAAAGAACAATGCCTAGAATTAGACTTCTGCTTATGTAGAAGGATCAAGTATAAGGGCATGAATTTGTAGACAACTAAAGCAAGTATCAGAAGAAAAATTTTAACTTAAATGATCTGCCAGGGGCACTGATTAATTCGAAACAAATTTCTAAATTTTGGAGACATTTTTATTTTATCTGTTATCTTAAAACTATCTATATATAGCTATATATAGGATATATATATATGATAGGGCCTCACTCTCGCCCAGGCTGGAGTGATTTATGTAATCTTTCTCATCCTCGGTTTATCTAAAAAATATGAATAATAACACAAATTTTATAAACTTGCTCTAAAGATTAAATGAGGGAAATATAATACTGCTCCTTCCATATATTGAATGCTTACAAAATTACAGGCATTGTGTCTAGATTTTTACATATGTACCATACGTAAGCCTCATAACAAGCCCATTTTTAAAGGTGAGAAAACTGAGACTCAGATGAGCTAAAAACACATTCACGATCATGTAGTAATAAGCGATGGAACTGGGATTCAATCCAGTTCTGTCTGACTCCAAAGGTGGTGCATCATCTTAACGAAGACCAAGTTATACCCAGCACATGAAGGTACTCAAAAGATGTGGATTCCCTTTTACTATCCCCTTATGTGTGAATTTCAGTGGCTTTCACAACCTCAGAACAACCCCACACACCCTCCCAGGTTGCCTTTCAGTGGTTCCATTCTTCCTGGGGATGATTAGGAATCTGCATATTTAGACTACTTCTTCAATCATCTCCTTACAAACATGTGTGGATAAAGAAATGAAATTTTCTAGGCCGTAGGTTACTAACTGTGAATTAATTGTCTAGTTTATTTATTGCAAATTTATTTGCAATACATTTATTATATGAAAAAAAATCACACTGTCTACTGAATTTGTGCAGAAAGATCCCAAAGTACACTGCAGGAACATCTTACTGACTACACAGGAAGGCTAGCCCAAACACACAAAGCCAGAGTCCCTCCAAAGGTCAGGTGTGGGGTGGTTCTTTCCTGTAATCCTAGCAATTTGGAAGGCCAAAGTGAGTGAATCACTTAGGGCCAGGAATTCGAGTCCAGGCTGGCCAACACAGTGAGAGCCAGTCTGCATAAAAAATTACTTTTTATTAGTATAATTAAAAAGAGTACCTCTAACATTGCTTTAGGATAGAGAGCTCTGGTCTAGAATTCAAGATATGGAGTTACGAGTCCCAGTGTGGTTACTTAACTACTGTTGTGACTGTGGGCAGGTTATATAATCACTGTGATTCTCAGCCCTTTCTTTGCAAATAACCAGCATTGGAATAGATGACTTTTTAAAGCCCTGACCAGCTCTACCATTCAATGATTCTGTATCAGTGGATACTTGTCAAAACCATAATTTACTTGTCTAGTGATGCCCTGAGGTGTTCCTGTGGTCACAGGAAATGTGGAAATAATATAGTCATATTGGTCATAGGAATTATGACCATATGGTCAAATATGGTCGTAGGAAATAAATTTGGCTTTGCTTTTAAAATGGGTGATTTAACCACATGGAATCTATGACTATTTTGAGAAACAACATGAGACAGTCAATGTGATGCAGCCTGATGTGGTCCCAAAGCGTTTCTGCAGGATAAGAAACTCACTCACAAAAGCATTCACTTCCCCGTGAATATACCAGTGAATCCTCTAGCCACAAAAACTTACAGTCCATATATGTTGTAATGTCTAATACTTGTGTGAATTACTGCATTCATAACGCACTCCTTGAAAGGGTATGGCCTGCTTCCCAAAGTCCTTGGTACTGGAAGCCCAACTTCCATTCAGTAACTGGAAAGCCCTCTCCCACCTTCTCCCATTTCCTTCCATGACTGCTGGATTATGAAGGAACTGAAAACCACAATAAGTGAGGACTGGTTAAAGAAACAAGTGATGTTTATCCTGAGAATGACTGACAACATTTCAGTGAAAAAATGAGAGTAGTATTTGAATAACTGAAGGTCTACCGCAGAAGAGGGTTTCAGCTGGATGTGTTCTGCAGACTCCTAGGATCCACGGCATGGTAAGCCCCTAGTGAATGTTTATTGAGTGAATAAATCCTGTACTGCTCCCACAGCATGGACCAAGACCATGGGCCGCCATGGGGTCCTGCGGCTGAACTGGGCCCTGGCAGGAGCAGTCCCCTCACTCTCCTTTGATCAGAAGGCTGCATGTGTTCTACATTTCAGAAGTAACCCTGTGAACTGGGACATCCAGACTCCAAATGATGAGTAACATTTGCTTCGAATTTTTCAAAAAGCTTTATTCATCCAACAGTTGGGTTATTAAAAGTTACCTTGGTAAAATAAAGTACTTTGGCTTCACTTTCTATAAACAGTTTCCTCAAACACTGACTATGTGTTACATCAGAAATCAATGTGTTCTGTCTACTTTGTCTCTGTTATCTCAAGAACCAATTTTCCTTATCTTCAATTAGTCTTAGTGTGATATGTAACAGAGTCAGGTGTTATCACTATTATCTCAAAAGCGTGTTTCTTTTTTTATTTTATTTTTTTATAGAGATCAGGTCTTGCTCTGTTGCCTAAGCTGGTCTCGAACTCCTGGCCTCAAGCAATCCTCCTGCCTCGGCCTCCCAAAGTGTTGGGATTATGGGTGTGAGCCACCACAGCCAGCCTGAAAATCTGTTTCTTAAGGAGTAATGCAGAACACATAACATTCTTAAATATACCCCAGCCTTCTCCAGCTAAGCCAAATTGTTTAAGAGTTCTATAATATTTAAGATTCAGGATACTGTATTTCAACCTCCCTAAAAACAATGTATTAAATCTTAGAATGCATGTGCCATAATGTCACTTTTCTGACAAATAGTAAAACATTTCATGAGCTTGGTACAATAACGTGAAATAAAATGGTAAATTTTAAAAAATTAAAATATACATCCTGCTTTTTTTTTCAGTTACATATGTCAAAAATAGTAACCTAGACCAAGACATCCATTTCAATCAGTAGACATTTCAAGCCACAAGATTTAACAATAAACAATATTGGGTGTAGGTAACAATCCCCAGCTGGATCAGGGAAGCCCTAGCTCTACGTGGTATTACGGTATAAAGATAGTGTCTCTCTTCACTGGCAGAGAGGGATGGCCTATCCCTGAATACAGGATGGGGTCAGTCTCACTGCACTTTCATGAGCCATTTTATCAACCACACTTTGCATTTCTTTCCTAAGCTAAATACACATCTTTTTGGGAGAAGACACAGCACTACATGGTACCAAATACTAACCAAAAAAATCATACAAAAAAAAACCAGATAAATAATAAAGCATTCAACTGCTAAAACACAGCAACATTAAGCCACCTCAGTTTTCTTTTCCCAATGCTTGCAACACCCTCAATCCCTCATCTTATGATGAGGGAACAACATCTTATGATGGGGAACAACATGTGGTATGACATGGGGGAGTTACATCTCAACACTATGGAAAACTTTTAGAGCTCAACGTTAATTTCCAACAGAAGTAAACAGCTAATGAGTCTTTGAAACTTTTTTGTTCAATGATGCACTGGCAAAAATAGCTCATCCTCTTACAATATTTTCTGTTATCGCTGTAGTTATGTGAGAAAGAGATTTTCTATTTGTCTCAACTGAGAAGACTTCACTGTCTGATTCTTTCTTCAGGAACCATGCACCTCCTTGCACTGTCACTCAGCTACTCAGAACATCTCTTGAACATCTCTTGAACAATTCTGTTGTTGGAAGTTTATAATGTCAGGTGCCAGCACACTTGAAATGCGTGAAAATGAGGTGATACACACAACACTTCTGTTCAAGTTTTGATTCAGCCTGCCTCAGTGTCCTGGCCTCTTTTCTCACTGGATACAATGGACAGGCCATCAGCATCAGACTGTGTTCCGAATAATCAGAGGACATTGTGTTTTGCTTTCATCTGAAAAGATAATAAATAAATCAGGAAACCAGAAAAAGTCAAAGCCATGAGTGATTATGATGCCAGATACTGGCTATTTTTCTCAGATTAACTGTCCAAATGACCAGTGCTACCAGACAGTCACAATCTTGTCTGTGGGAATGTGAGAGAGAGACAGACCCGCTTACAGTAAAATTTAACAGTGTTTTCCTAGTTCCTTCCTGGCTCTACTGATGTCACAGTCCTAAGATTAATTCATCAAAGTTTCATTAGGGATGATCACAGTTTTTAAATGGGCTTTGTAGAAAAGTTAAATCATTTTAAGAAACAGCAGCTCCTATTGTATTGAGGAGCTAACAAGTTTTGGTGGCTCTTCTGTTAAAGTAGCATAGATTTCTAACATTGTTTGATCTTAAGACAAACAAAACATTGGTTTTTTCATTTTCCTTAGAGTATGATTCATGAAATACTTTACATAATTTTAAATGTTCAAATTATAAACAAACCTTTCTAATACAAAATACAGAAAGTCCAATCGCATACATTAAAAGTTTGCAATCACATTATAGAAACACCATCTTTTTTTTTTCTTTTTTTTTTTTTTTTTTTTTGGAGAGTCTCACTTTATCCCCCAAGCTGGAATGCAGTGGCCTGATCTGCAACCTCTGCCTCCCAGGTTCAAGAGATTCTCATGCCTCAGCTTCCAGAGTAGCTGGGATTACAGGCACCTGCCACCACGCCCGGCTTTTTTTGTATTTTTAGTAGAGACGGGGTTTCGCCATGTTGACCAGGCTGGTCTCCAACTCCTGACTTCAGGTGACCCGCCTGCCTCAGCCTCCCAAAGTGCTGAGATTATACATGTGAGCCACCGTGCCCGCCCGGAAACACTATCTTATTATTGCACAGCTTTAATAATGTAAAATATTTACTCACAACTGCTTATAATATTGTCAATAATTTATGATATTTTGTCTGTAACTTGTTCCCCAGTCATTGGGCTACAGACCACACTAGAAAATAACTGTCCACATAGTGGCTACAAACATTTAAATTTTAAAAAAAAGCTTCTTACCGACAGGTACTTGTACACACAAAGCATTCTCTCTTTCCCAATAGAACTTCACATTGCATTGAAATAATCCACTTATTTATAGTAAAACAAATCTTGCTTAAAAAAATTTACCTAGCCAGATTTATTCAGAAGTAGATAAACTTCATTTAAGGTTAGGGTTATTATATTGTCTGTTGCCCACATAATCTTAACATTATAAATACGTCAGAGGAAGACACTGTCATAATACACAGCATTTGGACTACTAAACCACTTCTTTTAAGATGAAGAGTTCTAAAAACATAGTTCAAGTGTCTAATTCGAGCAAAACCAGCGAGTTTCAGTGGAATACTGCAGGAGACGCCCTTTCTCCCTCTAGGGATTACTGGGTTTTAGTAGAAAAGAAGTGAGGATTGCCTGGGCTCTTTCTGTTCCTGAGGCCGTTTTGCAATCACCTTTTTTTTTCACTTAAAAGGTTGCAGAGTTCTCAAGAACAGTCAGACTCACTGTTGAAGGACGCGAGTCCCGTGTGTTGAGCTAGTTTAGACCATCTCCTTGTTCTCCTGGGTAACCTGGCGAATGGACGCTGCCTGCTATGCAGGCTGCTGAGGTGCGTTGTCCAGACTGACAATGGGAGGGCTATTTTGCGCTCTTTGCACCCCAGGGTACCCAGAGGGATGGTGCAGCAGCCAAAACTTCCTGGGATCTGGGAAAAGCCTCTGTTCTGAATGATGGAAATCTCATTGTTCTTTATGGGAAGCTCCTGGGGGTGAGCTGCAGCTTCCTGGTTCCAAATATTGGGGTCGCCATTCATTATTTGGGCTGTCAGATCCTTCCGGAATATTTCAGAGAACTTCAGGCCATCATCCCCTAGCAGAGCCATGGACTGTTCCACCGCGGCAGCTCGCCTTGGGGGAGGTTGTGAGGGTGGTTATTCCACATGTGAGTGCCAAGTGTACCTGGAGGTTGCCCTTAGTGGTGAAGGCCCTACCGCAGATGGCGCCGCTGAACGGCTTCTCCCCAGTGTGGGACCGGGCGCGGGCCTGCGGAGGGCCCTCCTCTCTGCTGAGGAACTGCAGGCTGAAAGGGGACCCTCCTTGCCCACCGGCGGAGGTGGCGGGGGCGGTGGTCAGGTCCGGGGCGCCTCGTGGCCAGGGACGGGCGGGCGGGCTGGCTGTCCAGCCTCTGGGTCCTGAGCGCTATTCCCTGGGCTCCTCCAGGTTGCCCAGGTCGGGGACTTGGGGCGGAAGCGCTTGCCCAGCACCAGGACAGGTTCTATGCCCCGGTCTTCCGCAGCGACAGGTTGGGCGCTGGCCCTTGCAGCGCTTCGCGGGGGCGGACAGCAACAGGAGACATTGGCTGTGGCGCGATGCCGACCAGCAGGCGGGGAAGACACTGCTGTGAGAGCTGAGGCAGAAGAGGACTTGACAGGCTGGGCGCCGAGCTCACGAGGGGCCCTGGCTTCAACGCTGAGGCGCGGACGCCAAAAAGGCTGCGAGAGGCGAGACCCGCGATGTTGGCGGTAGGGTCGCGGGTCGGTTCCGCGCTGGGGGCGGCCAAGGATAGGAGTCGGGAAGAGCAGCTGGAGAGCCGGGGGCGCTGGAGCCGGCGCAGGCTGGGACAGGAACTGGGAGCCTGAGCCCGCGGGGTTGGCTGGGGCCCGAACGGAGAGCCGGAGCGCCCGGCGCAGGTTCAGCGGGGGCAGCTGGCTGGCCAGGGTGGACGCGCTCGGGACTGAGCGAGGGCGGCAGCCGCGGCGGTGCCTGAGGGCCCCGGGGCTGCGGATCTGCTGCATGAGCTGTCTCTGGGGGCCCTGCCTGCGCGGAGCCAGGAGCCGCTCCAGTCTCCCGGCACAGCCACCCCGCAGCCTGCCTCCAGGCTCCCTGTAGGAACCGCGCCGGCGCCACCTGGTGCTCAGCGACGTCTCCAGCTCCTGCGGTGCTGGGCGCTTGGGCCTCTGGCGGCGCCCAGGGCAGGTCCCCCATCCCCGACGTCTCTGCTTCTACAGGCTTGGCATCCTTCTCTGCGGGCCTCGCCTTGCCTTTCTAGCGGGCTCCTCAGAGACCACTCTCTTGGCTTGGTCTCTGGGCGAGCTGGTAGGAGAAGGTTCTGGAGTCCTCGGCGGGTGGGGCCCTAGGCTGTGTGCAGTGAGATCAGCAGGGGCGGGGTTCAGCGGCTCTTCTGCTCCAGGAAGTCCAGCTGCTGGAGCTCCGCACAGTTTCTCGCTGAAGTCGATCTCCGGCCAGCTGCTGCTCTCCACCTGCTGTCTGGGTCGTGGGGCTTCCCCCAGTGGCCTACTGGGGAGTCCCCACCGGGAGCAGCAGCTCCTCCTCCATCTTGAGGAGTGGGGCTTGGCCTGCTTGCACCCAGACAGCCTGTCATTGGTGCCTCTCAACCATCTACACGCACACATATGCACACACAACAGCTCACTCTGTGACATGTGCATGCGTCACACACACATACATATGTTCAGACACAAGCTGGTTGTCTGAAAGATTGAACAGCTCAGAAAACTACCAAGAAAAAAAAATAAACAGGGGACGTCTCTGAGTTAACAGAAGGGAAGATAAGAAATGAGGTTGCTAGAATTGTTTATGTAATAAATATAAATCAAAAGATATATATTTTAATACATCCAATATTATAGCAAAATTCTACCTTATGCTCCAGCATCCCTGCCTTCAGACCATCATTCAGAGCATGGTGACTCTCCGTTTATGCTGAATTCCAATGATACGGGAAATTTCTCATTCAAGGCAAATTGGAAGCAGCGATCACATATCTCTACCTTTATTAAATAGTCACACTGTCAGGAGATTGACCTTCACTAAAGATGGAACTATTTTATATTAGAATATGGTATACTTCTGACATGATTTTAGTGTATAATGTTTAAGAAGCAAAGAAAAATAAACCAACAGTTACAATTCTTTAAATCTGATTACTTCAAAAAATATACGTATTCATCCTGGAAAATTCACTTGTATGAGTTTCCCCAAAATGCTGAATATGTGAGACATCGCTTCATTTAATTCTCCTTCTTTCTCTATGTAATATATTTTAGAATTCTAGCTGTTAATTTATTACTGTTTTATGTTTTTCAAATTACAAAGAGCTATCCGTAACCGGTATTTCAGAGTATTCCCGGAAAGACTACAAAGCCATCACTAATCTTTTAAAAAAACAATGACTCACTAACAGACGGCATTTTGACATTCATGTTGCTCTATGGTAAATACTTTAAAGACACATTTCTGGGCATCTCATTATCCTTGTGGATAAATAGTTCCAATTTTTACTTGAATTACTCCACTTCATCAAAAAGTGAAAGATAAATTAGGAAAATTATTTCATTTTAAGAAGCATACTGTCAATAATATTAATTAGAAAAAGAGTCAATCAAAGGTTAAAGAGATTACTTGTACTTTTAACAAATAAAATCATTTGTGCTTTATGCAAGTTTGTTCATACAGAAAAATCGGAACAATATCTGTTAGGGAAGATGATGATAATGCCAGTACTCATGATGACACACAGCAATGGTGAGAAGCAACTGAAACCAGAAGAAGACTGGAAAAAGGGCGAGGGGACACCACTCCTTAGTTTACACTTGGAAGTAGAAGCTTATTTGCTGAGGGTTTATCCTAAACTCATCATCCTAAGATTTTTGTTTCTATAAATTGAAATATAATAAATATAATGAATTGGTTCTGAACACCCATTAGAACAATCACACTAAATAATTAATATAATTTTTAAGAAAAATGGGATAAGTGAAAAATATGTGAAGGCAGTTTAAAGAGAAATATGACAGTCTTATTAAACAACATACTTATTTTATAAAGTGTTATAAAATGTTCATCTTAACTTGTAGTATTTCTGTACACTTTTGCTTGACATATGTTGTTAAGTCAATATGTGAATCACAAAATACATAAAATCTCCTTTCTCTTAATGCTTTTATATTGACATGAGTTTATTGTGCTATAGGATGAATGTTTATGCCCTTCCCCCAAAATTCATATGTTGAAACCTAACGCCCAGTGTGATGGCATTTGGAGGTGGGGTATTTGGTAGGTGATTAAGTAGTGAGGGTGGAGCTATAAGAGTTTATAACAGATTTCCCTAAAATTTAATAGCTTGGTTAAATAATTTTATTGTCTGTCATGGTTTCTATGGGTCAGAAATTTGAGAGCAACTTGGCTGTAGAGTTATGGCTTGAGATCTCTCATGAGTTTTAAATCAGGTATTATGGACCCCCTCCACAGGTCTGCTTGACTATCCTGCTTGAATTTTCCACAGAACTAGGGACCCAACACTCTTAGTCAATTTTTTGAAATAGTTTTAGTAGGAATCTTACTAGGTCTTCTTTATACAACTGGTAAAATTTGATTATGAATTCATCTGGTCTTGGGCTTTTTCTAGTTGGTAGGCTTTTTATTACTGATTCAATATCACAACTCATTGTAAGTCTGTTAAGGAATTCAATTTCTTCCTAGTTCAATCTTGGGAGGTTGTCAGTTTGCAGGAAATTTATTCAATTCTTCTATATTTTCTAGTTTGTGTTTGCATAGAGTGTGTGTGTGTGTGTGTGTGTGTGTGTGTGTGTTTAAATCTCAGAAGTTTTGTATTACTGTGGGGTAGGTAGTAATGTCCCCTTTGTCATTTCTTATTGTGTTTATTTAGATCTTCTCTTTTGAATCTTTTGGATTTTTTCATTGGTCTAACTAGCAGTCTATTAATCTTATTTATTCTTTCAAATTATTTCCCATTATTTTCAAAGATTTTCTAGATTTATTCCTTAATCTTATTCTTTACCCTAAAGTCATTCAGGAGCAGGTTGTTTAATTTCCATGTAATGGTATTGTTTTTAGAGATTTTCTTAGTATTCATCTCTATTTTTATTGCACTATGTTTTCAAAATGTGTTTGGTATGCTTTTGGTTTCTAAAAATTTGCTAAGGATTGTTTTATGACTGAATGTCTGTTCAATTTTAGATTATGTGCCATGTGCAGATGAGAAGAAGGTATATTCTGTTATTTTGGGGTGGGGAGCTCTCTAGAAGTCTATTAGGACCATTAGGTAGGTGTTAAGGTCCCAAATATCTTTGTTAGCTTTCTTTCTGGATGATCTAATATTGTCAATGGGGTATTGAAGTCCCCCACTATTTTTGTGTGATTATCTAAGTCTCTTCATAAGGCTGTAAGATCTTGCTTTATAAATCTGGGTTCTCCTGTATTGGGTGCATATATATTAAGGATAGGTTTTTTTTCATTATGTAATTTCCTTGACTTTTTTGTTCTTTGTTGGTTTGAAGTCTGTTCTGACTGAAATTTGAATAGCAACCCCTGCTTTATTAGTTTTCCTTTTGCTTGGTAGATTTTTCTCCATCCCTTTATTTCAAGCCTATGGATGTTATTGCATTTGAGATGGGTCTCTTGAAGTTATAGTTGGATCTTGCTTCTTTACCCAAGTTGCTACTCTGCCTTTTAACTGGGGGGCATTTAGCCTGTTTATATAAGTTTAATGTTGATATGTGTGGATTTGATGCTGCCATTTTGTTGTTAGGTGGTTATTATGCAGACTTCATTGTGTGGTTGCTTTATACTCTCAATAGTCTATGTATATGAGTGTTGTGTGTGTGTTTGGTTTTTGTGTGTGTGTGTATTTTTAGTATAAACAGGTTTTCACCACATTGGCCAGGCTGGTCTCGAACTCCTGACCTTGTGATCTGCCTGACTTGGCCTCCCAAAGTGCTGTTGGGATTTCAGGCATGAGCCGCCATGCCCAGCCGCATGACCACATTTTAAGAGGTGTATTTACAAACATGTACAGAAAAAAGAAGGAAGTTGTTAACAGTGGTTATCTCTGGCTGGTAGAACTACATGTGACTTTTAAAAAATACATGTTTTAAGTTTTCTAAAATGAACACATATCATTTACTAAAAAAAAGGTAAAGGAAAAAACTCAGTGGTATATGTATCAGTATATATGTAATGCTTTCTGCTTGGATACTGTTATGAAAACCTGAAATATCTTGAAATATGATAACAGGTTTCTCATGTATCACATAAACTCCAATGAAAACTTCAGCTTCCAGCTCCTTGTTAACTACCATAATATGTACATGAAACCTATTCACAGAACTCTGGAGGTTAATGCTTTACTTTGAAGGAAAAAAAAATCATTCTACAACTTAACAGGAAAAGGATATCCTCTCTGTAGTTTGAAAGGAAACTGGAGATAGAGCTTTATAAAAAATGCATTAGTTGCTAACCAAGAAGAAACCCATCTGAGGTGTAAGTGCATTTCACACATCAGTTCAAAAAACAATACTGCCAAGGCCTTTGGAATTTGGAGAGAAAGACTACCTAAGAAAAATAAAATATGGGGTGGGTTGTTGTAAACAAATAAGTCCAAGAACCTGATGAGTTCAGGCCACAATTGTGCTCTCATATGCTTCTTCCTGATCTATGCAGTTTTACACAGACCTGGCAGGTGATGTGCTTTGGAGAAACAGATTTGTGACTCTCAAGCCATGTGTAGTGCTGATTCCCTCTGCATACTGTCAAACACATATTGGACTTGCAGTGCATGCTGGGCACTGTTTTTTTTGTTTTGTTTTGTTTTGTTTTTTTTTTTTTTTTTTTTTTTTTTTGCTCTTGTTGCCCAGGCTATAGTGCAATGGCACGATCTTGGCTCACCGCAACCTCTGCCTCCCGAGTTCAAGCAATTCTCCTGCCTCAGCCTCCCAAGTAGCTGGGATTACAGGCATGCACCCCCACACCTGGCTAATTTTGTATTTTTAGTAGAGATGGGGTTTCTCCATGTTGGTCAGGTTGGTCTCAAACTCCCAACTTCAGGTGACCCACTCGCTTTGGCTTCCCAAAGTATTGGGACTACAGGCGTCAGCCACCACGCCCAGCCACTGGGCACTGTTCTTAAGTTTCATTCCTGCAGTTGAACTCAGGGCATCCTCAAAACCACCTGTATTAGTCAGGGTTCTCTAGAGGGACAGAACTAATAGAATGGATATATATATATGTGTGTGTGTGTGTGTGTGTGTGTGTGTATATATATATATATATATGAGTTTATTAAGTATAAACTCACACATGATCACAAGGTCCCACAATAGGCCATCTGCAAGCTGAGGAGCAAGGAAGGCCATTTCGAGTCTCAAAACTGAAGAACTTGGAGTCTGATGGTCAAGGGCAAGAAGCATCCAGCATGGGAGAAAGATGTAGGCTGGGAGGCTAAGCCAGTCTAGCCTTTTCACATCTTTCTGCCTGCTTTATATTCTGGCTATGCTGGCAGCTGATTAGGTGGTGCCCACCCAGATTAGGGGTGGGTCTGCCTTTCCCAGCCCCTGGACTCAAATGTTAATCTCCTTTGGCAGCACCCTCACAGACACACTCAGGATCAATACTTTGCATCCTTCAGTCCAATCAAGTTGACACTCAATGTTAACCATCACACCATCCTATGAAGTAGATACCACTGCTGTCCCCACTTAACAGATGAAAGAGGTGAGGCACCTTGTTCTAGCTCACATAACTAAGAAGGAGCTTTTTAGCTCACATAACTAAGAAGGAGTTTTTTAGCCAGGATTGAACCTAGGGAGTATGATTCCAACTCACATTCTTAGCATCTGTTTTGCCTGTCAAGTAGCCTTATTAGTGGAGAGAAGCACCAGAATAACCCCAGGGGGGACCTAGCCCATGTGATTTGCTTTTACAGTTTATACTTCAGTTTGCACAAAAGCATTGAACCAGGAATGATAGCACATGTTGATTAAATGGTTCTTATGAGCCAGGCATTGCCTTAAGTATTTTACAGATAACAATTGCATTATCCATTATAAGCCTAGGAGTACTATTATCCCCATCCCCACTTCACAGGTGAGAAGACTGAGTTACAGAGAGTTTAAGTAACTTGCCCAAAGTCACATAGTTAACAAGTAGCAGAGCCAGGATCCAACCCCAGGCCTTCTGATCTAGAGCTTGTACTGCTGATCTCTATGCTGTGGGATGTACTTCTAGGGAAATGTGTTGTATACTGGTTCTATGTCAAGCCTTGTTTAAAGTGTGTTATTTGGATCATCTCATTGGAAATGTCCCTAACACACTGCCAGAAAGCAGCTGGGAAGTAGTTTCTTCAACCTAACAGCTGGTTCTCTATTAAAATGTTACCAGGCTGAGCGCAGTGGCTCACGCCTGTAATCCCAGCACTTTGGGAGGCCAAGGCAGGTGGATCACAAGGTCAAGAGATCGAGACCATCCTGGCCAACATGGTGAAGCCCCGTCTCTTCTAAAAATATAAAAATTAGCTGGGTGTGGTGGCGCACGCCTGTAGTCCCAGACACTCAGGAGGCTAAGGCAGGAGAATTGCTGGAACCCGGGAGGCAGAGGTTGCAGTGAGCCAAGATCGAGCCACTGCAGTCCAGCCTGGTGACAGAGCAAGACTCTGTCTCAAAAAGAAAAAAAAATGTTTCCAAGGAAACCTAGCAGAGTGATTCCAAGAGGGAGTTTTGTGATCAGAATGACCAGTGTGGAAATAAATACTGGCTATACCATTTTTTTTTTTTTTGAGACAGGGTATTTCTCTGTCACCCAGGCTGGAGTGCAGTGGCACAATCTTGGCTCACTGCAACCTCCACCTCTCTGGCTCAAGAGATTCTCCTGGCTCAGCCTACCAAGTAGCTGGAATTACAGGCACACGCCACCACATCTGGCTAATTTTTGTATTTTTAATAGAGATGGGGTTTCACCATGTCGGCCAGGCTGTTCTCAAACTCCTGACCTCAAGTGATCCGCCTGCCTTGGCCTCTCAATCTACCACTTATTAATAAAGCTCTAGTGCCTTTTTTTCCTTCATCCCCACCCCCGACCCCCTACCCTCTCCATCATCCATCCATCCACCAAAAGAATTAGGAGAAATTGAAATGGCAGTCAAACTATCCCCAGCATGGTGAAAGCCACCAAAATCACTGGGAGCCCCCACTTTACTGGAGAGACATTTGCTGCAGGTGGCTGAGGGATCAGGAAAGAGGTGAGGCTCTTGAACGGTGCTCCTCGAAATGGGATTCCCTAGACCAGCAACATCAGCGTCACCTGGAAACATACTAGAAATGTAGCGTCTCCAGCCCCAGCCCAGACCACGAGCTCAGAGGCTCTGGGAGCAGGGCTGGTGTGTTTCATGATGCCCTCTAGGTGATCCTGGTGCACATTCAAGTTTGGGAACGACAGCCCAAGGAGATGTGGAAGACAGGGTGAGGCCCCAAGCTCAGAGCCCTGAGTGGGATACGAGTAACTTGGAAGTAGTAATAATTAGGTGGGAACTCTCTCCCTCAGTGAATTGGAGCAAATTCAGTTTTCCTTGTAAAGGCTTCACTGTCCCTTTCCTTCTGATGGAAGCATCTAGGTGGCATGACAGAAGCATCTGGAAGGGCCAGTCCTCCAGGTGAACCTCTGGAGGTAGGTCAAGTCTGGGAGCACAGACAGTTGGTGTTGCTGTTGGGAAAAGTTTAATACTCGGTCCCCTCTTTTATAGCTGTTGGAATTGAGGCCCACTAAGGGCAAGGAAGAGGCAGAGCCAGGACCCAACACCGGAACCTCTGACCACATAATCTGCCTGTCAGCACCTTTCCCCAAATCTTTTTTGGGCCCAGTTGTGTGTTCCTTGGACTTCGCTCTCTCCTCCCCTTGTGTGCATGCTCTGGAGTGTACGTGCCCACCTAACTCTGCTGGGCTTGACCTTCACTCTGCCCTGCAGAACCACCCTGAGTCCCACAAACATGATGTTCTGGAAGGCCTCAGTTCCCCCTCGGTTCCTTAGCAGCTCTGGCAGGTGCTCAGGGGAGACAGAGGCACCGAGGGGAGGCAGAAGCGCCAAGGGGAGGTGGATCAGATGAATTTGGAAAGTTCTCCTGAAGAAGAGAGTAGGGAAGAGGAGCATGGCTTGGCAGAGAAATGTGGAAAGGCAAGACATTTGAGAAGACATAGAGGTGAAACCCACTGATACTTAGAGAGGCTATTTCTTAATGCAAAGGAAAAGTACTAGTAATATAAAAACAAAACTTTCACTAAAGCATATGGGCTATATGATCCCACTTTATTTTCCAAAGATGTATAGATTTACACAAGAGTCTGGAAATCTACGTCAAAACATTTGCAGTGATTATCTCTGGATGCTGCAATTGCAATTTCTGTTTCATTTTTTTCTTATTTTCTGCATTAAGCATTCATTAAATTTTTTTCAGATATAATTCATATATCATAAAATTCACCACTTTATTTTAAAGCGTGCGATTCACTGGTTTTTAGTTTATTCACAAAGTTGCACAACCATCATCACCCTCTAATTCCAGAACATTTTCATAACCCCAAGAAGAAACCCTGCACCCAGGAGCAGTCACTCCCCAACATTGCTCCATTCCCAGCCCGAGGCAACCACTAATTACTTTCTCTCCCTTTGGATTGGTCTCTTCTGGACATTTCATATAAATGGAATCATACAATGTGTGGTCTTTTGTGACTGGTCTCTTTCACTCAGCATGTTTTCAGGGTTCACCCATGTTATAGCAGGTATCAGAACTTCATTGCTTCTTATTGCCAGATAATATTCCATTACATGGATAGACTGCATTTTATTTATCCATTTATCAGGCGATAGACCTTTGAGTTGTTTCCACTTTGGGGCTATTATAAATAATGCTGCTCTAAACACTTGTGTACCAGGTTTTGTGCAGACATATATGTTCAGTTCTCTTGAGTACATGGCTAGGTGTGGGATTGCTGGGTCATATGGTAACTCTTATGTTGAATTTTTTTTTTCTTTGAGACAGGGTCTTGCTCTGTCACCCAGGCTGGAATGCAGTGGCACAATCATACCTCACTGCAGCCTCGACCTCCTGGGTTCAAGCAATCCTCCCACTTTAACCTCCAGAGTAGTTGAGACTACAGACACATACCACCACACCTGGCTAACTTTTTCTTTTTTAGAGACTGAGTCTGACTATGTTGCCCAGGCTAGTCTTGAACCCCCTGGGTTCAGACCATCCTCCTGCCTCAGCTTCCCAAACTGCTGGGATCACAGGTGTGGGCCACCACGCCTGTCCTATGTTGAACTTTTTGAGGAAACACCGTTTTCCAAAGAATTTGAACCATTTTACATTCCTACCAGCAACGTATGAAGGACCTGATGTCTCCACACACTTGCTAATACTTGTGATTGTCTGTTTTATTATAGCTGTCCTAGTGAGTGTGAAGTGGTATCTCATTGTGGTTGTGATTTGCATCTCTCTGATGATAATAATGCTAAGTATCTTTTTAAAAAATATATTTTTACATATTTTTATCTTTAATTGACAAATAATTGTATATAACTATGGGGTATGATGTGACATTTTGACGTATGTGTACATTATGGAATGATCAAATCTAGCTAATTCACCTATTCATTACCTCACACACATCATTTTCTGTGATGAGAACATTTGAAATACATTCTCTTAACAATTTTGAAATATACTATACGTTATTTTTAACTGTCACCATGTTGTGCAATAGATCTCCAAAACTTATTCTTTCTATCTAACTGAAACTTTGTATCCTTTGACCAATATCTGATTCCCTCCCTACTCCACCACTCCCCACTCCCAGCCCCTGGTAACCACCATTCTACTTTCTAGGTCAAAGGGTTCAATGTTTTTAGGTTTCCCATAGAAGTGAGGTCACACAGGGCTGGGCGTGGTGGCTCATGCCTGTAATCCTAGCACTTTGGGAAGCTGAGGCGGGTGGATCAGCTGAGGTCAGGAGTTGGAGACTAGCCTGGCCAACATGGTGAAACCCCGTCTGTACTAAAAATACAAAAATTAGCCAGGCATGGTGGTACATGTCTGTGATCCCAGCTACTCAGGAGGCTGAGGCAGGAGAATCACTTGAACCCGGGAAGCAGAGGTTGCAGTGAGTGGAGGTCATGCCATTGCACTCCAGCCTAGGTGACAAGAGCATAACTCTGTCTCAAAAAAAGAAAAAAAAAAAGAAGAAGTGAGGTAACGCAGTATTTGTCTTTTTGTACCTGGCTTATTTTACTTGGCATAGTGTCCTCCAGGCTCATCTGTCTTGTCACAAATGATAGGATTTCCTTCTTTTTAAGAGATGAATATGTCCCCATTGTGTATATAAGCCACATTTAATTTATCCATTGATGGACACTTAACTTGATTTCCCATCTTGGCTGCTGTGAATAGTGCGGCCATGAACATGAGAGTGCAGGTATCTCTTCAACAGAGTGATTTCAATTCCTTTGGATGTATACCCAGTAGTGGAATTGCTGAATCATGTTCTATTTTTAGGTTTTGGGGAATCTTCCATACTGTTTTCCATAGTGGCTGTACCAGTTTACATTCCCACCAACAGTGGACAAGGGTGCCCCTTTCTCCGCATCCTTGGCTACACTTGTTATATTTGATATTTTTGATAATAGCCATCCTAACAGGTGTGAGGTGACAGCTCATTGTGGTTTTCATTTGCATTTCTTTCTGATTTCAGTAGCTTTAGGAGTACAAGTAGTTTTTGGTTACATGGATGAATTGTACAGTGGTCAAGTCTGAGATTTTAGTGTTCCCATCACCCAAGTAGTGTACATTGTACCCAATAGGTAGTTTTTCAATCTCTCACCCCCTCCCACCCTCCTCCTTTCTGAGTCTTTGATGTCCATTATACCATTGCATATGCCTTTGCATACCCATAGCTTAGCTTCCACTTATGAGTGACAACATGTGGCATTTGGTTTTGCAATCCCAAGTTCCTTCGCTTGGAATAATGGCCTTCAGCTCTACCCAAGTTGATGCAAAAGACATTATTTCTTTCTTTTTTATGGCTGAGTAGTAATCTATGGCATATGTATATTACATTTTCTTTATCCACTCATCGCTTGATGGGCACTTATGTTGATTCCATATCTTTGCAATTGTGAATTGTACTGCAATAAACATATGCGCACAGGTGTCTTCTGATAGAATTACTTCTTTTCCTTTGGGTACATACCCAGTAGTGGGATTGCTGGATCAAATGGTTGATCTGCTTGTAGTTCTTTGAGAAATCTCTATACGGTTTTCCATAGAGGTTGTACTAATTTACATTCCTGCCAGCAGGATATAACCATTCCCTTTTAACTGTATCCACACCAGCATCTATTGCTTTTTGACTCTTTAATAATTGCTATTCTGGTTGGAGTAAGGAGGTATCTCTCACTGTGGTTTTAATTTGCATCTCCCTGATGATTAGTTAGGTTGTGCATTTTTTCATTGTTGACCATTTGTATATCTTCTTTTGAGAAATGTCTATTCCTGTCATTTGCCTACTTTTTGATGGCATTGTTTGTTTTTTTCTTGCTGATTTGTTTGAGCTCCTTGTAGATTCTGGATATTAGTCCTCTGTCAGACATATAGTTTGCAAATATTTTCCCCCATTCTGTGAATCGTCTGTTTCCTCTGATGATTATTTCTTTTGCTGTGTTGAAGGTTTTCAGTTTAATTAGTTCCCATGTATTTATTTTTGTTTTTATTACATTTGCTTTTGGGGTCTTAGGCACAAATTCTTTGCCTAGGCCAATGTCCAGAATAGTTTTTCCTAGTTTTTTTTTTCTAGAATTTTTATAGTTTCAGGTCTTAGATTCAAGTCTTTAATCCATCTTGAGTTGATTTTTATTATGGTGAGAGAGAGGGAACCGGTCTTATTCTTCTATATGTGGCTATCCAGTTTTCCCAGCATCATTTATTGAATAGGGTGTCCTTTCCTTAATTTATGTTTTTGTATGATTTGTTGAAGATCAGTTAGTTGTAAGTATTTGGCTTTATTTATGGGTTATCCATTCTGTTCCATTGGTCTATATATCTACTTTTATACCAGTACTATGCTGTTTTGGTAACTATATCCTTGTAGTATAATTTGTAAAGTAATATGATGCCTCCAGATTTGTTATTTCACTTAGGATTGCTTTGAACTATTTGTGCTCTTTTTTGGTGCCATATGAATTTTAGGATTGTTTTTTCTAATTCTGTGAAAAACAAAGTTGGTATTTTTATAGGAATTGCATTGAATCTGTAGATGGCACTGGGCAGTATGGTCATTTTCGTGATATTGATTCTTCCAATCCATGAGCATGGGATGTATTTCCATTTGTGTTATCTACGATTTCGTTCAGCAGTATTTTGTAGTTCTCCTTGTAGAGATCTTTCATCTTCTTGATTAAGTATATTCCTAGGGTTGTTTTTGTTTTGTTTTGTTTTGTTGAAGCAATTATAAAAAAGATTGAGTTCTTGATGTGATTCTCAGCCTGGCCGTTGATAAGTAGCAGTGCTACTGATTTGTATACATTGATTTTGTAACCTAAGACTTTACTGAATTTATTTATCAAATCTAGAAGTCTTTTGGAGGAGTCTTTAGGGTTTTTTACGCATACAATCATATCATCAGCAAACAGAGATAGTTTGACTTCTTTTCCAATTTGGATGTCCTTTCCTTCTTTCTTTCTTTCTCTTGCCTGATTACTCTGGCAAGGATTCCTTAATTTGCATTTATCTGATCTGAACATATTTCTCTGTGCTTATTGCAAAATAGGATTTTTATCTCTGTCTTGCTTAATAGGGTACTGATCCTCCAAAAGCTTACGTGCCTTCCCAAAAATCATGTAGTAAAAATAGAATAATTGTTGAAATGCAGGCTCTGGAGCCCAAATCCTGGCTTTTCTACTTATTAGCTGTGATGCTCAGGCCTCGGTTACCTCATCTGTAAAATGGGAGCAACCATAACTGCCTAAAAATGTGTTGTGAGATTCAGAAATAAAATACGTCAAATTACCACCACTACCTGACCCTTAAGAGAATCACTCTATAAATGACAGCATGATTATCATCTTCAGACAAGAAAGGGTGAGGGCTGCATGATGTGAGGTGGATTCTCCTGACCATTGCTGCCTGTGCATGTTGGTGGACTGGCTTCTCCCTTTGCTGAATGTTTTTCCCACAGATATTAGATAAAATGTAGAGTTGTCATTCAGGGAGGGAGACAGACAAATGGGAAATCTGTATCTCTCTTGATCCCAGATTAGTTGTTTAGAGAGCCCAAATAATCTGCTGTGGTGGTACCTGAGAGCTGGAATCAGAAGAAAAAACAAAAAAGAGCTCTTATTTTTTGGAATGATCTTTGTTTTTGTCAGTCCAGGTTGCTGTAACAAATTACCATAGGCTGGGGGGCTTAAATAATGAACACTTATTTCTCATATTTCTGGAGGCTGGAAGTCTGAGATCAGGGTGCCAACATGATCAGGTTACTGGCAAGGGCCCTGTTCCTGGCTCGCAGACAGCTGCCTTCTCACTGTGACCTTACATGGTAGAGAGCAGTGAGAGAAGCAAGCTCTTTCCTTTTTTTTTTTTTTTTGACCCGGAGTCTCACTCACTCTGTCACCCAGGCTGGAGTACAGTGGCGCTATCTTGGCTTACTGCAACCTCTGCCTTCCACACTCCAGAAATTCTCCTGCCTCAGCCTTCCAAGGAGCTGGGACGACAGGCGTGCATCACCATGCCCGGCTAACTTTTGTATTTTTAGTAGAGACAGAGTTTCATCATGTTGGCCAGACTGGTCTTGAACTCCTGACCTCAAGTGATCCACTGCTTTGGCCTCCCAAAGTGCTGGGATTACAGGTGTGAGCCACTTCACCCAGCCTTTCCTGTCTCTTTTATAAGGGCACTAATCCCATCATAAGGGCCCTACCCTCATGACCTAATCACCTCCCAAAGGCCCTACCTTCTAATATCATCCCATTGGGGGTTAGGATTTCAACAAGTGAATCTACAGAGGACATACAAATGCAGTCAATAACCATCAGAATCCCAATGGGCTCCTTCTAGCCAAAGGTCATTGGTCCAACTTTAGTTTTCTGTGCTATAATATGACACAGTGATGTGGGAAAAAAAGAATAATAATATTATTATAATTATTACCATGAGCCAGGAGCAGTAGCTCACACCTGTAATCTCAGCACTTTGGGAGGCCAATGCAGGCAGATGACTTGAGGTCAGGAGTTCAAGACCAGCCTGGCCAACATGTTGAAACCCCGTCTCCACTAAAAATACAAAAATTAGCTGGGCATGGTGGCACACACCTGTAATCCCAACTACTCAGGAGGCTGAGACAGGAGAATCCCTTGAACCTGGGAGGCAGAAGTTGTAGTGAGTGAACATTGTGCCACTGTACTCCAGCCTGGGCAACAGAGTGAGACCCTGTCTCAAAAAAAGTAATTAATTAATTAATTTTTTAAAAAAATTATTATGGAATTTGGAAAGATTGGGGCACTTGCAATTCAATTCAGGTAGGTCTTCTGATCTTGGAATTCACAAGTTATCAAGCCAAATGCTGCAGCTACCCAGGAAAGATGCAAAAAGTGAAACCTCTGCATGTTTCCTCACCCTGCCTCCTAACCAGCCCCTCCATCCCGCCAGTTCCATGCGGGGTCGTAGGGAGGCAATATCCCTTCTTAGAACTGAGAGAGAGCACATGCTAAGGAGGTCTGAGACTTACTCTCTTTTTTTCAACGAATTTAATTCTTTTCCAAAGATAAAATATAAACATGCAAAGATTCTCTGTAACAATGATGATATATGAGCTACCATTTATTAGATTCTTAACCCTGGGAGGGCCCACACAGATCTCTCAGCATGTGTTATTCCATTTAATACTTACAGAAAACCCTGAGTTCACAACCGATGCTAGAGATGGAGAAAATGAGGACCAGAGGCAAATAACTCGAGTATTATAACATTGCCCAAAAACTGAAATTCTTAACCATCCATTGTGACATCTAAAAACCCGGCCTCCTTCCTTTCTGCTGAGTTTATCTTGCTCTACACCTGAATAATAGTTTCAATAAACTCCACCAGGTGTCATCTACATATTTTTTCACAAATATGTCAAGATACAGTTTATTATCCTCTGAATGCTAACAAATTCTGGAGACGCAAAACCTACAGGGTGTGTATAAATAATTTGACTCAGCGGTGTAAATATGAATTCGATTTTTTTTTTTTTTTTTTTTTTGAGATGGATTCTTGCTCTGTCGCCCAGGCTGGAGTGCAGTGGTGTAATCTCTGCTCACTGGAAGCTCCGCCTCCCGGGTTCACGCCATTCTCCTGCCTCAGCCTCCGGAGTAGCTGGGACTACAGGTGCCCGCCACCACGCCCGGCTAATTTTTTGTATTTTTTAGTAGAGACAGGGTTTCACCATGTTAGCCAGGATGGTCTCAATCTCCTGACCTCGTGATCCACCCGCCTCAGCCTCCCAAAGTGCTGAGATTACAGACATGAGCCACCGTGTCCAGCCTCAATGCTATTTAAACAAATGAACAACCTGGTTTCTCTAAGTTGTTGTGTTACTTCTTCTCTCTTGGATTTTTTATTGGCTCTCTGATGCCAATAGGAATCTGTTCTAAAACTGATTAGCCCTGAGAAAGACTCTGTAATCACATAAATCTGAAGTTAGGCATGCTTTCAATTTTTGTTTAGAAGAGAGATTTTTTTTTCCAAACAGGACGTGTTTCCCAAAGAAACATTAGTGTCTTTTATATTCTAAAACATGTCTGCTTCTGCGATTTCAAAGGACAGTAGGTCCAATTCTGCTTGTAACTGGCCAATTTCAGTTACTGTGAAAGACCGGTGGAGGAAGTGGTTTGTGAATAAGGTTTGAATAAAGCATATTATTAGACCTCAAGGAGAATCACTAGATTCTAACGTAGTTTTTCTTGCATTGCATTAATAAAGCAACGTTGTTATGAAGGTACGGCAATCTTGTCTTCTCTTGTTGGTTTGAAAGCTTGTTTTTTGTTGTTGTTGATCGGCCTTTGGATGGTCTACCCTAAGGACTAATTCATTTGGTTCTGCAATGCGTCATCGCTACGACCATGCCTTAAGTCTCAGAACACCTAGGGAGATAAATAGAAGTTATTTTTGTTATCTGGGCTTTATCAATACATTTCAGCTTGGAAAGATTATATGACTTGCCCTAAGTCCCACATTCAGCCACAGGGAAGGCTGAGCACAGTTCTAGGCTAAACCTTAACATACTGAAGACAGGAGGAATCTGGGGGATCCCAGGCTCATCTCTTACTTTACTGCTGATGTCAAAGACAATCAATAGAGGCCCAGCACAGTGGCTGACACCTGTAATCCCAACACTTTGGAAGGCTAAGGCAGGTCAATCACTTGAGGCCAGGAGTTCGAGAGCAGCCTGGCCAACATGGTGAAACCCCATCTCTACTAAAAATACAAAAATCAGCTGGGCATGACACCTACTCAGGAGGCTGAGGCACAAGAATGACTTGAACCCAGGAGGTGGAGGTTGCATGAGTCAAGATCGTACCACTGCACTCCAGCCTGGGTGACAGAACAAGACTCTCTCAAAAAAAAAAAAAAAAGAGAGAGAGAGAGTGAGAATCAATAGATTCTAATGTAGTTTCCCTTACATTGCATCAATAAAGCAACATCATTATGAAGGCACTGCAATCTTGTCTTCTCTTGTTGGTCTGAAAGCTTGTTTGTTGTTGTTGTTGATCAGCCTTTGGATGGTCTGCCTTAAGGACTAATTTGCTTGGTTCTGCAGAAGCCAGTAGGGTCAGAGGCTGTTACAGACTGAATTATGGGCCCCCCTCAATCTCCTAGAATTCATATATTGAAATCCCAAGTCCCAGTGCCTCAGAATGCAAGCGGGCTTGGAGATATGGTTTTTGCAGAAATCATTAAGTTAAAATGAAGACATTAGAGTGGGCCCTATTCTTAATTCTAAAAGCTGGTGTTCCAATTACAGGTGGAAGGTTTTGACACAGACACACATGGAGGGAAGAGAATTGTGAAGCCATGGGGAAAAGACAGCCATCTGCAAGCCCAGGAGAGAGGCCTAGAGCAGACCCTTCCCCCACAGCCCTCAGAAGGACCAGCCCTGCGGACACCTTGACCTGGATTTCCAGGCTCCAGAACTGTGAGAAAATAAATTTCTGTTGCTTTAAGTGACTGCAATCTGAGCATACTAATACCTGGGCCATCGCAGCTGCCTTACCGATGATGATTCAGAGGCCTAAGGTGTCCTGATGCTGAGCTCTACACACCAAGACGGTGCCTCTGAAGCTAACAGTGCCAACTCCAGAAACCACAGACTAACCAGTTGTTTGGTGCTTACACACCCCACATCTGTCCTAGATACCCTGGAGGCACAGCACCAGGCTTCCTCCCCAGCAAATCTCAGTGGAAGGTGTGAAATTGGAGCCTTCTTGGCCAATTGGTCTGAGGTTGAGTTGACCTCCTGCCTTTCTCTCGACAATTCTCTGGCCAGGGAAGGTTTTCCTGGGAAATCCTCACTCATGTGTGGACTTGTGGAGGCTGTGCTCACCCAGACCGCCTGTTCTGACATTTTGTTCAAGAGGGCCACGTTGTTCTTATAAGGCTCACAGCCATGCTGCCCTCTCCCCAGAGTCCCACCTGTTCCCAGCAGCCATAACTCAAGTCTTTTTGTGGACAAAGAGGAACAGAGAGTAACGAGGCACTGTGCTAAGTGCTTTCCAGGCATGACTGCATCTCACCTTCACCGCCTCCCTGAGTGGAAGACATCGTCCTCTCCGTCTGCCAGATGGAGAAACTGAAGCACAGACAGGTTAGGAACTTGCCCCGAGTTCACACGGCTCATGAGTGAGGGGAATGGATTTGCTCTTGAGTTTCTAAGGCCTGTGCTTTGCTGCTACACAATGCAAGAGAGGTGACCAGATGGCCCTGAGCTCCTCTCCCTCCAAGGTAACCATGTGGAAAGGCCCAGCCAGGATGTAGCCGGGTTAGTGCTTGTGACGTTTTGTCTCTGGAAATTACAGAATCTGTCACTGCAGAGGCTGGCAGGGACTTGCTTTTCACAGGGCACAGTGGTTTATGCCTATAATCCCAGTGCTTTGGGAGGCCAAGTGGGGAGGATAGCTAGAGGCCAGGAGTTTGAGACCAGCCTGAGCAACATAGCGAGACCCCCATCTCTACAAAAAAAAAAAAAAAAAAAAAAGAAAGAAAGAAAAAGAAAAAGAAAAAGAAAGAAAGAAAAAAAAGAACTGTGCCACTCATAGAGACCCAAAATATTGCTTCTGGCTCCATAATGAGGCAAACACAGAAAGTGAGAGTAAGTGTTCAGGAGCATCCACACACATTTAACAGAGCAATGCTATGTTGCAATAATTTAGTAATAAAAAAGAAACGAGCTTGTATTTTGTATGTTTTTTTAACACAAAAATTTCCATTTCTCATCACATATTAGACCCCACTGCAAATAAAAACCTGGGTCCTTACCACTGATAGTTTGAGAAGCCTTGCTGAGGCAGAGGTCTCAGTCACTGACTGAAGATAAAATGACATGGAAAAATCTGGAGCCCAGGAAATGCAGGGATTCTCTCCAGCTGCCAGAGCCACACAGGGGATGCCCAGCCACCAGGAAGTCCAACGTGAGCCCCTCAGCTACCAACTGCGCCCTTAGTAAGGGGCTTTCTGGAATGGTCAAATGGAAAGTAGCCTGGAAGTTGACAATTTGGCTTTTAGCCCTGGCTTTGGGTTTTTTGTTTGTTTTTGAGATAGGGTCTGGCTCTGTCACTCAGGCTGGAGTGCAGTGGCACAGTCTTGGCTCACTGCAGCCTCAACCTGCCATAGCCCTGCTTTCGCGGTGTGACCTTGGGCCAATCATTTAATCCTCTGTCCGCTGATTTCCTCATCTGTAAGCTGGAGATCATAATACTAGTGCCCGCCTCATAGGATTATTCTGTGGAATAAATGTGTTCATTTGGGAGTGTTCAGAGCAGTGCCTGGCATACAGTAAGTGCTATGTATGTGTTCACTATTATTACATTAGGTAGAAGTCATTTTTCCTTCTCTAGCCTGTGTTCTACTGAAACAGTTTTTAAACTACTTTTTTTGGGATATTTCTTTGTGAAGAATGTATTTCAAGACTTCCATATGCATTTGACTTACATTTAATTATTATTATTATTATTATTATTATTATTATTATTATTATTATTTGAGACAGAGTCTCGCTGTGGTGCCCAGGCTGGAGTGCAGTGGTATGATCTCAGCTCTCTTCAACCTCTGCCTCCTGGGTTCAAGCAATTCTCCTGCCTCAGCCTCCCGAGCAGCTGTGATTACAGGTGCACGCCACCATGTCCAGCTAATTTTTGTATTTTTATGAGAGACGGGGTTTTGCCATGTTGGCCAGGGTGGTCTCAAACTCCTGACCTAAAGTGACCCACCCACCTCTGCCTCCTCAAATGGTGAGATTACAGGCATAAGTCACTGTGACCAGGCTGTTCCAACTGTTTACCACAAAACTAAGCCTGCAGCGCTGGCCATTCATTTCTCAATTATCTGGGAAGAAATAGGGATGAGGCTGGGGGTATAGGAGAAGGACCTCCTGACTGGACAGCAGGAAACCAGCCCTGCCATTAACCACCCAGTGACCTCAGGCAAGTGCATGAACCTCCCTACCCTGAGGGTTTGGGGCTCTGCCACCCTCTGGATCTTGAGGCAGGTGCTTTTGACAGCAGCCCCTCCTGTCCTTTAGATAAATGGTTCCCAACCTTTTTGGCACCAGGGACCAGTTTCATGGAAGACAATTGTTCCATTGACCTGGTGTGAGGGAAGGTTTCGGGATGATTCAAGCACATTACATTTATTGTTCACCTTATTTTTATTATGATTACATTGTAATATATAATGAAATAATTATATAACTCACCGTAATATAGAATCTGTGGGAACCCTGAGCTTGTTTTCCTGCAACTAGATGGTCCCATCCAGGGGTGACAGGAGATAGTGACGGATCATCAGGCACTAAATTCTCATAAGGAGCATGCAACCTAGATCCCTGGCATATGCAGTTCACAATAGGGTTTGTGCTCCTATGAGAATCTAATGCTGCCACTGATCTGAGAGAAGGCAGAGCTCAGGCAATAATGTGAATGATGGGGAGCAGCTGTAAATACAGATGAAGCTTTGCTTGCTCGTCCGCCCGCCACTCACCTCTGGCTGTGCAGCCCGGTTCCTAACAGGCCACAGGCCAGTACCAGTCCATGGCCCGGGTGTTGGGGAACCCCGCTTTAGATAACAAAACAAGCAGCCAGGGCCTGGCATAGACTCATGTAGAGCCTCACCCTCTTCCCACTCCATTTTTGAGGCCATCCTAACCAAAAGACAGCAGAGAGAAGGAAGAGGCCCTGCATGAACAGTCGGTCCCTAAAGAGGATCTCACCTCAAGGCCAGGCGAACTGTGGTTTTGGGCTCCTGCCATTTGCCTGGGAAGCCTGAGTGAGTCTTTGCCGTTGTTAACATCCACAGGCCTCTGTCCGACTGGCTTTCATCCCAGCCCACTTAACTTTCCTGCCCAACAAATACCTGTGGTTTCCACCAGCCACATGCTACTCCCCTTCCTGAAATGCTCCTACTCCTTCCTGCCTTCAGGGACCAACCAGACCCAGTGTGAAGGCCCAGCTCAGTCCCTCCTGCCTCCCTGCACAACCCTTCTCCCTGGCCCTGTTTGACTCCTGCCTCTGTGCTATCCCACAGACCTGACATTTGCACAGCATTCATGGTTGCCAGGGCATGTCCACTGAACCCCAAAATACATTGATTTGTCAGCTTCTAAAACAAATCACCAGCTCTGGCATCTTAGGGCTACTATAGCAAAACACCATACACTGGGTGGCTTCTCAACACAGAAAGTGAATAGTTCTAGTGGCTGGAAAGTCCAAGATCAAGGCAGATTTGGTGTCTGGTGAGGGTGTGCTTTCCGGTTCATAGACAGCGCCTTTATGCTGTGTCCTCGAATGGTGGGAGGGGTGAGAGGGTTCCCTTGGGCCTCTTTTATAAGGGCACTAATTCAATTCACGAAACCTCCACCCTCGTGACCTAATCACTTCCCAGAGACCCTATCTCCTAATACCATCACCTCAGGGGTTAAGATTTTACCACATAAATTTTGAGGGCACACAAACATTCAGACCACACATCCAGGGAGCTGAGTGGGATTTTTGCCCCCATCTGCCTGTCCGGTGTCACTGGATAGCTGCCTGCAGTAGAGGGCTGGCTAGGGACTATTGTGCACTTTATGTACACACACCACCTCCTGTGAGCTTGGCATAACCCCTTTGAGGTGGGTGGTGGCTTCTTTTTTAGAAACTTCAAAAGTGTAGCTCACTTTCAGTCTGGGCTCAGACTGGATACCTCGTATACCAAACTGTCTTACAAAGAAATAAGCAGAAGGAGATCACATGCTGAAGCTCAGGGCCAATGCAGAGCCCGTAAGAGTCAGAGATAGGTCCAGCCCTGGGTCTATATGATGCCAAAGCCCCTCTTCTCCACCTCAGTCTCAGCCAGGCCTTGCCAGTCTGCCCCTCTCCCTCCTCTGCCACATCTGACCTTGCCCCTCGGTGGCTGAGGCTCTACAAAGCCCCTGGCAGTCAGGGAACATGGAACCCTAGAATCCTGTGAGGAGGGTCTGGACAAGGCAAATTAGTTCTCCACCTGGGAGGCACACAAGGCCTCCTCTCCACCTAGAGAGCAAATGAGAGGTGGGGCTGTTGGGTACCAAGGGTGAACCTGTCCACTAGGAAATGTGCAGGGGCGTCACTTTTGTTTAGGGTTGGGTTTGGTTTGGTCTGCACAGTGGCTTGGATCCAGAGCCACTCATATTTGATGGGGTTGAGGACAGCACTGCCAAACATCCTACACTGAGCAAGTCAGTCCTGCAGAAGGAAGGTCTGCCCACGCTGCTAGTACAGCCCCATGAGGAATCACTGAGTCCCATCAGCTAGCTTTTCCTTTTGTATCCTCTCCTTATTTTTTATCATCTTGACATTGACCCAAGGGGCTCAGTCCAGCACTCTGGACTCCATTGCCTGCTGTCAGGCTGCTGGAGGAGGCAGGCATCCAGAAACACGTGACCGAGCTTCTCTGCACTCGGGACTTTAATCTCCTTAGTTGAAATTGATTGACCTTTTGGGAGGCAGCTCTGCATTGGCCCTCAGATTCAGCATGTGATCAACTTTTGCTTATTTCTTTTAAAGACCAATTGACACACCATGGTATCCAGTCTTCTCCCTGAATACTGGGCCTATTTGCCAACTAGAAGCAAAACCAGGAACACACACACTTACAAAAACAGCTCAGGAAACAAAAGCACCTGAAAAAAATAAGGAGAGAAATATTCTGTCTCATGGTGACTTAGCATTATACAAAAGCCCAGTCAAAACACCATTACCAAGGAAAGATGAAATCACATGGGAAAGGAGAGATGGGAGGGGTTGGGGGAAAGAGTAAGCTGCCTGAAGCTTACGATAAATAAGCTGGGCTGGAGTATATCTAAGAACTAGCTGCAAAAAAGATAAAAAGGGAAGAAAAGTGAAACACCTTTTTTTTTTTTTTCTGAAACAAAGTTTTGCTCTGTCACCCAGCCTGGAGTGCAGTGGTGTGGTCTTGGCTCACTGCAACCTCCACGTCCTGGGCTCAAGCTATTCTCCTGCCTCAGTGCAGGGGTGGGTTGCCCCTCCACACCTGTGGGTGTTTCTCGTAAGGTGGGATGAGAGATTTGGAAAAGAAAAAGACACAGAGACAAAGTATAGAGAAAGAAATAAGGGGACCCGGGGAACCAGCGTTCAGCATATGGAGGATCCCGCCAGCCTCTGAGTTCCCTTAGTATTTATTGATCATTCGTGGGTGTTTCTCGAAGAGGGGGATGTGTCAGGGTCACAAGACAATTGTGGGGAGAGGGTCAGCAGACAAACACGTGAACAAAGGTCTTTGCATCATAGACAATGTAAAGGATTAAGTGCTGTGCTTTTAGATGTGCATACACATAAACATCTCAATGCTTTACAAAGCAGTATTGCTGCCCGCAGGTCCCACCTCCAGCCCTAAGGCGGCTTTTCCCTATCTCAGTCGATGGAGCATACAATCGGGTTTTATACTGAGACATTCCATTGCCCAGGGACGGGCAGGAGACAGATGCCTTCCTCTTGTCTCAACTGCAAGAGGCATTCCTTCCTCTTACTAATCCTCCTCAGCACAGACCCTTTACGGGTGTCGGGCTGGGGGATGGTCAGGTCTTTCCCTTCCCACGAGGCCATATTTCAGACTATCACATGGGGAGAAACCTTGGACAATACCTGGCTTTCCTAGGCAGAGGTCCCTGCGGCCTTCCGCAGTTTTTGTGTCCCTGGGTACTTGAGATTAGGGAGTGGTGATGACTCTTAAGGAGCATGCTGCCTTCAAGCATCTGTTTAACAAAGCACGTCTTGCACCGCCCTTAATCCATTTAACTCTGAGTTGACACAGCACATGTTTCAGAGAGCACTGGGTTGGGGGTAAGGTCACAGAATCTCAAGGCAGAAGAATTTTTCTTAGTACATAACAAAATGGAGTCTCCTATGTCTACTTCTTTCTACACAGACACAGTGACAATCTGATCTCTCTTGCTTTTCCCCACATTTCCCCCTTTTCTTTTCCACAAAACCGCCATCGTTGTCATGGCCCGTTCTCGATGGTCGCTGTCTCTTCAGAGCTGTTGGGTACACCTGCAGACTAACAACAGACAAAACAGGCACACAAGGATTAATATGAGATTTATAATCGTAGTACTTCCGATGGTCTTAACCCAAGTGACAGGGTTAAGATTTGCGAGGCCATCAGCAACTCCTGCAATTGCCTCAGTGCCTGGCACCAAATTTAAATGGGCTTTTGATGCTTCGAAAATTTGTTCTTTTAATTTGGAAATGTCTAAAGTGAGATTATCTTCTCTTCCTTGTAGATGGCGTCTAACCATGTCCCAGTGATGCTCAGACTCATTATAAATTTGGGGTGTAATACAAAAATCTGACGTATTCCAGTCACACTGTAACTGGAAACGATGTTCTAAGCTCATGAGTCTGTCTCCCATCCAAATGACAGTTTGTCTAAGATCATTAATTTGATTTGCCAATTTTTGATCAATACTAGATTGTGAATTCCACAATCTTGTAGAATTTTTTTGCCAATCATTAACAAAGTTTACTGACTGAACAGAAGAGTGCAATGCAACTCCTGCTACAGCAGCCGTAGCTGTGACTGCAATTAATCCCATAATCACTGCAATTAAAGTAAAAATGAATCTTTTGGATCTATTTAAAACACCTTTTAATACTTCAGTCAAAATATGGACGGATGGCAAGGCCTCCCACGGTCGGTCCATGGACACAGGGATCCACACGCCCTCTCTTGCTCTCACCAGCAGAATACGGTGTTGCCAATTAAAAGTTGAATCAATGCAAGTAAACAATCTACAATTTTCACAGGTTATAGTCTGGGAGTATGGTTTAATAACTATATTTCCTACAACTAGCATATAAGGGGGCTTTACGCAACTTTGTAAAGGAACCGTTAGACTGGAATTTAGGTCGATAGTATAAAATGGCTTACGATCTCTTGTTTCTAAAGTTTGATTTCCAGACCAAATTCTAATGTGGTGTGAGGCCACAGTAAGCCTCCATAATTCTGGATGTTCAGGACCAGAAACAGGACTTATTATTTTTGGTCTTGGGGTAGAGATTCCTTTTTCTCCCCATTCCCAAGGGTAGAAAGACTGCAATTTTTTATGCTTATGTTTGTCTAAACTTTCTGTTAAGTCGCTATCAACAGCTGGACTCACTTGTGCACTTGGACATGACTGAGTTTGTCCTGAGCAATTGTGGTAGAATTGACCTCGAGGTGCCCAATCTATAATAGTTCCGAATTTATTGTTTTGTAATATCACCGCACTATTGGCCACACATTCTTCCCAAACTAAAACTTCTGTATTTTTTGATTCTTTGGGAATTTCCTTGGGGCAAGGTTTCCCTTTAGGTCTAAATTTTAATGATCTTTGATAAGAAAAGTCTTGTAAATAATTTACCCGTGGCCTGAGTGACATCCCGCTTACCATGTGATAAGTGAATCTACTGATGGGACTGACAGTAGGTACTTCTACCAACCAATTTTGGACTGCAGGCATTAAACATCCTGGTGCTCTCACTAGGCAAATAGGAGGATAACAATACCCAATGGAAATATTTATCATCATCCCTTCTTCCTCAGGTTTGGCAGGGCAGCGATCATCTGTGGGGCCAGGTACCCATACGCTATCATTAACATATACTTCTATAGGATTATCCATCCATGTGACTGGTGTTACCATCTCCGTGGAGGCCCTTTTCTTTGCATCTCTGATGGGTTCATTGTAGAACTTCAAATGTCTAGTGGGTATTTGGCATGTTTTTGCAGTGGCTGGTACCGGTTGTTCCTTTCCATGTTTAGTGCTTGCTTCAGGAGCTCTTTTAGGGCATGCCTGGTGGTGACAAAATCTCTCAGCATTTGCTTTTCTGTAAAGGATTTTATTTCTCCTTCACTTATGAAGCTTAGTTTGGCTGGATATGAAATTCTGGGTTGAAAATTCTTTTCTTTAAGAATGTTGAATATTGGCCCCAACTCTCTTCTGGCTTGTAGAGTTTCTGCCGAGAGATCAGCTGTTAGTCTGATGTGCTTCCCTTTGTGGGTAACCCGACCTTTATCTCTGGCTGCCCTTAACATTTTTTCCTTCATTTCAACTTTGGTGAATGTGACAATTATGTGTCTTGGAGTTGCTCTTCTCGAGGAGTATCTTTGTGGCGTTCTCTGTATTTCCTGAATCTGAATGTTGGCCTGCCTTGCTAGATTGGGGAAGTTCTCCTGGATAATATCGTGCAGAGTGTTTTCCAACTTGGTTCCATTCTCCCCGTCACTTTCAGGTACACCAATCAGATGTAGATTTGGTCTTTTCACATACTCCCATATTTCTTGGAGGCTTTGTTCATTTCTTTTTATTCTTTTTTCTTTAAACTTCTCTTCTCACTTCATTTCACTCCTTTGATCTTCCATCACTGATACCCTTTCTTCCAGTTGATCAAATTGGCTACTGAGGCTTGTGCATTCGTCACACAGTTCTCATGCCATGGTTTTCAGCTCCATCGGGTCCTTTAAGGACTTCTCTGCATTGATTATTCTAGTTAGCCATTCGTCTAATTTTTTTCAAAGTTTTTAACTTCTTTGCCATGGGTTTGAACTTCCTCCTTTAGCTTGGAGTAGTTTGATCATCTGAAGCCTTCTTCTCTCAACTCGTCAAAGTCATTCTCCATCCAGCTTTGTTCCATTGCTAGTGAGGAGCTGCATTCCTTTGGAGGAGGAGAGGCACTCTGATTTTTAGTTTCCCGTTTTTCTGCTCTGTTTTTTCCCCATCTTTGTGGTTTTATCTACCTTTGGTCTTTGATGATGATGACGTACTGATGGGTTTTTGGTGTGGATGTCCTTTCTGTTTGTTAGTTTTCCTTCTAACAGTCATGACCCTCAGCTGCAGGTCTGTTGGAGTTTGCCGGAGGTCCACTCCAGACCCTGTTTGCCTGGGTATCAGCAGTGGAGGCTGCAGAACAGCAGATATTGGTAAACAGCAAATGTTGCTGCCTGATTTTTCCTCTGGAAGTTTTGTCTCGGAGGAGTACCTGGCCATGTGAGGTGTCAGTCTGCCCCTACTGGGAGGTTCCTCCCAGTTAGGCTACTCGGGGGTCAAGGACCCACTTGAGGAGGCAGTCTGTCCATTCTCAGATCTCCAGCTGCATGCTGGAGAACCACTACTCTCTTCAAAGCTCTCAGACAGGGACATTTAAGTCTGCAGAGGTTTCTGCTGCCTTTTGTTTGGCTATGCCCTGCCCCAGACGTGGAGTCTACAGAGGCAGGCAGGCCTCCTTGAGCTGTGGTTGGCTCCACCCAGTTCGAGCTTCTGAGCCACTTTGTTTACCTACTCAAGCCTCGGCAATGGCAGGCGCCCCTCCCCCAGCCTCGTTGCTGCCTTGCAGTTTGGTCTCAGACTGCTGTGCTAGCAATGAATGAGGCTCCGTGGGCGTAGGACCCTCCAAGCCATGCACGGGATATAATCTCCTGGTGTGCCATTTGCTAAGACCATTGGAAAAGTGCAGTATTAGGGTGGGAGTGACCCAATTTTCCAGGTGCCGTCTGTCACCCCTTTCTTTGACTAGGAAAGGGAATTCCCTGACCCCCTGTGCTTCCCAGGTGAGGCGATGCCTTGCCCTGCTTCGGCTCTCACTCAGTGTGCTGCAGCCCCTGTCCGACATTCTCCAGTGAGATGAACCCAGTACCTCAGTTGGAAATGCAGAAATCCCCAGTCTTCTGCATCACTTACGCTGGCAGCTGTAGACTGGAGCTGTTCCTATTCAGCCATCTTGGCTCCTCCCCCCACAAAAAACGTTTTTTAACTGATAAATATTACCTTTGGAAAATGTGCGAAATTAGTGCCCCCAATGGGTGTCCTTCACTACCACGATCTGTTTTCACATTGACACCCCTTAGTTACAGAGAAGGGGTCCTGATCCAGACACCAAGAGGGGTTCTTGTATCTCACCCAAGAAAGAATTCAGGGTGAGTCCATAGGGTAAAGTGAAAGCTTATTAAGAAAGTAAAGAAATGAAGAATGTCTACTCTGTAGGCAGAGCAGCCCCTGGAGGCTGCTGGTTTCCCATTTTTTATGGTTCTTTCTGGATTATATGCTAAACAGTGAATGGATTATTCATGCCTCCCCTTTTTAGACCATATAGGGTAACTTCCTGACATGACCATGGTATTTGTAAATTGTCATGGCACTGGTGGGAGTGTAGCAGTGAGGACCACCAGAGGAACTCTCGTCGCCATCTTGGTTTTGGTGGGTTTGGGCTGGCTTCTCTATTGCAATCTGTTTTATCAGCAAGGTCTTTATGACCTGTATATTGTGATGACCTCCTATCTCATCCTGTGACTTAGAAGGCCTTAACCATCTGGGAATGCAGCCCAGTAGATCTCAGCTTCATTTTACCCAGCCCCTATTCAGGATGGGGTTGCTCTGGTTCAAACGCCTCTGACACCTCCACCATTCCCAAGAGCCTCCTTTGCCAAAAATGTGCACCTAACAATAAGAGCTAAACTGAACATGTTCTGTGGTCAGGCTTGGCCACGTGATCTCATTTCATTCTTACAACAACCCTGTAAGAGAAATATTATCTCCCCTTTGCAATACAGAGCATGTTCGGTGGGGGTTAGGTGACTTCCCCAACATCACAGGCTAGTTTGTGGGGTAAGATTCTTCCTTATCCACATGCTGTCAGGATCCAGATGAGACATTTATCCTCCTACACCCCAGCTTGAATTCTGTGGAACCACTGGGCAGGCTTCAAATGTAGGCACAGTGAGCTGATTTGTAATAATAACAGCCAATATCTGAGTACCTACCACGTGCCAGGCATTGTACATAGAGTCTTTCATTTGACAACTCAATAAGATATGTATGTCTGCAGCTCGATATTATAGGCTGATCTTTGTTAGAAAAGAAATGATTTGGGGGCTGCTTTTCAGTAAAAGGAAAACTTTTAAAACCTTACCGAGGACTTCCTTACCCTGACTATCTGCCTAAATAATTTCTTTTTAACTTCTATATCAATAGCTTAATGCAGCCTTGAACTCCTGGGCTCAAGCAACCCACCTACCTCAGCTTCCCAAGTAGTTGGGACTACAGGCATGCACCACCGTGCCTGGCTAAATTTTTTTTTTTTTAGAAATGGGGTCAGCCAGGTGCGGTATCTCACGCCTGTAATCCCAGCACTTTGGGAGGCCGAGGCGGGCTGATAACGAGGTCAGGAGATCGAGACCATCCTGGCAAACATGGTGAAACCCCGTCTCTATAAAAAATACCAAAAATTAGCTGGGCGTGGTGGCGGGCACCTGTAGTCCCAGCTAGGCGGGAGGCTGAGGCAGGAGAATGGCGTGAACCCAGGAGGCGGAGCTTGCAGTGAGCCGAGATGGCGCCACTGCACTCCAGCCTGGGTGACAGAGCAAGACTCCGTCTCAAAACAAAAAAAAAGAAAAGAAATGAGGTCTAGCTATGTTGCCCAGGCTGGTCTTCCTGCAGCTTTGACCTCCAGGCCTCAAGCAACCCTCCCACCTTCAACTCCCAAAGTGCTGGGATTATTGGTGTGAGCCACCACACTCTACCCACAGCTGTTCATAAAACTTCAGATGATAAGCAGTTTTAATGCCCAGAATTTAACTACATGGAGTATGTTCCCAACTTCCTGTAGTTTCTAATCTCTGGGTAACACACCTCTCCCATTTTTGTTCTCCCAGTCCTTCCACCAGCTTTATAACTTAATTCCCTGTATTCAAGCTCTCTCTTTGAAATATCTAAGGTGATTTCTGCTTTTTCTACTGAACACTTACTAATAAACCCTTTTTCCAATTCTTTTCCTTTATAGATTTGTGTAAATGCCCAAGGTTTTATTATTCAGGTGCCTGTCCTTTCTCCTTTTTGCTGAGTTCTTCAATGTGACCTTTCTGATTTAAGTTTTTTTTTTTTTTTTGAGATGGAATCTCACTCTGTCACCCAGGCTGGAATGCAGTGGTGTGATGTCGGCTCACTGCAACCTCTGCCTCTTGGGTTCAAGGGATTCTCATGTCTCAGTCTCCTAGGTAGCTGGGACTACAGGCACTAGCCACAATGCCCAGCTAATTTTTTGTATTTTTAGTAGAGACCAACTTTTGCCATGTCTCTAGGTCAGGATCTGAGGTCACGACCACCTGACCTCAGGTGATCCACCTGCCTTGGCCTCCCAAAGTGCTGGCATTACGGGCATGAGCCACTGTGCCTGGCCCTTTCTGGTTTCAATTTTTTGGTTATCATTGTTTCTTCCCACCACCCTCTCAACATTGACAGGCGAGAGTTAACGCTTGCCTTTTATTGCTCTCCTCTGCACTTAGATCTCTGTTACATTAAACTACAAAGCAGCTAAAGCACTGGACAACCCAATCCCTTCCTCTGGGACACTGCCACCTGGGAGCATCGCTGAACATTTTGTTCTACTGGGTCATTAGAAACAAGATCTGCAGGCCAGGTGCGGTGGCTCATGCCTGTAATCCCAGCACTTTGGGAGGCTGAGGCCAGCATATCACTTGAGATCAAGAGTTTGAGACCAGCCTGGCCAACATGGTGAAACCCCATCTCTACAAAAATACAAAAAAATTACCCTAACGTGGTGGCACATGCCTGTAATCCCAGTTACTTGGGAGGCTGAGACAGGAGAATCACTTGAACCCAGGAGGCAGAGGTTGCAGTGAGCCAAGATCATGCTATTGCACTCCAGCCTGGGCGACAGAGTGAGACTTCATCTCAAAAAAAACAAAAAACAAAAAAAACCCCACAAGATCTGCCCACAGCAGGGCTCTGCCCCTGTTGATGGGAACTATGCATAACTAATAAACAGGAAAATTAGTGGCAAAATGGCCTGATCCTTCTCAACATGCTTCTAATAACTTCCAAATCTTCCAAATCTCCCAATCTAGATTTCCTTATATACCTTCTTTCCTTCCTAGATGATTACTCCAAACCTTCAAACTCAGGCATTTTTGAGTCTACATTTGCTCTTCCTTTCCTCCCCATCATATGGCACTTTGCTCTGCAAAGGATTAACCCAGCTTCTCGGTCACATTGTACACACTTGTTTTTTTTCTTAGACAGGGTCTCACTCTGTTGCCCAGGCTGGAGTGCAGTGGCATGATCTCGGCTCACTGCAACCTCCGCCTCCCGGGTTCAAGTGATTCTCCTGCCTCAGCCTCCCGAGTAGCTGGGATTACAGGTGTGCACCAACACATCTGGCTAATTTTTGTATTTTTCGTAGAGATGGGGTTTCACCATGTTGCCCAAGCTGGTTTTGAACTCCGGGACTCAAGCTATCCACCCGCCTTGGCCTCCGAAAGTGCTGGGATTACAGGTGTGAGCCACTGTGTCTGACCTACCGTACACATTTGAAATAAGAGCTGGCTTGGTCTCTAGTTGTGGATGCTGAGATGTCAGAGGTACCCAACAATCTGGCAGATTTAAGATGAGACTTTATCTTGCAGCATTGCAAATACCACGTGGGATAGATACCAGAACTCTGTTTCAAAGCTGAGGTAAATAATGTTCAGAGGAGTTTACTACTTGTCCAAAGTCACATAGAGTGTAAGAGGGAGAGCCAGGTCTGAATCCAGGTCTTTCTGTTGCCACAGCTCCTGCCAAACACTGCAGTCAATGCAGGAAAACATAAATGAAAGCATTGGATCTTAAATTCCAGCAAAACGCTATTGCAGCTACTCAGAAGACTGAGGCATAAAATCACTTGAACCCGAAGGTGGAAGTTGCAGTGAGCCAAGATCATGCCACTGCACACCAGCCTGGCCAACAGAGGAAGACTCTATCACCAAAAAAAAACAAAACAAAACAAAAAAATCTGAATATTTTATGGACTTTAGTTAATAATAAGGTATCAACATATCAACACTGGTCCAATACTGTAACAAATGTACCCTACTGATGTAAGATGTTAGAAACATGGGAAACAGTGCAAGATATATGGGAACTCTCTGTATTAACTTCATGATTTCTCTGTAAATCTATAACCATTCCTAAAAATAAATTTCATTTGGCCGGGTGCAGTGGCTCATGCCTGTAATCCTAGCACTTTAGCAGGTTGAGGTAGGTGGATCAGTTGAGTCCAGGAGTTCAAGACCAGCCTGGCCAACTTGGTGAAACCCCATCTCTACTAAAAATACAAAAAATTAGCCAGGCGTGGTGGTGCACACTTGTAGTCCCAGCTACTCAGGAGGCCGAGGCACGAGAATCACTTGAACCTGGGAGGTGGAGGTTGAAGTGAGCTGAGATCGCACCACTGCACTCCAGCCTGGGCAACAGAGACTCTGGCTCAGAAAATAAAGTTCATTTAATTTACATTTTTGAGAAATTCCCCAGTTCCTCGAGTCAGATCTAATCACCTGTTATGTGTTCATATAGCAATCTGGACTACTGGCTAAATGAATTAATTTATCACCGAATGTAATTATACGTTTGTGCATTTTGCTCGCTGTTGTATCTTAGTGCAAGGTCAGGGCCTGGCTCTTGACAAGATCTTAGTAATAGACATAGAGTAAGTGCAACATCACAGAATAAAAGTTTCATGACAACAGGATTTTGTCTGTTCTGTTCTCTGTTGTATCCCCATCACCCAGATGATGTCTGGCACATGGAACACGCTCAATCAGGATAAATTCCTCCCCAAGTGGAGTCAAGGAATCTTTTCCCTAGTGATCCAGGGCTCTCAACCACCCTGGATCCTTTTAGGGTGGCCTGTCCGCCGTGGGTTGGGGCCACGGGCTTGTAGGAAGAGGGGATTGACTTCCCCGTTCCTGGCTGAGGCTCCACATCTTCCCTCTGTACTAGGCTCTGCAGAAAATTTTCAGTTGGGGCAATGTGCTGCTCAGTTAGTGCCATTTACCAAAATGAGGGAAAGTAAGAAAGGGCAAGTGGGAGGTGCAGTTTAAAGAAGATTCGTTAGACATCTAATTGACAAAATCAAGTAGGAAACTGCATACATCTGTCTACAACTCAGGGGTGGCGTAAAGCTGTAGATATAAAGCTGGAATTCATCAGCCTATAGATGGGGTCTGAAACCAAAAGAATGGTGGGGCAGCCACTGCGGGAAACAGCATGGCGGTTCCTCAAAAGATTAAACGTGGAATGACCAAAGGATCCAGCAATTCCACTTCTGGGTAATGTGGTCTATGGAATATTATTTGCCCTTAAAAAAAATAAGGATATTCTAACCCATGCTGCATGGATGGACCCTGAGGACATTATGCTAAAGGAAGTAAGCCAATCACAGAAGGACAAATACTGTATGATGCAATTTCTAGGAGATCCCTACAGTAGTCAACTCATAGAGACAGAAAGTAGAACGATGGTTGCCAGAGGCTAGGGGAGGAGGGAATGGGGAGTTGTTGTTTCACGGGCACGGAGTTTCTGTTTGGCAAGATGAAAAGGTTCTGGAGATAGATGGTAGTGATGGTTGCACAACAATGTAAACATACTTAATGCCACAGACTGTACAATTAAAAACAGTTAAAACGGCCAGGCACGGCGGCTCACGCCTATAATCCTAGCACTTTGGGAGGCTGAGGCAGTGGATTGCCTGAGCTGAGGAGTTCAAGACCAGCCTGGGCAACATGGTGAAACTCCATCTCTACTAAAATACACAAAAAATTAGCCAGGCATGGTGGCGAGAGCCTGTAGTCCTAGCTACTCGGGAGGCTGAGGCATGACAATTGTGCTTGAACTCAGGAGGCAGAGGTTGCAGTGAACTGAGGTCACGTCACTGAACTCCAGCCTAGGCAATAGCTCGAGACTCGTCTCCAAAAAAAAATTAACAATAATAATAATAATTAATAAATATAAAAATAAAAATGGTTAAAATGGTAAATGTGTGTGTGTGTGTGTGTGTGTGTGTGTGTGTGTGTGTGTGTATATATATATATGTTTTTTTTTTTTTTTCTGAGACCAAGTTTCGCTCTTGTTGCCCAGGCTGGAGTGCAATGGGCCTGATCTTGGCTCACCACAACCTCCGCCTCCTGGGTTCAAGCGATTCTCCAGCCTCAGCCTCCCGAGTAGCTGGGGTTATAGGCATGCGCCATCATGCCTGGCTAATTTTGTATTTTTAGTAGAGACAGGATTTCTCCATGTTGGTCACGCTGGTCTTAAACTCCCAACCTCAGGTGATCCCCCGCCTCAGCCTCCCAAAGTGCTGGGATTACAGGCATGAGCAACTGCGCCCGGCCTTGTTATGTATATTTTACCACAATAAAAGAACTCATTATTATGTACTGAATGCTTCCTGTATGCCCAGCATCTTTTAAGTGCTGTCCGGGTTTCAAACTCATTGAATCCTCCTATTTTCAAGGTAGGTACATTATCACCCCCATTTTATAGGCAAGGAAAGTAGTGATCAGAGAAGTTAAGTAAAAGGCCTAAGCTGTTTTGTTTTGTTTTGTTTTTTTGTAGAAGGAGTCTCGCTCTGTCGCCCAGGCTGGAGTTGCAGTGGCGCGATCTCAGCTCACTGCAAGCTCTGCCTCCCAGGTTCACGCCATTCTCCTGCCTCAGCCTCCCAAGTAGCTGGCACTACAGGTGCCCGCCACCACACCCGGTTAATTTTTTGTATTTTTTTTTATAGTGGAAATGGGGTTTCGCCGTGTTAGCCAGGATGGTCTCGATCTCCTGACCTCGTGATCCACCCGCCTCTGCCTCCCAAAGTGCTGGGATTACAGACATGAGCCACCGAGCCCAAACTAAGCTGTTTTTAAAAATTTGCTAAGGATTGTTTTATGGCTGAATGTCTGTTCAATTTTAGATTATGTGCCATGTGCAGATGAGAAGAAGGTATATTCTGTCATTTGGGGTGGAGAGTTCTCTAGAAGTCTATTAGGACGATTTGGTAGGTATTAAGGTCCCAGATATCTTTGTTAGTTTTCTGCCTCAATGATCTGTCTAATACTGTCAATGGGGTATTGGAGTCTCCCACTATTTTTGTGTGATTATCTAAATCTCTTCATAAGGCTGTAAGATCTTGCTTTATGAATCTGGGTGTTCCTGTGTTGGGTGCATGTATATTAAGGATAGATTTTTTTCATTATGTAATTTCCTTCTTTGTCTTTTTTGTTCTTTGTTTGTTTGAAGTTTGTTTTGACTGAAATTTGAATAGCAACCCCTGCTTTATTAGTTTTCCTTTTACTTGGTAGATTTTTCTCCATCCCTTTATTTCGAACCTATGGATGTTTTTGCATTTGAGATGGATCTCTTGAAGATATAGTTGGATCTTGCTTCTTTACCCAAGTTGCTACTCTGCCTTTTAATTGGGGGGCATTTAGCCTGTTTGTATAAGTTTAATGTTGATTTGTGCGGATTTGATGCTGTCATTTTGTTGTTAGGTGGTTATTATGCAGACTTGATTGTGTGGTTGCTTTATACTCTCAATAGTGTATGTATATGAGTGAGTGTGTGTGTGTGTATGTGTGTGTGTGTTTTGTGGCAAGTAGTGGTTTTTCCTTTCCATATTTAGCACTCCCTTTGGGACCTCTTGTAAGACAGGCCTAGTAGTAAAGGAATTCCCTTAGCATTTGTTTGTCTGGAAAGGGTCTTATTTCTCCTTTGTCTATGAAGCTCAGTTTGGCTGGACAAGAAATTCTTGGTTGGAATTTATTTTCTTAAAAAATGCTAAATATAAGCTCCCAATCTCTTCTGGCTTGTAGGATTACATTTGAATGTAATCTTTCATTTAAATCTTGGAGAATATGATAGCATTTTTCAGGGGTTTTCTGCATTTCTTGAATTTGAGTGTTGGCCTCTCTAGTAAGATTGGTGAAATTTTTGTGGATGATATCCTCAAGTGTGTTTTCCCAGTTGTTTACTTTATCTTCCTCTCCTTAAGGGATGCCAATGAGCCATAGATTTTTTTCTCTTTACATAATCTCACATTTCTCAAAGGTTTTGTTCATACTTCTTTATCTTATTTTATTTTTGTCTGGCTGAGTTATTTCAGAGAATAAGCCTTTCAGATCTGGGATTCTTTCCTCAGATTGGTCAATTCCACTGTTAATAATTGTGATTGTATTATAAAATTTTTGAAGTGAATTTGTCAGCTCTATCAGATCAGTTTTGTTCTTTACTAAAATGTCTATTTTTGTCTTTTGTCTTCTGTATTGTTTTGTTTGTGTCTTAGATTCCTTGTATTGGGTTTTAACTTCCTCCTGGATGCCAATGATCTTCATTTTTATTTATATTCTAATTCAATTTATGTCATTTTAGCCATTTCAGCCTCATTAAAAACCATTGCTGAAAAACTAGTATGATTCTTTGGAGGGGCAAAGACATTCTGACTTTTTAAGTTGCCACAGTTCTTGCAGTGTTTTTTTCTCATCTGTGTGGGCTAATGTTTCTTCAACCTTTAACCCTTTTCCTGTTTGCCCTGAGAATACTCACCAGTAGTGCTTGTGGCTGCAGAATTTAGCCCAAGATAACTTTGTCACAAAATATATCACCTTTATTATTATTCTTGCATCACTCTAGTATATTGACTTTGGAAATAAAAGACATTATTCTATTTTTAGCATCTTGTTTTTAGTGATGGTATTTTCAGTAAAATATATAGTATTTCTTGATTGCTGAAAATGACCAATCCTAGAAAACAGCATTTCTACATGTGATATTAACATCATTCTCAAACAATTGTTGGCTAAAGAGTCATGTGACGAATTCTGATTTTTCTGAAATAGATGATTCTGATTATTCAGATGATTCTGATGTTAGTTCTGTTTATAAATAACTTCAAGAACAGTTTTTATATTTTATTTTCACATTGAAAATCAGTCAGATTTGCTTCAGCCTCAAAGAGTATGTCTATGTAAAATTAAATGAATGCTTGCAGTAAGCTGTACTTTTTTTTCTAAATGGGAAAAGGGTTAAAGTTGTTGTCAATTGCATGGGTTTTTTTTGGCATTTATCTTCTGTGATTCCCTTTTGAGTTAATCGTAGTATAAGGTGGGTGCAGTTGACTGGGTTCATTTCTGGAAGATTTTAAAGTGCCAAGGCTCAACTCAGCATTCCTGGGCTGCATAGTCTAACTCTCAGGGGCTGATAGTAGAACCTTGGCTTTGTTCTCTGGCCTCTCCAGGATAAAAAGCTGCTGTGCTAGAGGGACTGAGTTGTTCTCAGTCCTCTGGCCACAACACTCTGATGGGTGGTGCTAGCCAAAGCACTTCATCAGGGTGATGGCAGCAGGATTTGTTCTCATCCATGCATGCTAGCAGTCGTGGCAGTGCAGCAGTATGGATATGCATTGGCTGGGGAAGCGTACCCACACAAATGAGGCTACAGTGCTCCTGCTCATGCTTATGCAGGATATGGGGTGCATGCTGGGATGGGGATGCTGGTATCCATGTTTGCAGTTATGCCTGCGATGGTGATGGTGGGACAATCATGGGTGTGGGGCTCCTGGCCTCCATGCATGCATTTGTAACTTTAGTGGAGATGGTGCAGGGGTGGGCAAGCTACAAATGGGTCTGTATAATAGTGGCTGTATTCATCTGTGTGCAACAAGAAGTGTCAGCAACTGCACAGATTCTTTTCTGTTCATCCAGTAAGTAATCTAGAGAGAGTATATTATCTAGCACAACTTTAGCTAGATAATTTAGAGAAGTCTGTTATGCAACTGTAGCCTTTACAGTAGAATCTGCTTCAGGGAGTTTTATGAGAGATAAACGTTTAATCATTGCTTCATTTACTTCAAACCATACAAACAGACCAAACAAATAATGCACATCCAGAAGAGTGAAGGCCTCTTGGCAATGCTCTCTAACCTATGATATATGTTAAGAGAAGTGGACCAATGTTCTGACTATGAGGCAACAAATATACTGTTCCAATTTCTCACCCATTTTGTCTCTTCATCATTTATATATCAAGGCATAAAGTCATCTCTTTTAAGCTTGGTTGTAAAATCCTTCACAAATATAAGTATATCCCTTTTACACAAGATCCATTTTATAGTTTGATTGTTTATAGAGGCAGGAGCAAGAAAAAAATTGAGGTAAAAGTGTCATAATAGTAGAGAAGTCTTGATTTGTAATCTTGGGATGGCTGTTTATGTTCAGGATGTTATCTGCTTCTGGGGAGAAAGTTTCCTGGTTAGCTTTACCTTAAGTTCTCTAATGAGTGCACAGTTCCAAAAGTCTTGATGGGACCTTCTTGATGGGACCTTCTGAGTTGTCAGATTATAAACCCAAGGTTTCAGGTCCTGAAACTTTTCTACAGTGTGAGTGACAAGGGCAGTATTTCCCTGATGTTGTTTCCAGAAGACAAAGTCTCTGGGTTTTAGATCATGAATGGTTTAATTCTCCTCAATTGGCATATCACAACAAGCTGTTTTTACTCGGTGAAAATACATAGTGCATTAAGGCTTTGAAGCATTTATTCATATCAGAGTTTAGAAGCAGAAGATGCATGAAGATGCAATAATACATGCATGCATTATTAGGAGCAAAGCTCTTCTGGTGACTATTTCATAAGGGGTCAACTTATGTTTTCCACTGGAAGTGGATCTGATTCTCATCAATATGTAATACCTTTGATCAAGACAATCCAGTCAATTCAGTTAGCCTAGTCTAATGCTATTTTATCAGTAATATTTAATTGTTTTGTAACTTATCAAGTAAGACAAGTACCTTTGTCACTGGTGATCTCTCCAGAAAGGTCACATGAGAAACTTCCTCCCCCCGCCCCCCCTTTTTTTTTTGAGATGGAGTCCCACTCTGTCGCTCAGGCTGGAGTGCAGTGTTGCAATCTTAGCACACTGAAACCTCCACCTCCTGGGTTCAAGTGATTCTCCTGCCTCAACCTCCCGAATAGCTGGGATTACAGGCACCCACCACCATGCCCAGCTAATTTTTGTATTTTTAGTAAAGATGGGGTTTCACCATTTTGGTCAGAATGGTCTCGAACTCCCGATCTCAGGTGATCCACCCACCTCAGCCTTCCAAAGTGCTGGGATTATAGGCGTGAGCCACCGCGCCTGACCAAAAATACATTTTAAATAATGTTTTAGCTATTGTTATAACATCAGCTCTCTTGCATGAGAAAGCTTGCATATAACCAAAGAATATTAATTGAAAATGACAATGGGATGGGTACAGTGGCTCATGCTGCACCCATCCCGTTGTCAAACTTCATGGTTCCAACTATTTGACATTCTGAAAAAGGCAAAACTATGGAGGTAGCAAAATAATCAGTAGCCTGGAGTTTGTGAAAACTGAGGAATAAATAGGCAGAGCACAGCAAAATTTTAAGGCACTACAGGTACTCTATATGACTCATGTATCCTATAATGGTAAATACATGTCCTTATACATTTGTTCAAACCCATAGACAATATAACAAAAAGAGTGAGACCTAATAGAAACAGCGGATTGTGGGTGATAAAAATGTGTTAATGTGGCCGGGTGTGGTAGCTCACACCTGAAATCCCAGCACTTTGGGAGGGCGAGGCAGGCAGATCACGAGGTCAGGAGATCAAGACCAGCCTGCCAACATGGTGAAACCTCGTCTCTACTAAAAATACAAAAATTAGGCTGGCACCCATAATCCCAGCTACTCAGGAGGCTGCAGCAGGAGAATCATTTGAACCCAAGAGGCAGAGGTTGCAGTGAGCCAAGATCGAGCGATTGCACTCCAGCCTGGATGACAGAGGGAGACTCCATCTCAAAAAAAAAAAAAAAAAAAAAGTGTTAATATAAATTCATCAGCTGTAACAATGTAGAACTCCCATGGGTGGACAATGGGGAAAACTGGGTATGTGTGGAACAGGATATATATGAGAACACTGTACCTTCTTCTAAATTTTACTGTGTAAACTTACATAACTTTACTGAAAGACATAAAAAAAAGTTTGAAAATCAATCACATCTTTAGATCAGAAAAAATGGTGAAATAAAGATCATAATGACATAAACTTGGTGCATTTAAAACCTAAAAGAAACATGTATTTTCAAAAATAATTTTCAGAATGGAGGGGATCATGGCGGATGGAAGGCAGGACTAGATTGCAGCTCCAGATAGAGCACCATCTGGAGGCTTCCATTGTGAATTTTATCTCCAGATTGACTGCAAGAAAAACCAGCACTACTGAGAGGACCCACATACCCTCTGAAGGAAGTGGACTGCTCCTGCAGGACCCAGGAGATACCTCAAATACTGTGAGTGCCCCAACTGCAGAGGTGGAAAAGGGAGACGCTCCTCCCCCTAACACATCCTCCCACTGGAGAAGCTTCTGTTTGCAGAAATTTTCCAACTTTAGAATGAATTAGAGAGGGTTCCTTCTTTCTCTATCATGTGGAATAGTGTCAAAAGTAGTCAAAATAGTGTCAAAAGGATTGGTACCAATTCTTCTTTGAATGTCTGGTAGAATTCTGCTGTGAATCCACCTGGTCCTGGACATTTTTTGTTGGTAATTTTTAAATTACCATTTCAATCTTGCTGCTCATTATTGGTCTGTTCAGGGTATCTAATTCTTCCTCATTTAAGCTAGGATGGTTGTATTTTTCCAGGAGTTTATCTATCTCTTTTAGGTTTTCTAGTTAATGTGCATAAAGGTGTTGAGAGTAGGTTTGAATGATCTTTTGTATTTCAGTGGTGTCAGTTGTAATATCTCCTGTTTAATTTCTTAGTGAGGTTATTTGGATTTTCTCTCTTCTTCTCTTGGTTAATCTTGCTAATGGCCTATCAATTTTATTTATATTTTCAAAGAACCAGGTTTTTGTCTCATTTATCTTTTGTAATTTTTGTTTCCATTTCATTTAGTTCTGCTCTGATCTTGATTATTTCCTTTCTTCTGCTGGGTTTGGGTTTGGTTTGTTCTTGTTTCTCTAGTTTTTTGAGGTGTGACCTTAGATTGTCCGTGTTCTTTCAGATTTTTTGATGTAGGCATTTAGGGCTATGAACTTTCCTCTTAGCACCACCTTTGCTGTATCCCAGAGGTTTTGATAGGTAGTGTCGTTATTGTCATTCAGTTCGAAGGATGGTTTAACTTCCACCTAGATTTCATTTTTGACCCAATGCTCATTCAGGAGCAGGTTATTTGATTTCCATGTGTTTGCATGGTTTGGAAGGTTCCTTTTGGAGTTGATTTCCAGTTTTATTCCACTGTGGTCTGAGAGAGTGCTTGATATAATTTCAATTTTCTTAAATTTAGTGAGGCTCATTTTATGGCCTATCATATGGTCTATCTTGGAGAAAGCTCCATGAGCTGTTGAATACAATGTGTATTCTGTGGTTGTTGGATAAAATGTTCTGTATGTATCTATTAAGTCCATTTCTTCCAAGGTGCAATTTACATCCATTGTTTCTTTGTTGACTTTCTGTCTTGATGACCTATCTAGTGCTGTCAGTGGAGTATTGACGTCCCCCACTATTATTGTGTTGCTGTCTATCTCATTTCCTAGGTCTATCAGCAATTGTTTTATAAATTTGGGAGTTCCAGTGTTAAGTGCATCTATATTTAGGATTGTGATATTTGGTTACATGAGTAAGTTCTTTGGTGTTGATTTGTGAAGGTTTGGTGCACCCATCACCTGAGTTGTATACACTGCACCATATTTGCAGTCTTTTCTCCCTCTCCTTCCTCCCTCTCTTCCCCCCAAGTCCCCAAAAAGCCCATTGTATCATTCCTACACCTTTGCATCCACATAGCTTAGCTCCCACGTATGAGTGAGAACATTTGATGTTTGGTTTCCTTTTTTGATTTACTTTACTTAGAGTAATAATCTTTCATCTCATTCAGGTCACTGCAAATGCTGTTAATTCATTCCTTTTAAGGGCTGCAAAGTATTGCATCATCTATATATTACCACAGTTTGTTTAGCCACTTGTTGATTGATGGGAATTTGGGTTGGTTCCATGACTTTGCTACTGTGAATTGTGCCACTGTAAACATGCGTGTGCAAGTATCTTTTTTGAATAATGATTTATTTTCCTCTGGGTAGATACCCAGTAGTGGGATTGTTGGGTCAAATGGTAGGTCTACTTTTAGTTCTTTAAGGAATCTCCACACTGTTTTCCATAGTGGTTGTACTAGTTTACATTCCCAGCAGCAGTTTAGAAGTGTTCCCTGTTCACCACGTCCACACCAACATCTACTGCTTTTTAATTTTTTGATTATGGCCATTGTTGCAGGAGCAAAGTGGTATCGCACTGTGGTTTTGATTTGCATTTCCCTGATCATTCGTGATGTTGAACATTTTTTCATATGTTTGCCATTTGTATATCTTATTTTAAGAATTGTCTATTCATATCCTTAGTCCACTTTTTGACAACAGTCAGCAGAGTAAACAGACAACCCACAGAATGGGAGAAAATCTTCACAATCTATACATCTGACAAAAGACTAACATCTAGGATCTACAACAAACTCAAACAAATCAGTAAGAAAAAAAATCCCATCAAAATATGATATAACCAAATACCACCTGTACCCCAATAATTTATAGAAAATTAATAAAAATAATTTTCATGTATTATTCAAGAGAAACAATCATATTAAAAATAAAATGAAGGGGCTTGTCAAGTCTGATATAAATTCATAATTACATGTATTATCCTAGACAGCTCAAGGAGGACAGGACTCCTAGGGGAATGTCTGGCTCTGGGTTGCTTGCAGCCCACTCTCCCACACCTCCCTCTACCCGCCCCCCCACCCGCTTCCCCGACCCTAGCCATTGCAGTCTTGCTGCTACTGCCAGGCCACCGCCATTTTTTAAAGAGGCCCCAGCCTGACTTACAGGAGCAGAGCTTAAGTCGGCGCAGCCAATGCGCATGCGCGAGGCCTGAGCTGATTCTTGAGTCACAGAGACTTTCACGGTCCGCCTGGTGATGGGTCCCTGAGGCGTGGCAAAGCAGGACCCCTTCGTGGCAGTGCGTCGGTGTCGCGACTCCACCCTGACGTCTCCAGGAGCTCGAGAGGGATGGTCTCCGGACGCCAGGAGTCGCGGAGGGCCGACCAGGATGAAGAAACTTCAGGCGGAGTCCCAGGAGAGCAGCGCGGGATCCCAGCCTCAGCCTGCCCAGACGGTGTGTGGGCAAGTCTCCCCGCAACTCGCGCCCCCTCTGATCTACAGGACAGGCCTGCAGTATGCCCGTGGGCTGCTCTCTTACCCGATTGTCGTTCTCGCGGAGAGCAGAACCCGGCAGCCTCAAGGGCTACCTGGGGTTGGGTGTTTCTGTGCCGCTGCTGTATGTCTGTGTGTGTGTATGTCTTTCTTTCACTCCTTCCTCTCTCTCTCCTCTCTCCCTCTGTGGCTGTGTGTGCCCATGTGCGTGTGTGTTTTGGGATGAATGTGCCCTGTGCGCTGGAGGGCTGTTTCTTGCATGTCGGTCTGTATTTGGTGAGACTCTTTCTGTGTCTCTGCCTGGGACGTCTGACCAGTTGTTGGTCTTTTTCCCGGCGGTTCCAGTTTGGGTTTGTGAAGGCCTTGGCAATGCGGGTAGCTGCGATGGACCCGCAGGGGTTGAAATCTACTCCCCATCCTGAGAGGCCTCTTTTCTAGGATCAAGACGGTCTCACCACACCCAAGGATAGTATTTAAAAAAGCATCAGCGGAGCTCATTGTTCTTCTGCAGGAGAGGTGCAGACCGACCTCCAAGAAGATGGTTCTAACTCCTCCCGCCCTCTCTTCCCATTGAGAAATGGAGCCCCACCGCGACACAGGCTTGGAGAAGAAGTCGAGAACGGGATGTGGCAAGGATCTCTGTCACTCCAACGCTGGCCTTTCTGGCCAAGTCACCCGTTTGGCACTCCTTCCCGGAAGCCCATGGCGGTGGCATTGTGCTGTATCCCGCCTGGGCTCTGACCTCTACACTGTCCTCCCTCTTGCTCTGTCTGCCATGTTTCTGACGGGCCTGGATGCTTCTTGGTCTGGCTCAGTGTCTTCCACAGAGAACACTTTTGAGTCCATCAGGGAGAAACTGTGTGGAAATCCATTTCGTGAATGTTGTCATCATAAATCATCAAAATGTCATCTGATAGAACATATTTTTCTAAGTTAATTTACTTATGAGACATTTACAAGGGTATAGAATAATGTACTCAGTGAATGTAGTCCTCTCATTTAATCTTTGATGTTTTAGATGACGATATTTCTTTTTTTGAGACAGAGTCTCACTCTGTCACCCAGGCTGGAGTGCAGGAGGGAGATCACAGCTCACTGCAGCCTCGACTTCCCAGGGTCAAGGGTCCTCCAACCTCAGTTTCCCAAGTAGCTGTGGCTACACGCATGCACCACCATATCCAGCTTTTTGTAAATTTTGTAGAGATGAGGTTTTGCTGTCTTGCCCAGGCTGGTCCCGAACTCCTGGGCTCCAGCAGTCTGCCCACCTCGGCCTCCCAAAGTGCTGGGATTACAGGCATCAGCCATCAAATCTGCCTAGGATGACTTGGTTTTCTTATTGGCATATTCTATATTCACTAAATAAAGTATCTACAGTCTCAGTCCAGGTAGGGTAAGCAAAAATAAATAAATAAATAATCTACAGTAATTTTGCATACTTATATTCTAAATTTAGGTACAAATCCATAGCTTATATGGTCTAATTTTAAAGTTTTTTAAACAATATAAGTAATGGCCATGTAAATCTTTTCATAGCTTTTTTAAATTAAAATAGATTTGAAAGTATACCTAAATCATTTTGGGTTTTTTTGTTTCTGTTTTTGTTTTTTGTTTCTAGAGTGCAGTGGCATGATCTCGGCTCACTGGAACCCTTGCCTCCCAGGTTCAAGCAATTCTCTGCTTCAGCCTCCCCAGTAGCGAGGATTACAGGTGCCCGCCACCATGCCCAGCTAATTTTTTTTTTTTTTTTGTATTTTTTAGTAGAGACGGGAGTTCACCATCTTGGCCAGGCTGGCCTTGAACTCCTGACCTCATGATCTACCTGACTCGGCCTCCCAAAGTGGTGGGACTACAGGTGTGAGCCACCGCTCCCAGCCCCTAAATCTTAAAAATATAAAGAGACATTTTTTTAAAAATCAGTTTTAAATGAGTTTAGCATTACATTTCCAGTTGTTTATATTTCAATGAGGACTGACTGAATTGTATTTTTTAAAAAAAATCTGGCCAGGCACAGTGGCTCACGCCTGTAATCCCAGCACTTTGGGAGGCCGAGGCAGGTGGATCATCTGAAGTCGGGAGTTTGAGACCAGCCTGACCAACATGGGGAAACCCCATCTCTACTAAAAATACAAAAAATTAGACGGGCATGGTGGTGCATGCCTGTAATCCCAGCTTCTCGGGAGGCTGAGGTAGGGGAATCACTTGAACCCGGGAGGTAGAGGTTGCGGTGAGCCAAGATCAAGCCATTGCACTCCAGCCTGGGCAACAAAAGCGAAACTCCATCTCAGAAAAAAACAAAAACAAAAACAACAAAATCTCCATGTAGCCTTGAATTAGTAACACATCTATCTTTTCTTTGATGTGGTGTTTACTTCTCTTCACAGAAAGTTTGCATTCTTTTCTATTAGCAGTGAAAGAGATGCTGTACATGACAGTCTCATCTTTTATTCAAATGGAAAGATTATCAAACTATTTCTCAAGACAATGCTTTTAAATATTATTTATATATTAATCTTTTAAGTAAACAATTTCTATCTTATTCCCTATATACTAGTTGTATTATACTTTATTTTTTATTTTTAAATTATATTTTTATTTGGGTCACCAGGAGAAAGATTCACTTGTGGTTCAAATCAAGTGTTCAGAATCATAACAGGACAGAAAGGTTTGATCCCGAGCAAAGCCCTCAAGGGGGAAATCAAAACAGGCTGAAATAAGACAATACCCCATATAAAGAGATGAATGAGTGGCTACACACACACACACACACACACACACACACACCCCGATGATGTGCACAGAGGCACATTTCACATGGTCATTTCTGTTTCTTTTTAAATACTGGTTTGTGGGGTGGGATTTTGATTTTTCCAGCTACAAGAAAAGGCCCAAAAGTGCATATGTGAGGGGGGAAAGGCAGAAATTCAGCAATAAAGTAGATTTCCCTGGAGGAACATGAAGGGGAGGAAACAGGAAGCAGTGTTGGGACAGTTCACTCTTCTCACCCTTGGGCTCCCTGCGTTTTATTATTGGTCCACAAAAGTTATATTCACGTTGTAGCTTCCAGGCATCTTCCTTCCTGGGAGTAGACTGGCTGAAAGACCTCTGGGAACTGTAGAGAAGACCAGAGGCCCAGGCCAGCCTTCAGGGCTCTGTGCTTTTCTAGGGATGGATGGCTCTGGTAAGGAACAAAGATGCCCAGCAGCCCTGGGCCCCTCAGCACCAGTGTGAAGGTCCCTCCTCTCTCTGGGGATGTGTAAGAAAATGGCCCCTACTTTGAGGACAGAAAGAGTAGGAGGAGGAGGCCCTGCAGCAAGATTCCATGGCTGGCTCCCCTTGTCTGGGAAGGGAAACTAAGCTGAGCTATGACAGGCTGCTTCCTGCTGCTCTGGGCCCTCCTCCCACCACTCACCATTCTCCCAAATGCAGGTCTTCTAATGGGATGTGTCCCTGACCTTTGGTCCCCAAATCCACATTGTACTTTGAGAGCAAGAGGAAACAGAATGCACCAGCACCACCCCCAAGACTCCCAAGATCACTTCCCCAAGAGATTCTCTGCCTCCCCAGCCCCCAAACTGCCCAATATAAGATACTCTACCCACTTCCACCTAAGCTGGGGCCAAAAGGAAAAGGATTGGTCAGGCAGGGGCTCCTTGCCGTTATTTAGTCATTTCCTCAACCTCTGATTTGGAGCAAATATCCCCAAATACATTAATAAACAGTTGACAAAACACTCATGATGACTAATGACTGAACAGGCCCTGTCCCTCGCCTGCGGGTTACAATTGTGCAAAGGGACAGGAGGTCAACAGGAGAGCCCGTTTGGACTCAGGGTGAAGATGGGAGGGAGACAGAAGGGTGGCAAGAAAAACCAGAGATGAATAAAGTCAGGCCAGAGTTGTCACAGCCACCAACCAGCAGAGAGAAGGAACTTGAACACAGCACCATCATTCCCCTTCACATCCTGGAGGCTGTGCTTTCAGTTTTGTAGCCCGGGGACCCTCTTTCTTGTTTCAAAGGGGCTTTATGTGAGGGGGAGACCTGCAGGGAGAGCCCCCATGGTGAGATACACACAACGTGGGTGAAACGGGGTCCTTCTGGTACCCTATTCTGCAGCCCCAGACACAGATGGGAGAAGAAAATAAGCCTGGAGTGACAGAGCCTTCCCCCAGCCCTTACCCACAGTGAGCTGCAGACTCAAGGGCGGCCCCCACCTAGGCTACACCAGCCCCTTACCTTCTGCTCTGCACACTGCAAAGGCAGATGGCTGGGCTTTCTCCACTCAGAGATTCGGGAAGGAGGAATTCATTTCAAAGACAAGGGAAGGAACTTCTCTTCCCCCAGGGCCCTCTCCTCTCACTGTGGGTTTTGAGGAAATTATCAGGGGAAGAGGGCTCTGCACAGGCCCACAAACCCCCAACTGCACACAGGCCCAGAGACACCTGCGGACATGCCGCCTGCCCCATCTCTCACACTCGCGTGTCAGACACCCGCAGACGCTCATGCTCCTGCCTCTGCACGCCAGGTCTTGGAGACATAGTGGTCCCTGCCGGCTTTGTGCATTTGCAAGTCCACTTGGCATTGAGCTGGGGAGAGGAGGCCATGGAAGGCCCATGGCATCTTCCCAGCAGGAGCAGGGAGGGGCGGCCCACCTAACGCAGATCCCTGGAGTTGGGGGAGCTGCAGGGGAGAACTCCCCGTTCTCCTCCTTCCTGCGGCTGTCCTACAATTAAGAAAGGCGAATTTGACCCAAATCGTGCTTCCTGGGGCGCCCTTTGTTCACTGCAGGCCTGCGTGGGCAAGAGGCAGAATCACTGGATGCTAGGAACGCACGGGGAGGGGAGGGAGCGTTCGCCCCGCTCCTATCGTCGCCCTGGAGGAGGGAGAAGGTGGAGAGGGAGACCCCGGTGGAACAGCAGCCCCCTCTTTGAGAAAGAGAGGCAGGGCCCCTCGCACCGGTTCCTACACAAGGCGGAGCCCCGCCCTCATCCCAGGGACAAGGAGTGGCTCCCACTGTGGGGACTGCGTGAAGCCCCTGCCTGGGGGTCCTGGAGTCTCCGCCTCCCCCAACCACGGGAGGTGCGGGTGTGTGAGAAGCTGGGCGGGAGGATGTGAGGGGAGAAGGGAGGCGTCGAGGCCGGGGCGTGTCTCCCGTTCCAGCCCCCGAGAGGCCCAGGCCCCTCCATCAGGAGAGACACCCAAGCTGTCGGCCAAGGCCAAGGAGAAGCCTCCCGGGAAGGAGCTCGGAGGCGGCAGGAGACGGCTTCCGTCGGCAAAAGCAGCCGGAGCAGGGACAGGGTCTCAGGATGTGGCAGGGTTTAAAGAACAGAGGCGCTGAGGGCCGATGGGGCGCCCGGGCTTCGAGGCCTCCACGCTCTCGGCCGCCGTCCCTGGGTCTCCCGTGCGCCCCCGGCCTGCACTTCCCGCCACGCGGATCCGCTGCTGGTCAGCCCGGTCCTGAGGGAGCGCGGTCCTGCCGGCGGCGCTGCAGTCGCGAGGGGCCGCGCTGCCTGGGGAGCGGGGCTGCGGCTCCCGGCGGCCACCCAGGCCTAGGCCCCCGGCTGCTGCGGGCTGTGGCAAGGCTGCCGCCGTCCTGGGAACCTCGGCGCTCCGGATCAGGCCCTGACCCGCCAGACCACGCGCTCTTACCCTGCTCCTCCCGGCGTCCTGGCTCCGGGCCCCTTCTTGGTTCTTCACTCTCGGGACTCCAGGCGTGTCCCCGCCGCGCCGGAGCCTCTGCCGGGTTCTCAGACGCCCGGCGCCGCTGACTGCGGAGCGCGCTGGGCTGCTGGAGGCTCCGCCAGGCCCGTTCACAGCCCCGAGGACGCCGGCTCGAGTTCCCTTCCAGTCCGCCGGCGCCTGTCCGCGCTTGCCCGACTTTGTTTATTCCACACTTAGAGTTTTAAACTTAACGAGCTTTTCAAAAAATATTCTCTCCAATTCTGTGGATTGTCTTGTAGGTTTTTTGTTTGTTTATTTTGACAGGGTCTCACCCTGTCGCCCAGGCTGCAGTGCAGTGGCGCGATCTCGGCTCACTCACTGCAACCTCCGCCTCCCAGGTTCAAGCGATTCTCCTGCCACAGCCTCCTGAGTAGCTGGGATTACAGGCACCCGCCACCACGCCTGGCTAATTATTTTTTATTTTATTTTTTGTAGGGATGGGGTCTCCTTATGTTACCCAGGCTGGTCTCAAACTCCTGGGCTCAAGCGATGCTCCCGCCTTGACCTTTCAAAGTGCTGGGGTTACAGGTGTGAGCCACTGCGCCCAGCCCCATTTCTGAAATAAAAGATCCTCTTCTCACTGAAGTTAAATCCCCCCCACACTGGAATCTATCCCTGGCTCGGAGTTGTGTTTTATTTTGAACTTATAATTAGTCATATGATTAAATATTATATCCAGTCCCTTGTCCATCATTAATGACCCGTTTTAATCCTGTGATTTGTTTATCTCCAATTTATATCTTTTCCACGGATGTGTCCCATATGCGTTTCACATTATAAGTATTTAAAAATAATTACTCTTATGTTTTCTTTCCTGTCATATATACATATATGAAAAAAAGAAATAATGCAGCAATATCTGGTGTTCCATAAGAAAATTAAACCATAAATTTTACTTCTTAGTATGTTATATAGGTTAAATAAAATACTTTAGAAAGGAATTGCTTTTGAAAAAATTTATTTTATGATCCTAAACCTTTGAAAACAGGTGTAGCACAATTATATTAATCTTGGAGAAGTGCTCAGTTAGATATATCTCTATAGACATGCGTAGATATATAGGCATCGATATAGAGAAATATCAATTTTTCTTTAGCATGAAAAGGAAAGGCATTTCAACAATGGTGAACCAGGGAAAACATATCTCATTTAAACTGCTTAGACTGATAAAAATTTAAATGAATAAATATTTAACGTGATGATGAATAAGGACAGAATTCTAATACATTCCATATTAGGATTATAAAGTGTTTTCACATTTAGGAGTTGGCAACCAGACAATATCTATTAACATTTAAAACACAGAAAAGGGGCTGTGTGCGGTGGCTCACACCTGTAATCTCAACACTTTGGGAGGCTGAGGCAGGCAGATCACGAGGTTAGAAGTTTGAGACCAACCTGGCCAGCATGGTGGAACCCTGTCTCTACTAAAAATACATTTTAAAAAAATTAGCCGGGCATGGTGGCACGTGCCTGTAATTTCAGCTACCCAGGAGGCTAAGGCAGGAGAATTTCTTGAACCCGGGAGGCGGAGGTTGCAGTAAACCGAGATTGTGCCACTGCACTCCAGCCTGGGCGACAGAGCGAGACTCTGCCTCAAATAATTAAATAAATAAATAAAATACAGAAAAGAAGCACGTAGCAATGCTAGTCCTGAGAATCTCCCCGCAGGGCCACAAATGCAGGTGAAAAGACAAGAGCACAGTGCCGGACCCCAGTGTTTCCACCAGGTGACCTGTATCTGCCAGGATTTACAGAGGTTCCCCCCTTTCATGTATGCACTTTTTGCACATTTTCTGAGATTCCAACTTTATAATAAAATCAACAGTAAAACAAATTTAATTTTGATATATCATTTTTCAAAATAAAAAGATGTTCCAAAAGAGACCTTTTTTTGTTTGTTTGTTTGAGATAAAGTCTCACTCTGTCACCCATGCTGGAGGGCAGTGGCATGATCATGGCTCACTGCAACCTATGCCCCGGGTTCAAGTAATTCTCCTGCCTCAGCCTCCCGAGTAGCTGGGATTACAGGCACCTGCCACCATGCATGGCTAATTTTTTGTATTTTTAGTAGAGATGGGGTTTATCCATGTTGGCCAGGCTGGTCTTGAACTCCTGACCTTGTGAACCGCCCACCTCCACTTCCCAAAGTACAGGCATGAGCCACCATGCCCAGCGGAGGCCCTTTCAACTCACTGTGCTGCTGAAGGGTATGCCTGAGGCTACCCAGGAGAAAAGTCATTAATAAAGGCATGGAAAGCACTACTCTGTTTTTTCAGTCTCCTGTTTATGCCACAGTGGAGAAATAACCTGAGCTGAGCCCTGCTGACTTCTTCCCCAGCAGTGAGCCTGGACCTTAAAGCAGCATTGTTCCCTCCTCTCCACCAATGACTCCCAATCTGCCAGGCTGTGTTCACTGACATCAGCTGCATCTGAGGGTCACTAAGGCCAGTGGATCTAGGGGAGCTTTCTGCTGGGCCGGAATTCCTCCACTGTCGCATGCTGGACACAGCAGTGGACACAGCAGTCAGCTCCTTCATAGTTGATTCTTATACATTAAAATAATATTGGAGATTCTGAAACACACCAAGAAATATGGGACTTAATGTAACAGTGAAACAGCAAAATAATTCACATAACTAACTTCATTTCCATTTAAGGCACCTTCTTCTTTTCCTGCACATAGGTGAGGATAATTTTACAGCACTGAGATAAAATGAAAAGCAGCAATCATATAGTTTTTGAAACTAACTCTGAGGTTAAAGGGGAAGTATATAAACAACTATGTTTTGGTGGAGATTTACAGGAACATTGTGACCTGGCCAAGGACAAGGAAGTTCCCAACCTCCTCAGACCCTCGCTGGCTCCCAGGTGTCTGTGGTCCTTAGCCCCCTCTGGATCTCAACCCCCTCCCCTTTGCCAGCCCTTTACATAAAAAGACCCTGACATTTGTACTAACTTAACCTGCTTCTTTAGAACATTAGTCCACCATCTTCTTCATTTTCTGGATCTTCAAACTAAAGTCACCTTCCTTGCCCCAACTCCTTGTCTCCTGACATATTGGCTGGTGGGCAGGAGCAGAATGAGGTCGTGTTGGACTTGGTTACATTACTTTCTCTTCACAAAAAGTTCAGATTTCCTTGTGCAGTGGAAGAACGACTGTACTTGAGCGCTTCATCTTTTCTTCTAATTGAAACACTATCAAACTACATTTCTCAAAACAATTCACTGTATCATTCATATGTTATTGTAAGTGAATAACTGATATTTTATTCTCTACATACTAATTATACTTTGAAAATATATGCACTTTATCAGTAAAGATTTTCAGTACTCTCTAGCAATATTTTTTTCTAGAGTTATATTCCCAATAGTTATGTCATAAATTAAAGCCACATTTTTTGCTTAAGTATGTATACATTAAAAAACAAAAGAAGGCTGGGCGCAGTGGCTCACGCCTGTAATTCCAGCACTTTGGGAGGCTGAGGCGGGTGGATCACTTCAGGTCAGGAGGTTGAGACCAGCCTGGCCTACATGGTGAAACCCCGTCTGTACTAAATATACAAAAGTTAGCCGGGTGTGGTGGCGCATGTCTGTAATCCCAGCTACTTGGGAGGCTGAGGCAGGAGAATCGGTTGAACCCAGGAGGCAGAGTTTGCAGTGAGCTGAGATCTTGCCACTGCACTCTAGCCTGGGCAACAGAGCAAGACTCCACTCAGTCTCAAAAAAAAAATAGCTTTTTTGAGGGGGGATAGAGTTAACTGGTATGCTTAGATAGAAATTGTTATAATTTAATATTCATATATTCATATTTTTATATAATCATGGATATTTTCTAAAAAAATTGACAAGTTCCACAGAAATTGTTTTCTTTTACTACATGAGTAATGTAGGGAGAGATTTTTGATGAGTAATAGATCCCCTGGGACAACACTGGAGAACTCCACGTTGCTACTCCTCAACCCGTCTCAAATTCATCAAAAACACTTTTTAGTGGAAAGCTAAAAAAAGCTACAGGGGGCTTCTCTCCCCCAAAATTAAGCCAGGGTTCCTATCATTCATACATTTAGTCACCAGTTATGTCTCCCCGTTAGGCAATGAGCACAAACTTGTCAGTGTCACAGTGGAAGGGAAGCAGCAAATGACACTGCAAATAACTGGAAGGGGTGGGGGAGTCACATGAGATCAACGACAGAGACAGCATCACCAGAAATGCCTTTGCATCACAGACAGAGTAATGAAGACAAAGGAAGTCCCTGTCTTCATGTGGCTGACATTTTAGGGAGAAAAGGATGAAACTCCACAGTACAATTAAATATAGAATGGAGCATATCAGGAGGTAATAAGTTTTATGGAGAAAAATAAGGGTAGATTAGCACATGTTCCCAACAAAAATGACTGAGGCGAGGGACTCCTCAGCAGAGGTTTATTGAGCCAAGGTTTGAGGCTGCACCCAGAAACTTACACAAGTCATAGGAGCATCTGTACTTTTTCAGCTGGGGATGAAATCATGGAGGTGTCTAAAACTGTCTCCGCAAAGTCAGTTCCTGGGAGGGGGTCTTAGGACCAGGTGGCATCTCTTGGTCTGCTGAAACCCTAAATCAGAAAAGTATCTCAAAGACCAGTCCTTTAGGTCTCACAACTGTGATGTTATCTATAGGCGTGGTTGGGGAAATCACAAATCTGGTGACCCCCAGTTACATGACCCTGGGGCAGGAAATAACTTATAGAAAACAAGCTAAGCAATGGCAGGCACGGTTTAACCATCCCTGTTCTTTACAAACTTCACACCCTACCATAATTCTCATCTTGTCTTGTAAATGCATCTTCGATCTCTGAATGAGGAGGAGGTCAGCTTTCTTTGCTTCAAAGTTTAACTATACAGTAAATTCTTCTCATGGTTATCTTGGCCTCCATGATAGAATAAGCAAAAAAAGATTTAACCTGTGAGGTTAGAAGCAAGATGGAGTCAGTTATGTTAGATTGATCTCATGACTTATAATTCTACAAAGATGGTTTCAACTTCCAACAGGCCTTGGCCACGGATATGTGGAATTAGACTGAAGATTTCTCCTGGGAAACGGGCAGCAGAATGGACCTTAAAGATGAATGATAAAAACTTGCACAATGGGGCCAGGTGGGGTGGCTCACGCCTGTAATCCCAGGACTTTGGGAGGCCGAGGCAAGCAGGTCACCTGAGGTCAGGAGTTCGAGACAAGTCTGGCTAACATAGCAAAACCCTGTCTCTATTAAAAATACAAAAATTAGCTGGGCATGCTGGTGCACGTCTATAATCCAAGCTACTCAGGAGGCTGAGGCAGGAGAATCACTTGAACCCGGGAGGCAGAAGTTGTAGTGAGCCAAGATTGCACCACTGCACTCCAGCCTGGGTGACAGAGAGAGACTGTCTCTCACACACACACACACACACAAAATCCTCCACAATGGGAGGGGGTTTGCCCATAACCCAGGGTTGGTAGGTTACAGCCACCCATTGCTAGGCCTTGATCCTCATTACTCCTTCTTTTGAAATATGAGCTCAAAGACACCAACATAATCTGTGTAGCAACCCCCTTCACTCAGCTATGCCCAAGGATGACATAAAGTGAGACATCAGCCTCCAAGCCAATAACTGACAAATGGTTTAGTGGGGTTTCCTTGGTTAAAAAAATAGAGACTTATGTTTGCCTCAGATGGACCAGTGTCTCAGACATGCTCCTTCAGTTTGGAAGTCACAATGTAACAGTGGATGTGTTGAAGAAGCCCTTTAATGAAAAGAAGCTCAAGGCCATGTCAAAAGCTCCAACTTCTGAAAAGCTTTCTGCATTGGAATAAACAGTTGAATCAAGTGTATTTGAATGCATCGACCTGGCCAGTGGATCCGGGGAGAAAGGCAAGGGGTTTCATTTTAAGGACCGAACTAGGCCCCTTGTCCTCAGGAAATCATACAGGCATAGCATTGAATTGATGTCTTGGGCAAAGTGGACACAGTGGCAAGATATTTGAGGCTGAGATGAGACTCATTCTGGGACTGCACTCCTATATACCCGTCTTCATGGGCCTTTCCACTGTGACTCTGCCTGAGGGCAGAAGAGATGTGGGTGTGGACATGGGGCTGGGGTGGGGCAGGGACCATGCCAGAACAATAGCTGACTGGGCTAAAGGCAGAGGAGTCCCTATTCTGGGACAATTCTGTTACCACTAAGCTACCAGTTGCTATGAGGACTTCCTTTTTCTATCTTTTTTTTTTAAAAGACCTGAGTCTGAGCTATTATGTATGTACATTTTTATAGCCGTGTTTTCACCCTGTTGCCCAGGCTGGAGTGCAGCAGCTATTCACAGGCACGATCCTTGCACACTACGGCCTCAAACTGCTGGCCTCAAGGGATTCTCCACTTCGGCCTCCCCAGTATCTGGGACTACAGGCTGGGACTACAGGTGTGTGACACCATCCCCATCCTGATCTACTGCAGATTCTCTTGATTTCTGGGTAAACAGACTGACTGCACCATCCTATCCTGTCAAATCACTTGCACAAATACTTCTACTTTAAGAGTTCTTCCACCTTGTCCAGAACCATAATCCATCAACCCCATTATTTGATCTCTCAAAAGAATAAACAAATGACACACTGACCCATCAAAACACACACGTCCTTTCCCCAAATACCAAACACAAAAAACACAGCTGGTCTTCTTCACTTCACCCACTTGAGAGAGTCACTTTCTTATGAGTACCTTTAACTCCCTGATTTACTGCTGTGCTTTTTCTGGCACAATCCCATACTTGGATGAGCCCCACACTATGTTTCTTCAATGATGTCACTCAGCTGAGCCAGATACAATGTAGAAAAGTAGCCAGGTGGTATCAACACAAATTCAAAACTAGCTACACACCAGATTGGCCATAAACACTGTCCAGAACTTACTAAGTTCACATTTGGCTGATAAAACCCTTTCCTCAGAAACCCAACATCTCTAACAATCTTCTCCATGTCCTTTGAACCTTTACTCATGTGGCTTTTACCTGGTATCTTGCCCAATAATTCATACAAAAATTAGATCCCATGAGGCAAGAACAGCCTCATCTTTCTACCATCTCTAAAGATAATATGCACAGGTCTGTAACTTTCTAGCCTTCTTTATTTCATCATGTCAGTAAAAGGATACACCATAGATAAGAGAATGAGAAGACATCCAGTCTCATTTGTAAGGTAATGTTATAATGAAATTACATTTTTCTTTTGTTTTTTTGTTTGTTGTTGTTGTTTGTTTGTTTGTTTTTTGAGGCAAAGTCTCAATCTGTCACCCAAGCTGGAGTGCAGTGGCATGATCTTGGCTCCCTGCAACCTCTACCTCCCAGGTTCAAAAGATTCTCCTGCCTCAGCCTCACAAGTAGCTGGGATTACAGGCATCCGCCACCATGCCTGGCTAATTTTTGTATTTTTAGTAAAGACGGGTTTTCACCATGTTGGTCAGGCTGGTCTTGAACTCCTGACCTCAGGTGATCCACCCACCTCAACCTCCCAAAGTGCTGGGATTACAGGTGTGAGCCACTGCGCCTGGCCCACATCTTTCTTTGTGCCGTTATTATTTCTTCATGAAATCAATGCTTCATTATGCAAACATGGTCCCATGGACTATCTTTTTTAAAAATGGCAATAATATGGCCAGTTCCTTACAAAACTAAACATGCCCTTAGCATACAATTCAGCAATTGTGCTCCTTTTTCTTTGCCCAAAATAGTTTTTTTTTTTTAACTTTTAAGTCAGGGGTATATGTGCAGGTTCCTATTACCTTGTTATATAGGTAAACTTATGTCATGGAGATTTGTTGTACAGATTATTTTATCAGCCAGGTAAAATAATCTGGGAGGCCAAGGCAAGAGGATCACTTGAGGTCAGGAGTTTGAGAGCAGCTTGGCCAACATGGTGAAACTTCTTCTCTACTAAAAATACAAAAATTAGGCTGGTGTGGTGGCACGTGCCTGTAATCCCAGCTACTCAGGAGGCTGAGGCAGGAGAATCGCTTGAACCCAGGAGGCAGAGGTTGCAGTGAGCCAATATCATGCCACTGCACTTCAGTCTGGGTGAGAGACAAATAAATAAATAAATAATAAAAATTAAAAATCTACATATTTAATTATGTAATTACTGCCATCATATCTCTCTCAGAACACTGATCCAAGAACAACAAAAATAATAAAGATGATACACTCTGCTAATTAAGCAAATTTCCTTTTTTTCTTTGTGAAACCAATTGACAAAATTCTTCAGTTTTTGGTTTTTAGGAATAATTTCCACTAATTTATTTTCAGTGGAGTTTTGCAGGTGCCCCAAACAAAAACACCAACAATGACCAATTTCATTGGGAAAGTACTAAATTTAACAAACTTTATTTTTTGATCAATGAAGACTTATTTTTAATTTTACTTAAACATTTTAGATTTAGCCTTGGATAATAAAATTAATTAATATAGGGAATGTTTACTAACATATATAAATTCACTGACACATATAAAGACTTGTTAGTTAGAATGTCAATTTAATATTGATCAAGGTTGCCTGACAAAAATAAACTTTAGGTAAACTTAAGTTTGATGCATTCTGTTTATAATCTTGTACCTCTGTTTTCATTCTGATTTGGCATGCTGCATAGCTGGGGTCTTTTTTTTAATTTCAGGTGGATTATGGCCACTCTTTTCTTCTCTTAAGTCTTAGTTGATTTTTCTTCCAGAAACAATTTTAAGATCTGCAGAGCTGCATCTGGATCAAGCAGTTGGGTTGGAGGAATATGAACCGTTAAATCACAGAAGAGCTTATTTTCAATTGTCATAGCTAACATTGAGTCTATGCCTAATTATGTAAGCAATGTGGATACTGGAATGTCTTGAGTTTTGTATTCATGAATTCTGTAGCTCATCTGTTGATACTTAAGATGAATAATGAGTAAAAACCAAGTCAAACTCTACCAGAAAATTGAATTTATCTTAGAATTCTTTGCAGAAATAAATTCTGTTAGATGGAACTTAGGAAAGTTTTCCTGTAATTTCTTGAAATAAAATTTGACAGTATATTGTAGTCTGATCATTCTGCATTCTTCATTCTGATTTTCCAGCAACTTGCTTTTAGTAAACTGCTTAGATGTTTGATTTCTCAATAAAATAATCACAACAAAATAATCTCCTTTCTTTATAATAAACATCACCATTTCAAATCCAAAGCCAGACAGCCCCCTTGACATGGCTTGTTGAGAATTATTCAGAATCAAGCATGATTCAAGATACTGATGGATGTGCGGTATTTGAAAAGTTAGTATTCCTTTGGTGGCTAAAATGCTTTGAAGATAATGTTTTTTCAGCAGTCATTCAAGACTCAAGGCTCTCCAGTTAATTGATTGTCCAGTGAGACCACAGTTCCTGTGATAGTAGCAGAACATGTCCAGCAAGGAGTTAGCAGCAGCATAGTTGGCTTGTATTGCATTTTCAATTAAAGCAGAGACTATTAAATAGCACTCAGAATTATCAAGTTTCTGCCCTCTTGTCAAAAGGTGAAAATGTACTACTCCATTTACTTTGGGGATTAACACTTTCTCCACTCAAGAAGAGATGTCGAGAGCTTCCAGGGGCCCATCGTTCAAGACTGTGGCACTAAAACAATACACCTAAGATTTTACTCTGGAAAGGTATTTACTATTAAATGCTCTGCCTTTTTCACCTCAGAATGAAAAATGATATGACACTGTAGCCTGATCACTTTGCATTCTTCACTCTGATTTTCCAGCAATTTGCATTCTTTTCAAATGCTCATAAGTTGGATATCTCAATGAAATAATCACAACAGGCCCATCTCCTTGAACAGTTTGAAGGTTGCTCAAAAAACTAAACATTGATCTGCCATATCAACCATATCATTGAACAATCTCATTTTTGGTGTATACCCAAAAGAAAGGAAATCACTTTATCAAAGAGATATCTGCACGTTTATGTTTGCTGCAGCACTGTTTATGATAACTAAGATTTGGAAGCAACCTAAGTGTCCATCAGCAGATGAATGGATAAAGAAAATGTGGTACAGATACACAATGGAGTACTATTTAGCCATAAAAAATGAAAGCCAGTCATTTGCAACAACATGAATGGAACTGAACATCATTATGTTAAGTGAAATAAACCAGGCACAGAAAAGACCAACATCACACATTCTCACTTATTTCTGGAATCTAAAAATCAAAATAATTGAACTCATGGACATAGAGAGTAGAAGAGTGTTTACCAGAGTTGGGAAGGGTAGTGAGAGGGTGGGGGGAGGTAGGAATGGTTCATGGCTACCAAAAAATAGAATGAATAAAACTTACTATTTGATAGCACAACTGGGTGAGTAGTGTCAATAATAACTTAATCATATATTTGAAAATAACATAAAGAGTGTAAGTGGATTGTTTGTAACTCAAAGAATAAATGATTGGGGGTATGGATATCCCATTCTCCATTATGTGCTTATTTCACATTGCATGCCTGTATCAAAACCTGTCATGTACCCCACCAATACTATGTATCACAAAAATTAAAAATAAAATAGAGAAAAGAACCATCTCCTTTCTGCACAATAAACATCACAGTTTGAAATCCAAGACTAGAGAGCCCCCGCTGATACAACATACACTCCATTTGCCTTGAAGAGTTTCCCCTTTGCTCTATACAAGGGTATTTGTAGAAGTCGACATTCTGGAACATTGACTTCTAACACAGCAAGTCGGATAGCCACACATGTGAGATACAATGACAGAGCAAGATTCACCAGTGCATTCTGTTGAAACAGTGAGCAAGCCAAATTCAAGTTATTTTCCAAATTCATTGATTGTATCCACTTAAAGGTCTGTGGGACACCATCAGAGTTTCTGCAAAACCTGGCTAAGACTTAGAATGTGGACTTGAAGGTGATTGTGATCATAATGTAATACTTGCTATAAAAACTCAGGTTGGTGTTGGCCACATATGACTATAACAGTCCGGTGGGGAAAGTCAAAGAGTGTTTCTTTGACAAGTTCCTCTAAAGGTGGCAGTAAACTTAATGCCTTTCAGTGTCTCCTTTTTGCCATAGACCCAGAGAGAGCGAGAAACACTTGACAACCCCAGATTACTTCCTTAGCAGCCAAGGCCAGCATTTTACCTAGAATGGATTTTGGCTGTGGGGAGAACATGGCAAGCATGCAGAGATGTTTGGCATTTGGTAATACCTGGGTGAGAGTTTTCCAAGCTCTTATGAAGTATATAATGCACAAGGCCCATTTCTAAATATTGGAAACATCTTGCTGTGAAAGCTGTGAAAGGAATCCAATGGAATCATCATCAAATGGAATCGAATGGAATCATCATAGAATGGAATCAAAAGGAATCATAGTGGAATAGAATCGAATGGAATCATTGAATGCAATGGAATGGAATCATCAACGAAAGCAATCGAAGGGAATCATCGAATGGAATCAAGTGGAATCATCAAATGGAATCCAATGAAATCATCATCGAATGGACTCAAATTGAACTATCATTGAATGTAATCGAATGGAATCATCGAATGGACTCGAATGGAATAATTGAATGGATTCCAGTGGAATCATCAAATGGAATCGAATGGAATCAACGAATCTACTCGAATGGAATCATCATCAAATGTAATTGGATGGAATCAATGAAGGGACTTGAATGGAATCTTCAAATGGACTCTAGTAGAATCATCATCGAATGGAATCGAATGTAATCGTAGAATGGACTCGAATGGAATCATCATCAAATGGAATCAAATGGAATCACTGAATGGAGTCGAATGGAATCATCATCAAATGAAATTAAGTGGAATCACCGAATGGACACGAATGGAATCATCATCAAATGGAATCAAATGGAATCATCGAATTCACTCAAATGGAATCATCGTGGAATGGAATTGAAAGCAATAATCGAATGGATTCTAATGGAATTATCGAACGGACTCAAATGGAATGATCGAATGGACTCGAATGGAATCATCGTCAAACAGACTCTAACGGAATGATTGAATGGACTCTAAAGGAATCATTTAATGGAAACGAATGGAATCTTCAATTGGACTCAAGTGGAATTATTGAATGGGCTCGAATGGAAACATCGAATGGACTCGAAAGGAATCATTATAGAATGGAATCGAATGGAATCATCAAACGGAATTGATCGCAATCATCATCGCATGGAATCAAATTGAATCATTGAATGGAATCGAATGCAGTCATCTTCGAATGGAATTGAATGGAATCATCATTGAATACAATCGAATGGAATCATTGAATGGATTCAAATGGAATCATCGAATGAAATCCAATGGAATCATCATCAAATGGAATCGAATGGAATCATTATCGAATAGAATCGAATGGAAACATTGAATGGAATCATCATCAAATGGAGGCCAGTGGAATCATCGAATTGACTCGAATGAAATCATCATTGAGTGGAATCAAATGGAATCACTGAATGGAATCGAATGGAATCATCATCGAATGGAATCTAATGGTATCATTGAATGCACTCTAATGGAATCATCAACGAATGGAATCGAATGGTATCATCAAATGGAATCGAATGGAGTCATCTTTGTGTGGAATCCACAGGAATCACCAAATGGACTCTAATGGAATAATCATCAAAGGGAATCGAGTGGAATCATTGAATGTACTCGAATGGAATCATCGAATGCAATCCAATGGAATCATATAATGGAATCGAATGGAATCGTCAATGAATGGGATCAAATGGAATCATCGAATGGACTCGAATGGAATCATCATTGAGTGGATTCGAATGGAATCATCGAATATACTCGAATAGAATCATCATTGAATGGAAAAGAATGGAATCATCAAATGGACACGAATGGAAACATCGTCGAATTGAATCATACAGAATCATCAAAAGAAATCGAATGGAATCATCATCAAATGGAATGGAATGGAATCATCAAATGGAATCAAAAGGAATCACCAACGAATTGAATCAAATGGTATCATGGAATGGAATTGAAAGGAATCATCTGCAAGTTAAATCTAAAGGAATCACCGAATGGACTCCAAAGGAATAATCATCGAATGGAATCCAGTGGAATCATCAAATGTACTTGAATGGAATCATCGAATGGACACGAATGGAATCATCATCGAATGGAATCGAATGGAATCACCATCGAATGGAATCAAAAGGAATCATTGAATGGACACGAATGGAATCTTCATTGAAAGGAATAGAATGGAATCATCATCGAATTGAATCTAATGGAATCACCATGGAATGGAATCGAATGGAATCATCGAATGGACTCGAATGGAATCACCCTCGAATGGAATCGAATGGAATCATCAAATGGACTCGAATGGAATCATCATCGAATGAAACCAAATGGAATCATCGAATGCAACACAATGGACTCATTGAGTGGATTCGAATGGAATCGTCATCGAATGGAATTGAATGGAATCATTGAAGGCACTCGAAAGGAATCATCGAATGGACTCGAAAGGAATCATCTTCAAGTGGAATTGAATGGAATCATCGAACGGACTCGAAAGGAATCTTTGAATGGACTCGAATGGAATCATTATCAAATGGAACCTAATGGAATCATCGAATGGACTCGAATGGAGCCCTCATCGATTGTAATCACAGGGAATCACTGAATGGACTCGAATGGAAACGTCAAATGGCCTCAAATTGAATCACCATTAAATGGAATCAAATGGAATTATTGAATGGACTTGAATAGAATCATCGAATGGACTCGAAAGCAATCATCATCAAGTGGAATCGAATGAAAACATCGAATGGACTTGAATGCAATCATCGAATGGCCTCGAATGAAATCATCATCGAACAGAATCGAATGGAATCATCACATGAACTCGAATGGAATCATCATCGAATGGAATGGAATGGAATCATTGAATAGAATCGAATGGAATCATCATCAAATGGAATTGAAAGGAATAATTGAATGGACTCGAATGGAATCATCGAATGGACTCAAATAGAATCATCATAGAGTGGAATCGAATAGAATCATCAAATGGACTCGAATGGAATCATCATCAAATGGAATCAAATGAAATCATCATCAGATGGAATAGAATGGAATCATCACTGAATGGAGTCAAATGGAATCACTGAAGGGAATGCGATGGAATCATCATTGAATGCAATCAAATAGAAGCATCGAATGAAATCGAATGGAATCATCATCGAACGGACTCATATGGATTCATCATCAAATGGAGTCAAATGGAATCATCGTCTAATGGAATCAAAAGGAATCATCATCGAATGGAATTGCATGGAAACATCATCGAATTGAATCAAATGGAATCATCATGGAATTGAATCAAATGGCTCATGATCAAATGGAATCAAATGGAATCATCGAATGGAATCGAATGGAATCATCATCAAATGGAATCTTCGAATGGAATCGAATGAAAATATCATCGAATGAAACCGAATGGAATCATCAAATGCAACAGAATGGAATCACTGAATGGATTCAAATGGAATCATCATCGAACGGAATTGAATGGAATCATTGAAGGCACTCAAAAGGAATCATTGAATGGACTCGAAAAGAATCATCATCAAGTGGAATCAAATGGAATCATCGAACAGATTCAAAAGGAAACTTTGAATGAACTCTAATGGAATCATCATCGAATGGAACCTAATGGAATCATCGAATGGACTCGAATGGAGTCCTCATCGATTGTAATCACAGGGAATCACTGAATGGACTCGAATGGAAACTTCGAATGGCCTCAAATTTAATCATCATTAAATGGAATCGAATGTAATTATCGAATGGATTCGAATGGAATCATTGAATGGACTTGAAAGCAATCATTATCGAGTGGAATCGAATGAAATCATCAAGTGGACTCGAATGTATTCATCGAATGGCCTCGAATGAAATCATCATCGAATGGACTTGAATGGAATCATCGAATGGACTCAAATAGAATCACCATTGAGCAGAATCAAATAGAATCATCGAATGGACTCAAATGGAATAATCATCGAATGGAATCAAATGAAATCATCATCAGATGGAATAGAATGGAATCATCACTGAATGGAATCAAATGGAATCATTGAAGGGAATGAGATGGAATCATCATGGAATGGAATCAAATAGAAGCATCTAATAAAATCGAATGGAATCATCATCAAACGGACTCAAATGGAATCATCATCAAATGGAGTCGAATGGAATCATCGTCTAATGGAATCAAAAGGAATCATCAACGAATGGAATAGAATGGAAACATCATCGAATTGAATCAAATGGAATCATCATGGAATTGAATCGAATGGCTCATCATCAAATGGAATCGAATGGAATCATCGAATGGAATCATCATTGAATGGAATCTTCGAAAGGAATCGAATTGAATCATCATCGAATGGAATCAAATGGAACCATCGAATGAAATCGAATGGAATCATCATCGAAGGGAGTCAAATGGAAACATCATCAAATGTAATCTAATGTAATCATCAATGAAGGGAATCGAAAGGAATCATCATCGAATGGAATCAAATGGAATCATCAAAAGGAATGGAATCAGATGATAAAATGGACTCGAACGGAATCACTATAGAATGGAATCTAATAGATTCTTCGGATGGGCTCAAAGGGAATCATCATCGAATGGAATCGATTGGAATCATCGAATGCACTCAAATGGAATCATCATCGAATGGAATTGAATGGAATCATTGAATGGACTCGAATGGAATCATCATCAAATGGAATCCACTGGAATCATCGAATGAAATGGAATGGAATTATCGGATGGAATCGAATGGAATCATCTTTGAATGGAATGGAATGGAATCATCGAATGGAATCGAATGCAATCATCATTGAATGGAATCGAATAGAATCATCAAATGGAATCGAATGGAATCACCATTGAATGGACTCGAATGGAATCATAATTGAATAAAACCAGAAGGAGTCATAGAATGGACTGGAATGGAATCATCATCGAATGGAATCGAATGGAATCATCGCATGGAATCAAATGGAATCATCATGAAATGTAATCAAATGGAATCATCAAATGGAATTGAATGGAAACATCATCAAATGGAATCGAATGGAATCATAGAATGTTATCAAATGGAATCATCAACGAATGGGATCGAATGGAATCATCATCGAATGGAATCGATTAGAACCATCAAATGGAATCGAATGGAATCAACATCGAATGGAATCAAATGGAATCATAGAATGTTATCAAATGGAATCATCATCGAATGGAATAGAATGGAATAATCATTGAATGGAATCAAATGGAATCATCTATCGGACACGAATGGAATCATCATTGAATGGAATAGAATAGAATCATCATCGAATGGTATCCAAAGGAATCATCAAATGGATCTGAATGGAATCACCATAGAATTGAATAGAATGGAATCATCATCGATTGGAATTGAATGGAATCATCTAATGGACTGCAATAGAAACATCATCGAATGTAATCATCTATTGTACCCGAATGGAATCATCATGAAATGGAATCAAATGGGATCATCGAATGGACTCGAATAGAATCATCATCAAATGGAATCGAATGGAATCATCTAATGGAACCGAATGGAATCATCATTGAATGGAATCAAATGGAAACCACGAATGGACTAGAATGGAATCATCATCGAATATAATTGAAACAATCATCAAATGTAGTCGAATGGAAACATCGAATGGAATCAAATGGAATCATCATCGAATGAAATCACATGGAATCATTGAATGGACTCGAAAGGAATGGTCGTCAAATGGAATAGAATGGAATCATGGAATGGAATCCAATGGAATCATCTTCGAATAGAATTGAATGGAATCATCGAATGGACTCGAATGGAGTCATCATCAGATGGAATCGAATGGAATCATCGAATAGAATCGAATGTAATCGTCATCGAATGAAATCGCATTGAATTATCGAATGGACTCGAATGGAATCATCGTTGAATGGAATTGAATAGAATCATTGAATGGACTCGAATGTAATCATCATTGAATGGAATGGAATAATCAAATGGATTCGAATGTAATCATCATCGAATGAAATAGAAAGGAATCATCGAATGGAATCATCATCAAATGGAATCAAATAGAATGATCTAACGGACTGGAATGCAATCATTGTTGAATGAAATCGAAAAGAAACATCGAATAGACACGAATTGAATCATTATGGAATGGAATCGAATGGAGTCATCATCAAATGGAATCGTATAGAATCCTCATCAAATGGAATTGAATGGAATCATCGAATGCAATAGAATAGAATAATCTCAGAATGGAAACAAACGGAATCTTCAAATGAAATCAAATGGAATGATCATTGAATGGAATCAAATGGAATCATCATCAAATGGAATCAAAAAGAATCATCATCAAATGGAATGGAATGGAATCATCGAATGGACTTGAACGTAATCATCATCGAATGGAATCAAACCTAATCTTCGAATGGACTCGAATGGAATTATGATTGAATGGAACCGAATGTTGTCTTCGAATGCACTCGAATGGAAAAATCATCGAATGCAATCGAAGGGAATCATCATCGAATGGAATCGATTGGAATTATCATCGGATGGAATTGAATGGAATCGCGAATGGAATAGAATTGAGTCAACATCGAATGGAATCGAATAGAATCATCAAATGAAATCGAATGGAATCATCATCGAATGGAATCGAATGGAATCATCATCGAATGGAATCAAATCGAATCAGCATCGAATGGAATCAAATGGAATCATCAAAGAATGGAATCAAATGGAATCATCATTGACAGGAATCAGATGGAATAATCACCGAATGGAATCGAATGGAATCATTGAATGGAATCCAATGTAATCATCATCGAATTGAACCCAATGGAATCATTACATGGAGTCAAATGGAATCATCGAATTGACCCAAATGGAATCATCATTGAATGGAATAGAATGGAATCATCGAACAGAATCGAATTGAATCATCATCAAATTAAATCAAATGGAATCATAGAATGGTCTCGATTGGAATCATCATCAAATGGAATCAAAAGGAATCATCGAATGGACTTGAATGGAATCACTGAATGGACTCGAAAGGAATCATCATCGAATGGAATCAAATGGAATTATCAAATGGATATGAATGGAATCGCCATTGAATGGAATCGAATGGTATCATCGAATCGACTCTAATGGAATCATCATCAAATGGAATCGAAAGGAATAATCAAAAGTACTCGAATGGAATCATTGAATGGACTCGAATGGAATCATCACCAAATGGAATAGAATGGAATCATTGAATAGAATCGAATATAATAATCATCAAATGAAATTGCATAAAATCATGGAATGGACACGAATAGAGTTGTCATCAAATGGAATTGAATGGAATCATCGAATAGACTTCTATGGAATAATCATCAAATGGAATGGAAAGGAATCATCAAATGAAATCAATAGAATCATCATCGAATGAAATTAAATGGAATAATTGAATGGCACAAAATGGAATCATCTTCGAATGGAATAGAATGGAATCATCTAACGGACGTGAATGGAATAATCATCAAATCGAATCGAATGGAAACATTGAATGGACAAAATGGAATCATCAACGAATGGAATTGAATGGAATCATCATGAAATCAAATCGAATAGAATCGTCATTGTATGGAATCGAATGGAATCATCATCGAATGTAATTGAATGGAATCATCATCAAATGTAATTAAATGGAATCATCACTTAAAGGAATCGAATGCATTCATCATCAAATGGAACCGAACAGAGTCATCATCGAATGGAATTGAATGGAATTGTAATCAAATGGAATCGAATGGAATCATCAAATGGACACGAATGCAATCATCGACTGTGCTTCAATGGAATCATCATGGAATGGAATCAAATGGAATCATCGAATGGGCTCGAATGGAATCATCATCGAATGTAATTGAATGGAATCATCATCAAATGTAATTGAATGGAATCATCACTTAAAGGAATCGAATGCATTCATCATCAAATGGAACCGAACAGAGTCATCATCGAATGGAATTGAATGGAATTGTAATCAAATGGAATCGAATGGAATCATCAAATGGACACGAATGCAATCATCGACTGTGCTTCAATGGAATCATCATGGAATGGAATCAAATGGAATCATCGAATGGGCTCGAATGGAATCATCATCGAATGGAAACAGATGGAATCATAGAATGGACTTGAATGGAATTATTGAATGGACTCGAATGGAATCATCATTGAATGGAATTGAATGGAATCATCGAAAGGTCTGAAATGGAATCATTATCGAATGGAATCGAATGGAATCATCAAATGGAATCAAATGGAATCATCATCGAAAGGAATTGAATAGAATCGGCATCGAATAGAATAGAATGGAATCATCATCGAATGGAATCGAATGGAATTTTCATCAAATGGAAGCAAATGGAATCATCATTGAATAGATTCGAATGGGATCATCGAATAAATTGAATGGAATCTTCATCAAAAATAATCGAATAAAACAAAGAATGGAATACAACATACTCATTGAATGGAATCGAATGGAATCATCATTGAAAGGACTCGAATGGAATCATCATCGAATGGAGTCGAATGGAATCATATAATGGACTTGAATGGAATCATCAAATGTACTCGAATGGCATCATCATCGAATGGAATCATATGAAATCATGGAACACACACGAATGGAATCATCGAATGGACTCAAATGGAATCAACGTCAGCTGGAATCGAAAGGAAATATCGAATGGACTCGAATGGAAACATCATTGAATGGAATCTAATGGAATCATCGAATAGACTCGATTGGAATCGTCATTGAACGGAGTCAAATGGAATCATCGAATGGAATCAAATAGAATCATCATCAAATGGAATCAATTGGAATCATCAATGAATGGTATCCAATGGAGTCATGGAATGGAGTCCATAGGAATCATCATAGAATGGAACCGAATGCAGACAACATCAACTGGAATCAAATGGAACAATCGAATGGACTCGATGGAATCATCATCGAATGGAATCAGAAGAAATCATCGAATGGACTAGAATGGAATTATTATCGAGTGGAATTGAAAGGAATCATCCAATGGTCTTGAATGGAATCATTGAATGTACTCGAATGGAATCATCATCGAATGGAATCAAAAGAAATCATCCAATGGACTTGAATGGAATCATTGAATGTACTTGAATGGAATCACCATCGAATGCAATACAATGGAATCATCCAATGGACCCGAATGGTATCAACATTGAATGGAATCGAATGGAATCATCATCGAAAGCAATCAAATGGAATCATCAATTGGACCCGAATGGAATCATCATCGAATAGAATTGAATGGAATCATTGAATGGAATCATCACCAAATGGAGTCCAATGAAATCATCAAATACACTTGAATGGAATCATCATAGAATGGAATTGAATGAAATCATCGAATGGAATCGAATGGAATCATCATTGAATGGAATTGAATAGTATCATCGAATGCACTCGAATGGAATCATCAATGAATGGTATCATTGAATGGAATCAGGTGGAATAATCTTCAATTGGCATCAAAATAAATCACCGAATGGTCTTGAATGGAATAATCATCGAAAGGAATTGAATGGAATCATCGAATCGAATCGAACGGAATCATCATCAAACGGAATCGAATGAAATCATTGATCGGATTTGAATGGAATCATCATCAAATGGAATCAAATTGAATCATCATCGAATGGAATCGAAAAGGATCAACACCAAATGGAGTCGAATGGAATCATCATCAAATGGAATCCAAAGGAATCATCATCGAATGGAACCGAATGGAATCATCAACGAATGGAAACGAAAAGAGTCATCATCAAGTGGAATCGCATGGAATCGTCATCGAACGGAACCGAATGGAATCATCCTCAAATGGAATCTGATGGAATCATCGAATGGAATTGAATTGGAATCATCATCAAATTAATTGAATGGTATCATCGAATGGTCTTGAAAGGAATCATTATCTAATGGAATCGAAAGGAATCATCGAATGGATTCAAATGGAATCATCGAATGGACACAAATGGAATCATCATCAAATGGACTTAAAGGGAATGATCGAATGGACTCGAATTGAATCATCCATTGGACTCAAATGGAGTTATCGAATGGGCTTGAATGGAATCATCGAATGGACTCGAATGGAATCATTATTGAATGGAATCAAATGGAATCATCGAATGGAATCGAATGGAATCATTGAATGGAATCGATCAGAATCATCATGAAATGGAATCAGATGGAATCTTCGAATGGAATTGAATGCAGTCATCATCGAATGGAATCAAATGGAATCATCGTAGAATAGAATAGAATTGAATCACCAAATGGAATCGAATGCAATCATCGTCGATTGTATTCGAATGGAATCTTCAAGTGGAATCAAATGGAATCATCAAATGGAATTGAAAGGAATCAGCATTGAACGAAATTGAATGGAATCATCATTGAATAGAATTGAATGGAAACATTGAATGGAATAATCATAAAATGGAGTCCAATGGAATCATCAAATGGACTCGAATGGTATCATCGAATGGACTCGATTGGAATCATCGAATGGACTCGAATGGAATCATCATGCAATGGAATCAAATGAAATCATACTCAAATGGAATTGAATGGGATCATCACTGAAAGGAATTGAATGGAATCATCAAATTAAACCAGATGGAATCATCATCGAATGGAATCGAATGGAATCATCGAATGAAATCAAATGGAATCATCATCAAATGGAGTCGAATTAAATCATCATCGAATGTAATCCAATGGAATCATCAATGAAGGGAATCGAATGGAATTATCATTGAATGGAATCAAATGGAATCATCAATGAATGGAATCCAATGGAATCATCGAATGAAATCTAATGGAATCTTCATCAAATGGAATCTTATGGAATCATCGAATGGACACGCATGGAATCATCATCAAAAGAAATCGAATGTAATCATAGAATGAAATCAAATGGAATCATCATTGAATGGAATCGAATAGAATCATCGAATGGAATCAAATGGAATTATCAAATAATGGAATCGAATGGAATCATTTAATCGACTCGAATGGAATCTTCATCGAATGTAATCGAATGGAATCATCCAATGGCCTTGAATGGAATCATCATCAAATGCAATCTAACGGCATCATGGAATGGAATCAAATGGAATCATCATCGCATGGAATCAAATGGAATCATCAAATGGAATCGAATGGAATCATCGAATGGTACCGAATGCAGTCATTCTCGAATGGAATCGAATGGAATCATTGAATGGACTCAAATGCAATCATCATCGAATGGAATCGAATGGAATCATGGAATGGACTCGAATACAATCATTGAATAGACACGAATGGAATCATCATCAAATGGAATAGAATGGAATCATCGAATGGACTCGAATGGAATTATCATTGAATGGAATCGAATGGAATCACTGAACGAATTTGAATGGAATCATCATTGAATGGAAAGGAATCTCATCATTGAATGTATTCGAATGGAATCATCATCGAATGGAATCATGTGGAATCGTCGAATGAACTCGTAATGAATCATAATCGAATGGAATCATAAGGAATCATCATCGAATGGAATCACATGGAATCATCATCGAATGGAATCATGCGGAATCATCATAGAATGGAATTGAATGGAATCATCAGTTGGACTCGAATGGAATCATAAAATGGATGAAAAGGGAAGCATCGAATGGACTCAAACCGAATCATCATCGAATGGAATCAAATGGAATCACTGAAAGGACTCGAATCGAAACATCAAATGGACTCAAATGGAATCATTATAGAATGGAATTGAAAAGAGTCCTTGGATGGACTTGAATGGAATCATCTTTGAATGGAATCGATTGGAATCATCGAATGCACTCGAATGGAATCATCATCAAATGGAATTGAATGGCGTCATTGAATGGACTTGAATGGAATCATCATCAAATGGAATCCATAGGAATCATAGGATGAAATCAAATGGAATTATCGAATTGAATCGAATGGAATCATCTTTGAATGGAATCAAATGGAATCATCGAATGGAATCGAATGCAATCATCATTGAATGGAATCAAATGGAATCATCAAATGGAATCTAATTTAAACACCATTGACTCAATGGACTCAAGTGGAAACATCATTGAATAGAATCAGAAGGAATCATTGAATGGACTCGAATGGAATCATCATTGAATAGAATCAAATGGAATCATCGAATGGAATTGAATGGAATCATCATCAAATGTAATTAAATGGAATCATCCAATTGAATCGAACGGAATCATCATCAAGTGGAATCGAATAGGATCAGTGAATGAAATCGAATGGAATCAACATTGAATGGAATCAAATGGAATCATTAGCGAATGGAATTGAAAGCAATCATTGAATGGACTCGAATAGAAACATCAAATGGACTTGAATGGAACCAACATTGAATGGAGTAGAATGGAATCATTGAATGGACCTAAATGAAATCATCATCGAATGGAATAGAATGGAATCAACTAATTTACAAGAATGGAATCATCATCGAATAGAATAGAATGGAATCAACTAATTTACACGAATGGAATCATCATCAAATGGAATAAAAATGGAATCATCAACGAATGGAATGTAATGGAATCACCTAATGGACACGAATGGAATCATCATTGAATGGAATAGAAACGAATCGTCATCGAATGGAATCCAATGGAATTATCAAATGGATCGGAATGGAATCATCAGAGAATTGAATAGCATGTAATCATCATCGAATGGAATTGAAAGGAATCATCTAATGAACAGGAATAGAATCATCATTGAATGGAATCATCTTTTGTACCCGAATGGATTCATCATGGAATGGAATAGAATGGAATCATAGAGTGGAAACAAATGGAATCACCATTGTATGGAATCGAGTGGAATCATCATTGAATGGAATAGAATGGAATCATTGGAGAATGGAATTGAATGGAATCATCGAATGAACTCGAATGGAATCATCATCGAATGGAATCGAATGGAATCATCTAATGGACCCCAATGGAATCATCATCGAATGGAATTGAATGGAATCATCGAATGGACTCGAATGGAATCATCATCGAATGGAATCGAATGGAATCACCTAATCTACCCGAATGGAATCCTCATCGAATGGAACTGAATGGAATCATCGAATGGACTTGAATGCAATCATCAACGAATATAATTGAAAACAATCATCAAATGGATTCGAATGGAATCATCGAATTGACTCAAATGGAATCATCATGGAATGAAATCAAACGGAAACATCGAATGGACACGAATGGAATATTCATTGAATGGAATTGAATGGAATCATTGAATGGAATCAAATGGAATCATCATTGAATAGAATTCAATGGAATTATCGAATGGACTCGAATGGAATCATCATCAAATGGAATCGAATGGAATCATCGAATAGAATCGAAAGTAATCGTCTTCGAATGAAATCGCATTGAATTATCGAATGAACTGGAATGGAATCATCATAGAATGGAATCGAATGGAATCGTCAAATGGACTCAAATGGAATCATCATCGAATGGAATGGAATGGAATCATCAAGTGGATTTGAATGGAATCATCATTGAATGAAATCGAATAGAATGATCTAACTGACTCGAATGGAATCATCGTCAAATGGAATCAAATGGAAGCCTCGAATGGACACGAATGGAATCATTATCAAATGGAAACGAATGTAATCATCATCAAATGGAATCGAATAGAATCCTCATCGAATGGAATAGAATAGAATCATCTCAGAATGGAAACAAATGTAATCATTGAATGAAATCAAATTGAATCATCATCAAATTGAATTGAATGGAATCTTCATCAAATGGTATCGAATAGAATCATCATCAAATAGAATGGAATGGAATCATCGAATGGATAGGAAAGGAATCATCATCAAATGGAATCGAGTATAATCTTCGAATGGACCCGAATGGAATCATGATTGAATGGAATCGAATGGAATCTTCGAATGCACTCGAATGGAATCATCATCGAATGCAATCAAATGGAATCAGCATCAAATGGAATCAAATGGAATCATCATCGAATGGAATTGAAAGGAATCCTCGAATGGAATATAATTGAATCATCATCAAATGGAATCGAATAGAATCATCGAATAAAATCGAATGGAATCATCATCAAATGGAATCGAATGGAGTCATAATCGAATGGAATCGAATGGAATCGAATGGAATCATCATCGAATGGAATCGAATGGAATCATCAACGAATGGAATTGAATGGAATCATCATTGACATGAATCGAATGGAATAATCAACGAATGGAATAGAATGGAATCATTGAATGGAATCCCATGTAATCATCATTGAATTGAAACCAATGGAATCATTACCTGGACTCGAATTGCATCTTCGAACAGACTCAAATGGAATAATCATTGAATCAAAAAGAATGGAATGATCGAACAGAATCGAATGGAATCATCGAACAGAATTGAATGGAATCATCATCGAATGAAATCAAACGGAATCATCGAATGGACTTGAATGGAATCATCATCGAATGGAATTGAATGGAATCATCAAATGATCTCGAATGGAATCATCATCGAATGCAATCAAAAGGAAACATCAAATGGGCTTCAATGGAATCATTGAATGGACTCGAATGGAATCATCATCAAATGGTATTGAATGGAATCATCCAATGGAAATGAATGGAATCATCATCGAATGGAATCAAATAGAAACATCATTGATTAGAATCGAATGGAATCATTATCAAATGGAATCTAATGAAGTCATCAACGAATGGAATCTAATGGAGTCATCATCTAAAGGAATAGAATGGAATCAGCAAGGAATGGAATCGAATGGAGAAATCGAATGTAATCTGTTGGAATCATCATTGAATGGAACTGAATGTAGTCATCAGAGAATGGAATCGAATGGAATTAATGAAGGGACTCGAGTGGAATCATCATTGAATTGAATCAGATGGAATCATTGAATGGAATCGAATGGAAACATCATCAAATGGAATCGAATGGAATCATCGAATGCACTCTAATGGAATTATCATTGAATGGAATCAAATGGAATCAAATGGAATCATTGAATGGACTCTAATGGAATCATCATGGAATGGAATTGAACGGAATCATCAAATGGACTCGAATGGAATCATTGAATGGACTCGAATGGAATCATCATTGAATGGAATCGAGTGAAATCCTCAAATGGAATCAAATGGAATCATCAATTGGAATCGAATGGAATCATCATCAAATGGAATCGAATGGAATCATCTAATGGAATCGAACGCAATCAACAATGAATGGAATTGAATGGAATCATCACCGAATAGAATCAAATGGAATCATCGAATAGAATCGAATGGAATCATCGTCAAGTTTAATTGAGTGGAATCATCGAATGGAATCGAGTGGAATCATTGTCGATTGGAATGGAATGGAAATGAATGGAAATGAATGGAATCACCAATTAATGGAATCGAATGGAATCATCATCGAATGGAATTGAATGGAATCATTGAATGGACTAGAATGCAATCATCATTGAATGGAATCACATGGAATCATCATCAAATGAAATCATACGGAATCATCATTGATGGGAATTGAATGGAATGAAAAATTGGACTCGAATGGAATCATCAAAAGAACTCGAATGGAAGCGTCAAATGGACTCGAATGGAATCATCATTGAATGGAATCAAATTGAATCATCTAATGGACTAGAATGGAATAATCATCGAATAGAATTGAATGGAATCATAGAATGGACTCGAATGGAATCATCATCAGATGGAATCGAATGGAGTCATTGAATAGAATCGAATGAATCATCATAAAATGAAATTGCATTGAATCATTGAATAGACAAGAATGGAGTCATCATCGAATGGAATCGAGTGGAATCATTGAATGGACTCGAATGGAATAATCATCGAATGGAATGGAAAGGAATCATCAAAAAGAAATCAATGGAATCATTATCGAATGAAATCAAATGGAATAATCGAATGACACGGAATGGAATGATCATCGAATGGAATCAAATGGAATCATCTGACGGACTCGAATGGAATAATCATCAGTTGGTATCGAATGGAAACATCAAATGGACACAAATGGAATCATCACTGAAAGGAATAGAATGGAATCATCATCAAATGGAATCGAATAGAATCACCATCGAATGGAATCGAATGGAATCATCGAAGGTAATAGAATGGAATCATCATCGAATGGACACAAATGGAATGATCGAATGAAATCAAATGGAATAATCATCGAATGGAATCCAATGGAATCATCATCGAATGTAACTGAATGAAATCATCACTGAAAGGAATCGAATGGATTCATGATCAAATGGAACCAAACAGAGTCATCATTGAATGGAATTGAATGGAATCATAATCGAATGGAATCGAATGGAATCATCAAATGAACTCTAATGCAGTCATTGACTGGGCTTCAATGGAATCATCATGGAATGGAATCGAATGGAATCATCGAACGGACTCGATTGGAATCATCATTGAATGGAATCAAGTGGAATCCTCGAATGGAATCAAATGGAATCATCAAATGGAATCGAACAGATTTATAAGAAACTTAGTTGAACCAAAAAATAGAAAAACAAACAAACCAAAACCCACTAAAACTGTGATGAGCAAAGTAGACATCAGAACAGGAAATATCACTGGGGATGAAGAATAACATTTCAAAATGACAAAGGGGAAAATACACCAAGAAGTCATGTAAATAAGAAATATGTATGCACACAATAGCATTACTTCAAAATACATAATATTAAACCTATTAAAACTGAAAGGTAAAATAATAAAACCACAGTCATCCATGGGGATTTCCACAGTCTCCTGCCAGAAATTTTTAAATTTTGTTAAACGAAAAGTTGGTAAGGGTAGAGAGGATCTTATAAATATAATTAGCCAACTTGATCTAACTGAATCTTTTAGAATAATCTAAGGATGAGGAATGAGGTAGCAGAGAAAGAAAAGGCAGACATCAACGTGACATTAGTGTTTCAAGGCTATGAGAATACACCAATAATGGTGTGTGTGTGTGTGCAGACGGTAAGCTCAATCTTAAAAATATTGAGTTTTAACTGACAATTCATTATTAGGAAAGATAAGAGGAAATGATATCTAGTGAGAGACTATATGACTGAACTCTAAGAGAAAGGTCACAGCAGAAATTGTGTACTTGACAGCTCTATAAACAGGTCAGTCGAAAATAAGTCAGTGATGAATTCTCTGGTGTAAAAGCAGAGGAATGAGGATTAGATTTAAAACACATGGAAGCAGAGTGACTTATGATAAAAACATGAGCTTGAAAATCCTGCAGAGAGGGCTTTAAATACTGGGTATGATATTCTGCTTGTGTAGGCAATAGTGATAAAAACACAACAACAAAGAGAGGTAAAGAGCAATTTCCTTTGATGTAAGTAAAGGGCACGTCTTATTGCACATATTTATATATATATAGGTATTCAACTGAGATTCAACATTTTTCTCTCATTGAAACAGCAAGCTCTCCAGGCCTTCATGTTCCCAGTGAGGTAGGTAAACTTCTGATGATTATACTCACCCTCCCTCATTGCAAAGCTCCCGTTGTTATTATCTTGGCTCTGGATTCCCTCAAAAATAGACTATGAAACAAATATCTGGGGTCAGATACTTTAATCAGAAATTGAGTGAGAAAGCACAGAAGTGGAGAAAATGAAACAGAACACGAAGCCAGTGTGAATGAGTAGTTACTGCTATGTGCTCCGTAATGATGGAGGTATGGACATTGTCTCAAAAAAACTTTACAAAGAGATGAGGATGCTGGAATCCCCATCTCTTATTGCTTAAGGATTGCCTTAGAATCATTAACTCCCCACCCCTAACTCCTTCTTTGTTCCTATGTGTGGTTGAGAAGCACTGGTTACCCTCAAGAAGCTTGCAGGCAGGCCCAAAAATCAGAAAGACAGGCATGATGTGGGGAGCTCTAAGTTAGCTGGAAACAGGTGAATTCCAGGTGAACACATTGAGTCCAGGACATAGAAGACAAGTCATCAGCAATATCTGCTATAGCCAGTTTTCTTTTTCTTTTTAAGAACATATATACTTTCTATTGGGGGTCCCCAATTCGCCCTTTGGTTTAAAGATTCACATAACTCAAAAAAGCTGATTTTTTCTGTGGTTATAGTTTCTAACAGTGAAAGAAACCAGATTAAAATAATCAGAAGCATAAAAGCACGTAAAGTTGAGTCCAGGACAAACCAGATGTGAGCTTACAGGTGTCCTTTCATAGTGGGGACTTCACACTGACTAATTTTCTTTACAATGGTGTGAGACAACCTGTGTGAACTTCTTGCCAACTAGGGAAGCTCAGTCAGTCTTGAGTCCAGGGTTTTTATTAGGAATCCACCACATATACATTGAGCGTCCTGTGACTGAACTTAGCTACTTAGTTCCCAACCTCCCTATGCCGTAAGAGAGGTCATATTAATATGGCATTACACAAAGTCATAGGCATACAGAAACAGGTGCTCACAAGAAATCACGTTGTTAGCATCAGCTATTTGATATGACCTACTTTTTCAGGTATACAAAGACTCTCATCAGGCAGCATATACCAAGGGCTCATAGGTTATCATCTGCCAGGAGCTTCTCAAGGGCCAGTTCTGAAGACCTTTGGAATGTGCAAGGTTTTGGAAAGCCATGTCTGCAGAATTAACCCTTCATTACACAATATCCAAGAATTTTTTTAACTTTAAAAATGTTTTTTGATCTTTGACAATGTACCAACCAATACTGAGTAACCAATAATTAGTAACAACAGTGTACTCCTGAGTACTTGCACCTGCAAGGAGAAAAAGGACAGATGCACTTACATAGGACAGATGCAAATAGACACCACTATGACAAGTAAAGCTGGAATAATCAATAAATTCCTAAAGACAAAGTGGGGCTGGTGAGATTGGGAGATGGCTGACAGCTGCAGAAGTTGGGAAAGATCCATCATCTTGAAAACTTTTTCCCCACAAACCCACTGTGATCTCTCAAGCAATTGGTAAGGAATCCAAGAGAGTCTGTATATGACACAGATCAGGGAGAGCAGAACACTTGGGAGGTGACGAGGTCTTGGGGGCCGAGCCCTTATGAATGGGATTAGTGACTTTATAAAAGAAGCTCAATAGAGTTCTTGTGTGCCTCCCACTATGTGAGGACATAGAAAGAAGGCACCATCTATGAACCATGAAATTGGGTCTCATCAACATTGAATTTGTAAGCATCTTGGCCTGAGATCTTACAGCCTCAAGAAGTGTGAAAAAAGAAATATCTGTTGTTTTTTAGTCACCCAGTTTATGTTATTTTGTTATAAGAGTCCACATAGACCAAGATATTCCACTTAATATGTAGGGGAAGGCAACAAAAACTGCCACACATAGAATACTCCTGATGCTGGGAGTATGAAAACAGGAAAAACAAAACAAAACTGCTCTTGAAGGTGAAGGAGGAATATCACTGAGCTCACCAACACAGCCAGGAAAAGAACAGAAGTGTGAGAATGCTACATTCGTGAGACCCTGAGAAAAAGTACCTGCATAAGACTGAGATGAAATTACCTACTCTAGTTATGATTGAAATCCCAAAAAGAAAAGAGGGAAAAATAATGGAGCAAAAGAAAAATTTTTCAAAATAACTGCCAAAAATATTCTAAAAGAAGTGACAGAAAATCAAACTTCAAATCTAGGAAAACTCAGAGAATGTCAAATAGAACAAAAAGAAATAAGAATTACATCTTGAAAAATCTTTAAAAAATCAAGTCTAAATTTTATATCTTGCTCCAAATATATAGAGATATAAATAGGTTATCATCAAGATATGGAGAAAGCTATATCATGGAAATACTAAAATAAGGCTGTGGAAGGACTACATTGATATTAGACACAACAGAGTTCGGAACAAGAAATAGTATCAGAGATGAGAGATAATAGATAATAGAATAATCAATTCTCAAGAAGATGTAAATATCCTACTAAGTAGGGTATGCAACTAACAACAGAACCTCCAAATACATGACGTAAAACAGGAAAGAAATCAAAGGTGAACTAGAAAAATCCAAAATTATATTTGCAGACTTCAAGACTTTTGTCTTAGTAATGGAAACACTAGACACAAACTCAGTAATCATGTGGAAGATAAGAACAACAATATCACCAACAAGACATCCGATCTTCAATGGCAGATACTCTTTCCTTTCAAGTGAAAAAAAAAACAGTATGGCATATTCTCTAACAAACCCAGAATTTCTAATATTTGGGTTCTTCCTTCCTTCTTTCCATCTTCCTTTCTCTTCTCTTCCCTTCCCTTACCTTCTTCCTTCCTTTCTTCTTTTCCTCTTCCTTTTCTTTTCTTTTTTCTTTTCCTTTCTTTCTTTTCTTTGTTTTTCTCCTTCCTTCCTTCTTTCCTTCTTTCTTTCCTTCCTCTTATTCTTCCTTCCCTCCTCCTTCCCTTCCTTTCTCCCTCCATTTTCCTCCGTCTTTTCTCATATTCTTTCTTTCTCACGTTCTTGCTTTCTTTCCTTTTTTCTCCCTTCCTCCCACCCTCCTTTTCTTCCTCCCTCCCTCCCTTCCTTTCCTCTTTTTCCTTCCTTCCTTCTCCTCTTTATTTTCCATGTTTCTTTGCATTCCTCCCTTTTACCATTCTCTTTTCCTCCTTTCCTTCCTCCCTTCCTCCTTTCTTTCTTTCTTTCTCTCTTTCTCTCTTTCTTTCTCTCTTTCCCTCTTTCTTTCTCTTTCTTTCTTTCTTTGTTTCCTTCTTTCTTTCTTTTCTTTCTTTCTTTCTTTCTTTCTTTCTTTCTTTCTTTCTTTCTCTCTTTCCTTCTTTCCTTCTTTCTTTCTTGTGTTCATGCTTTCTTTTTTCTCCCTTCCTGCCTTTCTCCCTTCCTCCCTCCCTCCCTTCTTCCATCATTTCCTCCTTCTTTTCTTTCTTCTTTCTTTATTTCTTTCCTTCCTTCTTTCGTTCCTTTTTCTTTCTTTGTTTTCTTTTCTTTCTTTCTCTTTACTACAATTCATATTATTTTTAAAAAACTAAGAGAGGGAGACAGAAAAATGAGGAACGCTTTAATCTACAAGTAAACATATTATGTCTGCTGTAGGCAAAAGAATGGCCTCCCAAAAATTTTCATGTCCTAATTCCCAGAGTCTAACATACAAATATGATACGTTGCACGGCAGTGTGAAATTAGATTTCAAGTGAAATTAAGGTTGCGGGAAAATGATAGAGAGGTTTTCTTAAGTGGGTGGGATCAATGAAATGACAAACTTCCTTATAAGTGAAAGAAGAAGGCAGAAGAAAGACAACCTTGGAGGTGGTGGCATGAGAAATTACTCAACATCACTGACTTTTAAGATACAAGAATGAGGACCCAGCGCGGTGGCTCATGCCTAATCCCAGCACTTTGGGAGGCTGGGGTGGGTTTATCACGAGGTCAGGAGATCGAGACCATCCTGGCTAACATGGTGAAACCCCATCCCTACTAAAAATACAAAAAAATAACGGGCATGGTGGCAAGTGCCTGTAGTCCAAGATACTCAGGAAGCTGAGGCAGAAGAATCACTTGAACCCGGGAGGCAGAGGTTGCAGTGAGCTGAGATCGTGCCACTGCACTCCAGCCTGGGTGACAGAAGGAGACTCCATCACCAAAAAATAAAAAAGGAAAATAGGATATAAGAAAGAGGTCATCTTCCAAGGAATAAAGGTGGCCTCTGGAAGCTGAAAAAAATCAAGAAATAGATTCTGCCACATAGCCCTCAGAAAGACTGCAGCCCTGCCCAAAACTTGATGTTAGCCCAGTGAGTTTCATTTAAGGCTTCTGAACTACAGAACTGTAGGATTAACGGTCACCTTATTGTAAGAGATGAAGTTTGTGGTAATTGGTTACAGCAGCAAGAGGAAGTTTATATTGTAATTGTATCATGAAAATGAGAACCATAATTTACAACTGCTTTTAATACTGCACTTGGATGTTTGAAATCACGTACATGGAAATGATCTCTTATGTGCATGAGGGAGGATAACAAATTGATGCCAAAATAATGCAAATGCAAATCTTACACTCATTTCTATGTAGGATTCATTTAATCTTTGAAATTAAAATGAAATTAAAAGATTGTGATATTTTGATGAAATTAGACTAAAATGAACAATAACAAAATAAGAACTTACTTATATTCTTTATATGGTCAATAAAGAAGTGATAGTGGAAAAAAACAAGATCAAATGAAGGTGATGATTTAGGAAGTGGGAAAGATAGCTGAAACTACAAAATGGTATATAACCAGTGAACACTTAGACACACTGATTAATGAACTTCAGCTTTTGGCTTTGTGAGAGTATAAAATGAGAGCAACTGAGGTTTGCAAATTTGTAATCTCCTTGTGGAAAACCAGGGGAAAACACATCTCAGCCTAATAAGATTTATCTACTAAAGAATCTAGACTTGATCCATTTGTCCTTGTAATTCAAAAGCTAATTCAAATACTGATGTGATGTATTGTGTGAACAACCATTGCTGATTTTCATCGCATACCTGGCATTCTCTTTTACCTGATATCTAAAATATTTGGTAATTCTTGGACTTTCTCTTTTCAAACCCAGTATGGTTTAATTTGAGTCTTAGAACAGTTGTCTTTGAGAAATTCTTCCCTCTATTTCATCTGTGAATGGGCATAGCATGGTTACATACATACTCTCACTCCATAGAACATTTGTTAAATTAAAGCCAAAGTTTAAAGGAAGAACTTTAACTTACTGGTTTTACTAATGTTTTCCTCCCCAATAGCCACAACAGTATTGATACCCTCACACCTTTTAACATGAACCTTGGTGTTGTCTATTTTTCAGGTGCTGTCATCTATATGATCTCAGTATTTTAAAAATCAGCTTCCAGCCCATATGGTGGTTCATGCTTGTAATACCAGCAGTTGAAGAGGCTAAAATGAGAGGATTCCTTGAGCCCAGGATTTCAAAAGTAACCTGGGCAACATAGCAAGACCCAGTCTCTATCAAAGGTTAAAAAAAAAAAGTGGGCATGGTGATGTGCACCTGTTGTCCTAGCTATTTGGGAGGCCAAGGTGGAAGGATTGCTTGAGCTTGGGAGGCTGAGGCTGCAGTGAGCAGTGATTGCACCACTGCACTCCAGCCTGGGCAAAAAAGCAAGACCGTATCTCAAAAAAAAAAAAAAAAAAAAAAAAAAAAAAATATATATATATATATATATATATATATATATATATATATATATATAATAAAAATAAAAATCAGCTCTCATTGATTTCTATGTAAATATGCACAGGTGATGTCCACATAGACATAAGTAATAATATTTCTGACAATGGGTCCTTATGATCTTCAAAATGTAAAATGTCTATGTGGATAATTGACTGGTCAGTCTCATTAATGAATACAGATTCAATTCTACTTTCTTGTTCTACATAAATTATATAATCTAGCTTTTCATTTCACTTATTTACTGATAACAAGAGGAAGAATGACAAGATATCTGTTTTGGAAAATTACTCTGGTAGGAGTAAAGATGAAACAATGATAGAAATGCACCGAAAACTAGAAAAAAGTATGGTCTTCTGATATTCTATCACGTCACATACTAAAGGCCTCATAAAACTAAGATGTTTTATCTAAAAATGTTATTTTCATCATAGGAATGATCAAAGCATGAGACAACAGTTGTATTAAAATGTGCTTGTATCACAAGCACAGGTGCTAAAAAGGAGGGGAAAACATCATTACTGATATTTTCAACGTATGTTTTACTTTCGGTCAACATGAACCTCAACTTGATATGATGCAGATTGAAGGAAACCACCCATAATTCCATATGAAGAAGGCCTGTGATATTTTATGGGAAAATAAATAGAGAAAATGCTAACAGAAACCCTATTAAGCATGAAGCTTTACGGAGCAAACACAAATCCAGTGGTGAAAGATACACACTCGAGTTCTGTTTGTTGTCTTGGAACAATACGGTTTAGAGGTGAATGGCGGGTGAGGAGAACATATGCGAGTTCACCAAAGAGAAAAGCTGAATGAGGCAATGCCTCTTCCTGACCATATCTCTTACTCAGATAACTATATAATTTATTGTCCAGTAAAGGGTATATTAAAAAATCATATTAAAAGTCATGCAGTGAAGTTGTCCAGGGAAATCAAGACTTAACAGTCTCACTCTGACAATAATGAACAGGGGGTTCCCTCAAGATAGTCTAGGACATGACCCCACCCTGGCAGACAGTAGTACCAGAAAACAACACATGGAGAATCTTTACCTTATGCTTGAGGTAGGGACCAGGCTAAAGTGAAAGCCAGACATAAAATTCTATCTAAAATAAATCCACAATCGAAGAAAATATGTGGTATACAGGCATAGAATGTCTTTACTGGATCATTGAAATAGTAAGATAAATTCAACATTTACATTGTTTTCTTTTCCTCCAGTTAGGGCTTGAGGTTTGTCTCTGGAGAGTGACTGTCAATTGGAGCCCTGCCTTTCTGGGTTTCTGGTCAGGGGGTTGTGGATGCTTAACATGTGCCTTCCACAGGACACTTCCTTACCCCAGCAGTGGCCAGGTGTGCATCCCACGACCAGGCCTCCCTCTCACAGAACATTTGTTGAGACTAGGAGATGCCTGGTGACTGTTGCCTGACCTGTGTCCTGTGTATTTCTGACAAGAGCCACTCTCAGAGACCTTGGCCAGTAGGAGAGTTAGGTTCCAGTGTAGGTCAGCTCAGACCCATGGAGGCCACAGAACCAAACATGGGAAATCACAGAAGTAGGTTTATTACTCAAAGATCCAGAGAGAAGAGGGTAGCTGAGAAGAGGGTTTAGCTGTGTCCCCAGCCAAATCTCATCTTGAATTCCCACATGTTGTGGGAGGGAACAGGTCAGGTAATTGAATCATGGGGGCAGGTCTTTCCCATGCTGTTCTTCTGATAGTGAATAAGTCTCAGAAGATCTGATGGTTTTATAAAGGGGGGTTTCCCTGCACAAGCTCTCTTGTCTTGTCTGCTGCCATGTGAGACGTGCCTTTCAACTTGCACCATGATTGTGAGGCCTACCCAGCCATGTGGAACTGTGCATCTATTAAACCTTTTTCTTCTGGAAATTACCCAGTCTTGGGCATGTCTTAACCGGGGGTGTGAAAATGGACTAATAGAGTAGCACACCTCATAGGGCTGAACAAAATGGGGAAGATGAGTGGGGAGCAGGAGAGAGAAAATTGATCTTTGGGACTCCAGCCTTTATTGGGCCCAGAACATTACCCAAATAAGTTTTCCATGGGGCACTAGTCGGTGGGTTGAGTGCCAGCAGGCACATTTCTTGACTCCCGCTGCAACCGAGCAGGTCACTCTGTCGTGTGGGGTCTGTCCATGTGCACTGTGAGCTCTGTGGGGTGAGTCAGGTAGGTTGTATCCAACGGTTCCATAGCTGGTAGTCACCAGGAGGAGGCAACTGTGTAGGGTCCATATCTGGACCAGCCACACTGAGGAACTGTGAGGGTTAGAACTGGAAATTGTCAAGGGAATCTGAACCCAGCTAACATATGAGAGAGTTCAACTTATGTTCAATGTGAATGCCATGGCAATATTAAAAGGTAACAACTCGTTCCATACGTGCTTGAGGTAAATAGGAGATACCTAGAATTTATGTAAACAGTGAGAAATTGGATGCGTTTTCCGTCTCATATTTTAATACTAGCAGCATATTCTATATGTCAATCCATCAGGCATTCAGAAATACATGCTTATGAAAATTTTTTGCACCATCAGAAAAAAGACAAGGGTAGAAGATATTTGTAACCCTATAAACACTAGTAAATAAAAAACCGAAGGAGCTTTATGTCCTAACATATCTGTGTTGTGAAAGGCTACCCTGTGAAATACATGATTTCTTAAACATATTTTAAAAATCATAGGTGTCAATGTTTTTTAGAAATCCATTTAAATTTTCTCTTGCTATTTTACAATGCATTTTTATTTATTTAGTGGCTCTGCTGATTTTGATGTATATCCTAAACTTTATATTTTCTTTAAAGGATGTTTTATACAACTTTATGTAAAATGTTTCAGTATCTTCACACTCTCTCCCTGTCCTTTTGTTTTGCTCTTATATGGTGATCTTGAGTCTTTTCTCTGGCTTTTCAAACCTAGTAAGACTAAGACACTAAAGTAACTTTGCCCGTGGTTTGGTAATGCCTTCTAAAGCACATCCTAAGCTCTAGTGCATACAGTGGTCTCCTTTGAGCTCTTCGCTTTTGAGATCCCATATACCGAAATTCCAGTACTCCAAATCAGTACTGCTTAGTTTTAGTTACTAAGTTTAAAAATGTATTTTAATAGCAAGTTAGTTTAGTGCACTCTTGCTTCTTTCTTGACTGCTTTTGTACATGTATATTCCTTTAAATGAATCTTGGAATTTATTTAAAAATTTTAAATTATACTAATGAAACTGTATATTGTTGTGAATTCATAAGTGAATTTGGAAAGAATTTGTCTTTATGATACTAAATCCTTTTTATCCAAGAATCATATGAGTCTTTGTAATTATTGCAGTCTATATTTATATCACTGAGTAAATATATAGAAATGTAGATACATACAGCTGTAGTTGTAGATACAAATATGGATATAACATGTTAAATCTATATCTATCCCATATAACATATATACATGTTATATGTGTGTGTGTGTATATATATATGTTTATGTTATTAAAGAGCTCCCTTAAAATTTTTCTTTTACTTCCTATATAATTTTAGGTCGAGCTTGAATTTTCGTAGTATAAACAAGCAAATAATTATACTAGTTTTAATACTGATGTTGAGACATTGTATCTTATTTTTGCATTGAATATTTTCACAATTATTATAAATATTATCTAATATTAATAATATACCTGTTAAAAATATTTAAAATTTTAACTTTGAATTATTTTATTGTTGAATTAAAATTCCTTTAATATGATAGTAAATTTCTATTTTATGCTTTCTCTATGCATATGCAAATTAATCTATCCACTTCTCTATCTCTACGTAGTAACATATGAAAATCAGGCCTCTCTTCTTCTAATGGACATACACGTTTGCATATAGAATATCAGACTCTTTATAGCATTTAAAATCTTTAAAGACATGAATATTGCCTTTTAACAAATATATTTTAGCATGTACTGAGAATCCCCTATTTATTTTTAATTTGGGCTAATCAATATGATTTTTAATATTATTGGATTACCAAATTTGGAAACACACTTTCATCCCCAAGGTGGATATTTGTTTTATTTTTTTTTTGCCAATTTCTTTTCTTACTTTTTCAAATATTGTTGGATATTATTTTTATTTTATTTGGCATTTTAGTATCAACATTTGTAATTGATGTACTCTACATATTTTTTCTTCAATATCTGGTGGTTTTTATAATTACGGCTATATTGGATTTGTAGTAGACATTGACAAAGAGTATTCCTGTATGTTTTATAGCTGTATGAAGGAAACAAATGTATTTTACCCCTAAATATATTTCCTTGATATATTTCAAAATGGCTATTGAGAAGGGCTGGAAATGCAAACCTAGATGCAAAGCTGTCTTGGGGAGATTTGCATCGGTAGAGAATCTGCCTTGATGCAGCCAGGCTTTCTCTGAGGTCTGCCTCCTTGTCTGGATCTAGGAAAGCTTAACTGAGAGTCTGAGGTCTCCAAAGGTCTGAAAGAAACATTTTCTGTTTATTCTCTCTGAGGACTGCTCCCAGTGAGGTTCCACCTATATAATAAGTCCACTGTTGCTAGCCAGGGTCGTTTTCTCACATAACCTTTTTTTTTTCCCTGTGATCCAAGACCCCATTCTTTCTGTAAACTTCCTGTGGTAGATAAGCTTCTGCATGCATCGTGTGTCTGGGTCTTCGTTCTAAGGGCTCCAGTGTACACACATTGCAGAAACCTGTATGCCTTTTCTACTATTTATCTGTCTCCTATCAGTGATTTTCAGGGAAACTTCAGAAGGCAAAAGGGACATTCTCCTTTAGCCCATTCTCAGACAAAATCCCCCAACATTTAACTGATTCCTAATAGCTTAAAATCACTTTGAAAAATCCATATATTTATAACCTTTTCTTCCCTCTGTGATTTCTGGTCAGCTTGGGTTTTGTTTTTCATTCCATTTACTTCATCCTCGAAAAGATCTATTTTATGTCTATTTATTCTCATTTATGGACATTGAGAAAAGAAAATAACTTTCATGTGAGAAATGCAAGTCCTTTTAAATAATCAGGCCCAGAGAGATATTCAAATGAGACAGCAGTTCTATCCTGCTCCGCTTTGAGCTGTGTGTTCATCTAGGCTGCTTGCTGTTGCCACAGTAGCTATAAATTAACCAATAACGCCACACCAGATACTATAATCCACACCCCATAATAGTGTAACAGTGTATAGCCAGTCACTAATAAATGTTATTTCCATAAGCCAATGAGAATTTGTGACACACCTCTTTGCATCATCCCACTTCTGGACCCTTTTTTGCCTTTAAGAAACTGCTTGTTGCAAAGCTCCAAAGGGAGTTCATATCCAAGGATACTTGGGTCTGTTTCTTCCAGGCAGCTGTCCTCATTGTGGCTCAAGTAAACTCTTTGAATTATGTTTTGTGCTTCAGCCCCTTCCACTTACATTAACAACATGGATTTGTGTCACCATGTACAGCAATTAAAATGTTTACTCTTTTCCCCTCGAGGGCACTGATGTGTTTTCCTGAGCACTTGGAATAGCTACGTAGTGTTTACTGTCTAGATTATGGTTTCTCAACCTAGGTGCTACTTACCTTTAGGACCAGAAGATTCTTTGTTGTGGGAGGCTGCCCTAGCAATGCTAGGTGTTTCGTTTGACCTCTAAATTTCACACCTCCACCAGTCTTAACATGCCCACAATAACCCTAGACATTGACAAATGTCTCCTGGGGAAAACTCTCCATCAGTTGACAGACAAAGTTCTGGAAATATTGGAATTGTCCATTGAGATTGTATGTTATCCAAAACAAATACTATTCTTTGTTTTTAAACATCTACTTCCATCTACTTATCTACTTATTTTTACTTTTATTTGTAACTTAATTCCATCAAGGAGAGAGAGTGCATTTTCTGTTATGCTAAATTTTTGAAGAATGTATTGATTTTTTATGACCTGATATATGGATGTTATGTAGATATTACATGTTTGTATTATCAAATTTCAGGGCGATAAGAAAATAAATACTTATAATATTTATATTGTCACTGCATATTAGTTATTTTCTTTCTTCACTACAGGAGTTTTTCAACCTATAGGCTATTTTTCAATTCTAGGTTATCCAGTAGATTTTGAAATGTTATGATTAAATATCTACTTCTCAAGCATTCATCTTTGCAAATGAAACAATCCCAAGCTCTTATAATGCACATCATATAAAGGGCAGATTAGTCAATATATGGTTCAGAAATAATTATGTAATATTTATAAGAAAATTAAAAATTTAGACCTTAACTCAGATAACAATAATCCAAATTAAAATTTGATTTCATTACATAATTTAAAATGACACCAGAATACTAGTAAAAATGTAGAAAAGTTTATATAATCTTTTTTAGCTGTGGGACTTTATTAGCATAAATTCAAATAGAGGAACCAAAGTAAGATTGAGACCTATAGTCAAAGGTTAAAATGTACACATTATAGGGGCATGATTAAACTAATTTAAAGCATGATAACATGGAGAAATATTGCAAAACATACATGTTACTGAATTGTCAATACCTAATCATTATGTGAGAACACAATTAAAGAGTAGCTACACACGCACACACCCACACGCAAGTGCAATATTGTCAAATAAACGATGTTCAGCTACACTAGAAATCACACCTGTGTTTTCTCCACAGAAAAGATTAAAAAGCACAATAATATTTATTGTACATATGGAGGTAAAGATACTCAAAAGATTACCCTAAGGTACATTTTTTTTTTTGAGATGGAGTTTTGCTCTTATTGCCCATGCTAGAGTGCAATGGCACAATCTTGGCTCACTGCAACCTCAGCCTCCCAGGGTCAAGTAATTCTCCTAGCTCAGCCTCCCAAGTAGCTGAGATTACAGGCATGCACTACCACACTCTGCTAATTTTTTGTATTTAGTAGAGACGGGGTTTCACCATGTAGGTCAGGCTGGTCTCCAACTCCTGACTTCAGGTGATCTACCCAATTCAGCCTCCCAAAGTGCTGGGATTACAGGCGTGCGCCTGGCCAGCTTTTTGACATATTTCAAGATGGCTACTCGGAAGACTGGAGATAGCTTCTTCTACAAGAAGAGCTGAAAAGCTGTGTTTGTTGGGGAGATTTGCATTTGTAGAGAAAATCTGCATTGATATAGACAGGCTTTCCGTGAGATACTCCCTTGTCTGGGTTTGGGAAAGATTAACTGAGCCTGGCACGTTTACATTTCTAAAAACCTTTTCCTATCTATACTTCCCAAGAGGAGGGCTGCTCCCTGTGAGGTTTCATCCATGTAACAAGCCCACCTCTGCTGCCAGGCTCCTCTTTCTTCCTTGTCATCACCTTTCTTCCGCAAAGCCTGATTTACCAACCTACAGCTCTGTGTTTTCTGTAACCTCAAGACAGCATAGGCGTGTTGACTACCTTGCCTTTCCTGGATTTTTTACATATATAGTATATATTGGTATATCTATATATAATATAGAAATATTTGTATAGGTATATTTATATATATTATGTAAACTCCAAGTGCATACTTGTGCAAATATCTGTAAACCTTTTTTTCCTGTTAAATCATACATCATCAGTTTGTTTTATAGACTCAAATAATTAAAGCTTCAAGGGAAAAATTTAAACTTTCCTATAGAGAAAAGACAAATACATAGGTGACAAATAATATTTAGAGTGTAAGACGCTTTTTAAAGGTATATTTGCAATTTGTGTCAAAACATTTAAATATACATTTGTTATTTTAACTATAAAATTTCAAATAATTTAAGCCAAATACATAGTATATGCAGAAAATTTAGCAATATATCTATGTAGCACCTTACTGTGCATTACTGAAACCAGCCGTCTAATATAAAGAATTAAGGTAGCAGCTACTTTTCAAAGAGTGCATTTTTTTTTCACAGACCTATTAAATCAGACAAATAACATTTAAACTTTATTTTTAAATTTGCAGAATAGTAGTTTTCAGCAGATGGTTTATTTTAGCAAATTCCATCTTCACATTGTGCTATGATTTTATGAGTTCCAGCTTTTAACGGATAATATTTTACTGCTGAAACTATCATGTGTGATATAATTGCTCATTATGTGCCTTAAAACACAAGCAATATAATTATTTTCAACTTGGAGCAAATTAAAATCTTATCAGCAATTTAAAATCTCTAGAGTCATCTTCTTCTGGTTAATTATTTTAAACTTGTATTTTTCTCTTTATGTTTTTAGTGAGTTGTCTTATCAAGGAGAAGAACTCAAGCTTATTCTTCTTTTTTTTTCTCTTCCATCCACCTCGCAGGTGTGTTAATAATTTCATTTCTCAGAAAATGTTCTTTCATATCCATCTTACAAGATGAGAGACCTTTTAACGTCTTCCATTCGGATGTCATACCAGTAATGGAAAATATTGCAGCTTCATGAATATGGTGATACAAATAGTTATCCGTCTAACCTCTTTCAGTGCCAAATGTTTACTTTACTCAGTGAATTACTCAGTTGACTGGTAATTTCTTCTGAAATCACTAATGAGAGGATCAGAGGTCTGGCTGTTGTCTGTACCACATATGACTCCCAGTGCAGACAATTGTTTCTATGGAGCACAGACTGTTGAAAGGATTGACTTCCTGCACAGAATAGTTTCTGCTGTGCTTCTTACCCTTCTTCTGGAGATTTCAGATTATCTGAATTGCTTTTCTATCTTGAGAAAAAACGCAACAATTCTTCCACCTGAGTGGAATGTAAACTGTAGTAAGTTAGCAGAACCAATCTGTAAAATTTTTACATTGTTGGTTGCAAAATGCAGCGCTGGTGTCTCCATCACTAACCTTTTTTTTTTTTTTTTTTTTTTTTGAGACGGAGTCTCGCTCTATCGCCCAGGCTGGAGTGCAGTGGCGGGATCTCGGCTCACTGCAAGCTCCGCCTCCCGGGTTCACGCCATTCTCCTGCCTCAGCCTCCTAAGTAGCTGGGACCACAGGCGCCCGCCACTACGCCCGGCTAATTTTTTGTATTTTTAGTAGAGACGGGGTTTCACCGTTTTAGCCGGGATGGTCTCGATCTCCTGACCTCGTGATCCGCCCGCCTCGGCCTCCCAAAGTGCTGGGATTACAGGCGTGAGCCACCGCGCCCGGCCACTAACCTTTTCTATCCCTCATTGCTCTTTCTTTGACTGCAATAGGATACCTCTAGGCAAATTTATATTCCTGAGACAGAGTGCCCTTTTGGTGAGCTATAAGCACACTCAGTGGTAGGCTAAAATACTAGCTTTTACCTATGGCGAAATGGAATCATATCAGTGATTTTTTTAAAAAGGAAATTTAACTCTTGCTATGGTTTGAATGCTTGCCCCTTCCAATCTCATGTTAAAATTTGATCCCCAATGTTGCAGGTGGGGCTTACTGGGAGGTGTTTGTTCATGGGGTTGGACCTTCATGAATGGATAATACCCTCCCTTAGAAATCTAACGCTATCCTCCTTCCTCGGTGCCCTCAGGAATGAGTGTACCATTCTTTATTCACCTATAATTCCCCCACCCATCCTTTTTGAGATATTAATTACATGTATGTTACACTGCTGCATATTGTCTGACGTATCAGTGAGTTTCTGGCTTTCTTATTTTAGTTTACCCTTTGTCCTTTAGTTTGTAAAGCTTCTATTTTTTTCTATAAATTTTCTGATGTTAGGGTAAAATCCATTACTTATTCTATCTCTGGAATTTTTATTTCAAATATTTATTTTTCATCTATACATGTCACATTTTTCATTTTATAACTTCTATTTTTCTCCTATGTTCAATTTTCATTTAAGTACCTAGACATATATATGTATTTATCTATATGTATTTATAAAATATATTTACTTTAAGGACCTTGAAATTTCCTTCTTTTCCATCATTTATAAATGACTTATTTTTATCCTGTTAATATATATCTTAATTATATATATTGTATGGCTTCTTTGCATGTTCGAGTTTTTTTGGGGGTATTTTGATGTTATGCTATTGAATATCTAGATTTCATTGGCTACCTTTGAACAATGTTGTGGCAGGCAGTTCAGTAACTTTAGGATGAGTATTTGTCTGTTGTTGTTTTAAATCTTCTCTTTACACTTTGTGGAGTTAGTATAGAGCCATCAGTCATTTGGAGCTAAATGAGCACTGTCACTAAGGCATGAACCTCCAGTGGTCTTTACTGAATATCCTGGAGGTACAAAGGGGATTCCCTTCTCTGATTAGAATTTGGAATATAAAGAGAAAAGAGAAAATTAGAAAGCTATACATAAACACTTGAATTAAAATGAATTTTATGTGGGCTTTTCATGAAAATGTTCCTAAGATATTTTATTTATTTATTGTGGTAAAATACACATAACATAAAATGTACTCTGTTAACCACTTTAAGTTTACAGTTCAGTGGTACTAAATATAGTCATAACATTGTGCAGCCGTCCCTACCATCCATCTCCATAATTCGTTTCATCTTGCAAAACTGAAACTCTATACACATTAAACAATACTTCCCCATTTCTTCCTCCCCCCAGCTTCTGGCAACTATCATTGTACCATCTCTATAACGCTAATCAAGCATAGTGGCTGTGTTTCCTGCTTCCTCTAGTCCGCAGGTAGCATACAAATGTAATAAACTACTTACTCATGTCATATCTATTTATTTTCTGCCTTATACCAAGCTTGTGGGATTCTCTTAAATACAACATTTTTATACTTACACCTATGCAATACCCACTAGCATCGCCTTCATAAATCAGGGGAAATTGAGCCTCTGTAAGGTGGAGTAACATCCTAAGATATAAAACTCAGCATTGAAGTCTGTATACTTCAGTATCCTGCCCTCTTCTCATTTGTCTTTACTGCCTTTATGTATGTGTTAGATGTTCAATAAATTCTCTTTTTTAAACTAAATTGAAGCCTTGGAGCAGTGTTTTGTTGAACAATAAATATGATATAGGACACTGTTCTTCCCTTTCATTTATGATGCAGTTCATGAAAAAGAGAAATTCTTTCATTGTGCTAGAAACTTAAAATAATGAAAATGCCACTTTCTACATTAAACAGAAACTGAAGGGAATCAAGGTGAATGGCATGAGACATAGAAAACAAGCGGGAAAGAAATCTAGTATAATTTGCCCTTTGTGTACCTTTATTATTTAGCGTTTGAGTAAATGATTCCCCCAAATATCTTCCCATCTTAATTCATGTCTCTAAAGGAGACATTTATGTCTCACCTTGTAAAGAAGGGCAAACTCTAACATCAACATTTCCCAAAAATGCTTCCTGCTAAAACGTAAGCTCAGTCTGGCTAGAAATGCAGCTCACTTCATAAAGACTAATTGGTAGCTGATTTTGCATGTTGTTCTCTGAACTTGAGTGAAACCTGTCCCTCAGGCATACAGGGAATGACGGAAAAGGTGACAACAGAAGATGAATGCTACTTCGCTAACCTTCAAAGATGACCTGTCTTTTCTTTCAAATTCTTGATATCTTAAGACTTCATTAATTCATTTCTCTTTGCCCTTGGTTCAACATTGTGCTGTGCCAAAACTCATGTAAAACAATGATCTAATGTAATGAAAATGGCATTTTTCTTTCATGTAGATGCAAGCTAACTGGCATTTTTACAGTCCACATATTTCCTTTGTCAATTTTTCTTTCTGTATTCGAAGTAATTGATAAGCATTTCTGAAGGGATGAAGGTGTTTCTGTGTTCATTGTGATCCAAACTATTTTTAGACCTAGGGGCATTTGTAAAACAATTTCTGCCAGCTGACCAAGGATCACTGTGGCAGAAAGCAGCAAACTTGCATAAGATGTCACTGCCTCATAAGTTGGCTTTGAAAACTAGGGGCTTACTCTATAGTCTTATGAATCAAAGACATTGATAGATGTAGTATAAGATTACAATCATATTTTCCTTTTGACAGTCACATTATAAAGCATGATGTATTGCAATTAATCTCAATTAGCTGATCACAATTAAAATTAATAATGTTTATTATTGCTGATAAACAATCATGACTCTCCTGTTCTCAAATGTGCAAGTAATTCTTGTAATTTTAATATGAATTTGCATATTATTATTAATTGATTTAATCTCATTGGATTTGGTTCATGGATCCAATTTATTCAAATATTGATAATGGGATAATGACTTGTCTCCCCATTTCATGTACACTAAAAACAACAATTCTTATAATGGTCTGCAAGCTCATCATGATCTGCCACATGTTAACCACCAAAATTCTTTTATATATTCACCCTTGAACTTACCAGTGGTCCTGGCCACCTCACTGTCCTCTGGACATGCCCACACGCTGCTGCCTTATGATCAAGACTCTAGTTAATTTCTTTCCTTGGAAAGATAGCCCTCCATATATCCATTCATCAGCTCATTCAACTTCCTCAAGTCTTTACTGAAATTTCACATTCTCGATGAGGCCTATTCAGTATTTCAAACTGCCTCCCAGCTGCAACATTCCAAAACCCCTTACTCTTCTGTGTATTTCTGAGAGGATTTATTGAGATATAATTTACATAGTGTAGAGTGCACACATTAATGTCTACAAGTCACTGGCTTTTAGTATATGCACAGATAAGTGGCGCCATAATCACAATGAATTTTAGAACATTTTCATCACTTCAAAAAGAAACCCCACCTTCTCTAGCTGTTAAGCTCCTATGCATCCATCCCCTACTCAATCCTAAGCAACCACAAATCTGTTTTCTGTCTCTATAGATTTTCCTATTCTGTTTTCATCTAAATAGAATCATACAATAGGTGGTCTTTTCTGCCTGGCTTCTTTCAGTTGGCCTAATGCTGTCAAGGTTCATGTACGTATTGGTACTTTATTTCTTTTTATAACTGTATAACATTCAATTTCATGGATATAACATTTTGTTTATACAATAAAATTTTTGTTGACATTTGAGTTGTGTTCAACCTTTGGTTATTTTAAATACTGCTGCTAAAAATACTTGTGTACAATTTGTGTTTGAACACCTCTTTCCAATAATCTGGGTGTATACCTAGGAATACATTTCTGGGTCATATGACAATTCTATGTTTAATATATTCAGAAGCCATCAAATTATTTTCCAAAGTGGCCAGTTCTAGCCATAGAGTATCTAACTGTGGTTTTGATTTGTAGTTGCCTGATGAGTGATGCTATTGAGTATCTTTTTATGGGATTATTGACCACTCGTGTATCTTCTTGAGAAACACATCTATTGCTATCATTTATCAGTTTTGAGTTGGGATATTTGTTACTGAGTTAAAACATTTTTTCTATATTCAAGACACATATATATACAGACATATAGATACGTGTTTTTCAAATATCTTCTCACAATTTTTGAGCTGCCTTTTGACTTGCTTGGTTGTCCTTTGAAACACCAATGTCTTTAATTTTTAAGAAATTTTAAATATCGAATTTTTATTTTGTTGCTCATGTTTTTGGGGTTACAGCTATTTCTTTGCTAGATCCAAAATCCTGAAGATTTTCCCATATGCTTTATTCTAGCTCTTGCATGTGTGTATATAATTCATTTGAGTTAATATTTTTGTATGCTTTGGGTAAGGGTTCCAATTTATTATTTTGCAAGTGGTGATCCACGTCTACGTTGTTAACCCAGTTTGTTCAAAGACTGTCTCTTCCTCATTGAATTGCACATGGCACCACTGTAAGAATCCATTGACTATAGACACATAGTTTTATATATGGACTCTCAATTCTCTTCCATCAATCTATATATTTTTCCTTCATCTGTATTGTGTTGTCTTGATTACTGACACTTTGCAGTAAGGTTTGGAGCATGGGGGTGTGAATTATCCTACTATGTTTTCTTTTTTCAAGATTATTTTGGGTATTTTGTGTCCCTTACAATTCCATGTGTATTTTAGAATCAGCTTGTCAGTTTCTAGACAGAAGTCTGTTGGGATACTTGCAGGGATTTCATCAAATCTGTAGTTCAAATTGTAAAGTACTACAATATTAAATCTTCCAATTCATGGCTGTAAGATGTTTGCTAATTATTTAGATATTCTTTAAACAATAATTTTTAATTTTCAGAGTAAATTCTTGTATCCCATTTTCCAAATTAATTATTATTTATTTTTTTTGATGCTATTTTAAATTGAAGTGTTTTCTTAATTTCATTTTGGGGTTTTCATTGTAGATGTGTGCAATTGATTTTTGTACATTTATCTTGTATGCTGTAATATTGCTGAAATAATTTACTAGTTCTATCGTTCAGTGGATTCCTTAAAATTTTCTATATATAAGAATGTTATTTTCAAATAAAATTTTATTTCTTCCTGTTCAATATGGGTGAATCTTATTTTTTTAGTTGCCGATTTGCCCTGCATAAAATCTTTAGTAAAGTGTTGACTAGAAAAGTTCAAAGTATATATCATAAGAATATGATATATCATAAGAATATTCTTATCTCTGACCATAGCAGGAAAGCATCCTTTACCATTAAGTTGCATGCTTGCTGTTGTCTTTTCACAGGTGCCATGTATCTGGTGTAGAAAGTTCTCTATTCCTGGTTCATTGAGTTTTTATTTTTATTTTTAATCATTAAAGCATTTGGATTTTGTTAAATGTCTTTTCTGAATCTATCGAGATGATCATGCAATTCTCGTTTCTTATTCTATGGATAAGATGTATTACCTTAATGGATTTTGGGCTGTTAAACCAACCTGGGATTACTTGTATAAATTTCACTTTGTCATTGTGTATAATTCTTTTATATGTTGCTAGATATGATTTGTTAGTATTTTTCATGGAATTTTGCATTTATACTTATAGTAGTTTTATTTTTCTATGCTATTTGGACTAATTTTTGTATCAAGGTAACACTGGCTGCACAGAATAAATTGGGAAGTGAATATTTCTCTCTTTTAAAAAAGCTAGTCAAGAATTAATATCAATTATTCAACACTAACAAATATTATTATGAATTATTAATTTCTCTAATTTTTATTTTCTTCCTTCTGCTTGCTTTAGGTTTAGTTTGCTATTCTTTCCAGTGCCTTAATGTGGAAGGTCATCTAATCTCATCCTTTCATTTGTCTTTTCATTTTCTATATAGTGTCTTTTTAGCATCAGGTGATCTCCCCAGGTTGGTAGTACTCCATGTTTATTATTGTACAACAATGACAGGTAATATGTCCTGAAGACAATGAAAACTTAACATTCAAAATCTCCTAGATTCCACCTTATATGATATGTCTCTTCAATTGGTCCTAATTTCTACCCTTTCTCTATTATAAACCATGAGTACAATGGCATTCAATGAGTTCTGTGAGTGTTTCTAGTAAACTCTTGAAACTGAGGGTGTTCAGGGGAAACCCCTGAACTGGCAGTTGGTGTCAGAAGTGAGAATCGTCTTATATGGCCTCTTCCTTTGAACTTTGCAGCTGGACACAAACTCTGCACAATTTGGGCCGGAAGTCTCGTGTTGACTTTGCAGCCTAAAGCATCTTGTAGTTTGTCTAACCCTCAATAAATTTGCTTTCATCAAATATTGTATTTGTTACCCCAAAATTACCGTCACGTTTTTTTTCTCCAAATAACTAACATTGGGAGAAATAGCCAGCTGAGTCTGTAACTCAACAGAAACAAGTGATCCATATACCACATACCATATAAGTGGCCATTTCATTTTGCCTTCTGCCACCAAATCTTAGCAACCTCAACCATTGCCATAAGCCACAGTAGGCCTACCAGCTACAAACAAGTATCTTTTAAAAACACTTCATACTCCCATTTGATACATTTCCCAGCAAAGAGATGCCTACTTTAACTCTATGCAAGTGGCTCATATTCACGAAGTCTGTAGATATTATTCATGTAGTGTGAGAAAATCATCCCAGCGATGCCAGCACATTCTCCTTCCCATGATCTGCTTAGTTTGCAAACATATTCAGGCCATGGGTAAGAGATTTGTATTTCACAGTACAACAATTTTATGGAGGGCATTGAAACTTACCTTGAGCATTTTAGTACAGTCACACATCACTGAATGATAGGGATACGTTTTATCAGATGCATCCATAGGCAATTTCATCATTTTGCAAACATCACAGAGAATATTACAAACACCTAGATTGTACAGCCTACCACGTCTAGGTTATATGGTATAGCCTCTCTCTCCCAGGCTACAAACCTGTGTACTACATTACTCTACTGAATACTGCAGGCAATAAGAACACAGTGGAAAGAGGTCATGTATCTAAACATACTTAAACGTAGAAAAGTATGTAAAAATATGTATTATAATCTCATGGGACCACTTTTGTATATGTAATCCGTCTTTGACTGAAATATTATTATGCATGACATGACTCTATGACAAAAATAAAATAACACATTGTTAAAAATGTACACAGGTATCAATCATATTAATATTGTAAAAATAAAAATATTTATTCAGTGTAAGAATTTGTAATGATCACAAAATGTTCACAGCTTATATTTTAGTACAGTTTCGAAAGCCTAGTGCAATTACTATTTATTTCTGTGTGTATTTTAAACAGGTATATAATGAATATTTTTCAGGTTCAACAGTATATATAAATCCAACTGGCTCTTATAAATATTAGTTAAAATCAATTAGTAAATTCATATATATATACACACGTGTATAAGTCTGTATGCATGTATGTGTGTTTAAATGTAACTGTATGTGTGTGTAAATGTAACTGGATGCATCCTAATATTTACCCTTACCCACAAGATTTCCAAGATTCATTTATTATCTTTAGATGATGTGCATTTAAAGATTTACCAAATAAAACTGTAATCGTGGAAAATATCAAGATGTTATTAAATTCATCTTGTGCACATAATTGTTTCTTTAAATTTATGTTTCTTGCAAAACTTGCGGTAATGCTCATGCAACAAATAATTTTCTAAATAAAAAATAAAATCATTTTCTCAGTCATTAATTCTTAATAATTATTTCTCCCCGATAATTAATGTGAATTAATTCTTAATTCTTAATTATAGAATAATGTTGCCCTTCAGAGTTCTGAATCTTTTGCCTGTTGTATACATTTCACTAACTAGAACAACTTCTGGAATATTGGCATTAATTAATGTCACTCAGCAATTAATGATTTCAAAGAAATTAAATACCATTCATATTCTGAATCACAAGAGTACTTTGGCATCTAGTTTAATCAATCTCATTGTATCATCATCTACACTTTAATTACTTAACAAACATTTCTCTGTGTGAGAAAGATTGAGCAGGTTATTGTGCTTTTTAAAGATGCAACTTTTGCTTAATCTAGAGATAGGCAATGCTCCCTATAAGGGACAAAGAGAAAAATGAAAGAGCAATGGAGATGTGACAGGCATGGAAAAAGACAATACATTTATAAAACAAATAGGGCCACAGATGATGATAATGGGGAACAAATCTTGAGATACTGACTGAGTTTATAACTGCACTGTACAATATAGCAAATCACTTGTTAATTTTTTTACAAATGGAATTTAATTTAATTAAGACGAATACAGTGTTTTAAACAAGGCAGGTCATCTTAAAATAAAGTAGTGGAATAAAGTGATAAAACCAATGTAAAAGTCATAAACATTTTAAAAAGAATTTTGTCATGTAATTTAATATTTTTCTTTATTTGAAATCACCCACATCAAAATAATTTAATCTTAATTAACAAATAATCATCAGAAGTTAACTAATTTTTACTTTATAATACTAGGTTTAAAAATTCTTAACTATATTTTTAATCATATATGCTTATACATAAAATAGACATAGGGTAAATTTACATGTTCACAATATTATATTTTAATTGTTCCTAAGGAATGGAATGGAATCATTGAATGGAATTGAATGGAATCACCAATGAAGGGAATCGAATTGAATCATCGTCAAATGGAATCAGGTGGAATCATCGAATGGAATCTAATGGAATCATTGTCGAATGGAATGGAATGGAATCATTGAATGGAATTGAATATAATCACCAATGAATAGAATCAAATGGAATCCTCATCGAATGGTTTCAAATGGAATCATCAAATGGACTCGAATGGAATAATCGGATGGCATTTACTGGAATCAACATCGAATGGAATCGAATGGAATCATCATCAAATGAAATCGAATGGAATCATGGAATGGCATCTAATGTAATCATCATCCAATGGAATCAAATGGAGTGATCTAATGCACTTGTGTGGAATCATCATTGAATGGAATCGAGTGGAATCATTGAACGGACACGAATGGAATCATCATCGAATGGAATCAAAAGGAATCATCATCAAGTGGAATCGAATAGAATCAACATAAAATGGAATTGAATAGAATCATTGAATGAAATAGAATGGAATCATCATCGAATGGAATCAAATAGAATCATTGGATAAAATTGAATGGAATAAACATCTAATGGAATCAAATGGAATCATTATCGAATGGAATAGAATGGAATCATCATCGAACGGAATTAAATAGAATCATCGAATGAAATTTAATGGAATCATCATCGAATGGAAACGAATGGAATCATCATCGAATGGAATTGAATGGAATCATCATTGAATGGAATCAAATGGAATCTTCAACAAGTGGAGTCACATGGAATCCTTGAATGGAATCTAATGGAATCATCAGCACATGAAAACGAATGGAATCATCATGGAGTGGAATCTAATGAAATCATCATCTAAGGGAATCCAAAGGGATCACTGAATTGAATGGAATGATCATTGAATGGAATCGAAGGGCATCATCGAATGGGATGGAATGGAATCACTGAATGGAATTGAATGGAATCATCAAAAGGATTCGAATGGAATAATCATCCAATGGAATCGAATGGAATCATTGAATGGACTCGAATGGAATCATCATCGAATGGAATCGAATGGAAACATCGAATGGACACGAACGAAAACATCATTGAATGGACTCGAATGGAATCATTGAATGGACTCGAATGGAATAATCGAGTGGACTCAAAGGGAGTCATCATCGAATGGTATTGAATGGAATCATTGAATTTACTCGAATGGAATATTCATCAAATGGAATCGAATGGAATCGTCATCGGATTTAAACGAATGGAATGATCATTGAATGGAATCGAATGATTCATCGAATGGAATCAGATGGAATCATCATTGAAAGGAATCGAATAGAATCGATGAATGAAATCGAATGGAATCATCATCAAGTAGAATCGAATGTAGTCACTGAATGGACTCAAATGGAATCATCATCCAATGGAATCAAATGGAATCAACATCAAATGGAATCAAATGGAAACACCATCGAATTGAATCTAATGGAATCATCACGGAATTGAAATGAAGAGACTCATCATCAAATGGATTAGAAGGGAATCATCGATTGGAATTGATTGGAATCATCACTGAATGCAATCAAATGGAATCATTGAATGGAATCGAATGAAATCATCACCGAATGGAATCGAATGGAATCTTCTAATGGACCCTAATGGAATCATCAACGAATGGAATAAGATGGAATCATCAAATTGACTTGAATGGAGTCATCGAATGGATTCAAATGGAATCATTATTGAATGGAATTGAATGGAATCATAGAAAGGTATCGAATGGAATCATCATCAAATGGAATCGGATGGAATCATCAGATGGAATCGAATGGAATCATCATCAAAAGAATCGAATAGAATCTGCATCAAATAGAATCGAATGCAATCATCATCGAAAGGAATCAAATGGAATTTTCTTCAAATGGGATCGAATAGAATCATCATGGATTAGAATCACATGGGATCATCGAATGAAAGAGAAAGGAATCATTATCAAAAAGAATCGAAATAAAACAAAGAATGGAATCAAATGGAATCATCATTGAATGGATTCGAATTGAGTCATTATCGAATGGAATCAAATGGAATCATTTAATGGACTCGAAAGGAATCATTGGACTCGAATGGGATCATCGAATGGAATCGAATGGAATCATCATCAAATGAAATAAAATGGAATCATCGATTGGACTCGAATGGGATCATCGTCGAATGGAATCGAATGAAATCATGGAATGCACTCGAATGGAATCATCGAATGGACTCCAATGGAATCAACATCGAGTGGAATCGAAAGGAAACATCAAATAGAATTGAATGGAATCATCGAATGGAATCATCATCGAATGGAATCGAATGGAATCATCGAATGGACCTGAATGGAATCATCATCGAATGGAATCAAAAGGAATCATCGAATGGAATTGAATGTAATCATCATTGAATGGAATCGAATGGAATAATTATGGAATGGAGTCCAATGGAAACATCATCGAATGGAATCGAATGGAATCATCAATTTATGGAATCAAATGGAAACATCATCGAATGGAATTGAATGGAAACATCAATGAATGGAATCGAATGGAATCATCGAATGGAGTCCATTGGAATCATCATCAAATGGAATCGAATGCAGTCATCATCGAATGAAATCAAATGGAATCATCGAATGGACTCGATGGAATCATCATCACATGGAATCAAATGGAATCATCAAATGGACTCGAATGGAATGACCGCCAAATGGAATCGAATGGAATTATCAAATGTACATGAATGGAATCATCATTGAATGGATTCAAATGGAATCATCGAATGACATCGAAAGGAATCATCTTCGAATGGAATCTAATGAAATCTTCGAATGGACTCAAATGGAATCATCGAATGGAATTGAGTGGAATCATCATCGAATGGAACTGAAAGGAATCATCGAATGGACTCGAATGGAATCATCATCAAATGGAATCGAATATAATCATAATCAAATGAAATTGAATGGAATCATTATCTATAGGATTTGATTGGAACAATCGTTGACTAGAATCGAATGGAATCACTGAATTGAATCAAATTTAAGGATCATGAAATGGAATCAAAGGGAATCATTGAATGGGATCGAACGGAGTCATCAAATGGAATCGAGTGGAATCATCAATTGGATTTGAAAGGAATAATCATCGAATGGAATCAAATGGAATCATTGAATGGACTCGGATGAAATCATCATTGAATGGAATTGAATGGAATCATCGAATGGACACGAATGCAATCATCATTGAATGGACTCAAATGGAATCATCAAATGGAGTCAAATGTAATCATCATCAAATGGAATCAAATGGAATCATTGAATAGCACTGAATGGAATCATCGTCGAATGGAGTCAAATGGAATCATTGAATGGAATCGAATGGAATAATCATGGAATGTAATCAAATGGAATCTTCGAATGGACTCGAGTGGAATAATCATAGAATGCAATCGAATGGAATCATCATCGAATGGAACCAAAGGGAATCATCGAATGGAATCGAATTGAATCACCATCGAATGGAATCGAATAGAACCATTGAATGAAATCAAAAGGAAGCATCTTCAAATGGAATTGAATGGAATCATCAACAAATGGAATAGAATGGAAACATAGAATGGAATCCAAAGTAATCCTCATCAAATTGAACCCCATGTAATCATTAAATGGGCACCAATGGAATCATCAAATGGACTCGAATGGAATCATCATTGAATGGAATGGAAAGGAATCATTGAATGCTATCTAAGGGAATCATCACTGAATGAAATCAAATGGAATCATCAAATGGACTCGAATGGAATCTTCATTGAAAGGAATCAAAAGGAATCATCGAATGGACTCGAATGGAATCATCATCGAATGGAATTGAAAGGAATCATCAAAGGGATTTGAATGGAATCACTGAATGTTCTCGAATGGAATCATCATCAAATGGAAACAAATGGAAGAATCAAACAGACAAAAACGGAATCATCATCGAATGGAATCGAATGGAAGCATCAAATGGAATCAAATGGAATCATCATTGAGTGGAATGGAATGGAATCGTGATTAAATGGAATTGAATGGAAACATCATCGAATGGAATAGAATGGAATCATCATCGAATGCAATCAGATGGAATCATCATGTAATAGAATCGAATGGAATCATCAACGAATGGAATCGAACGGAGAAATCGAATGGAATCCGTTGGAATCATCATGAATGGAATCGAATGCAGTCATCATCAAATGTAATTGAATGGACTCATCATCGAATGGAATCGAATGGAATCATCAGCAAATGGAATCGAAAGAAATCATTATGGAATAGAATTGAATGGAATCATCGAATGGAATGGAATGGAATCATCAAGGAAAGGAATCAAAGGGAATCATCGAATGGAATCGAACGGAATCATCTAACGGAATTAAATGGAATCATCATCGAATGGACTCAAAGGGAATTATCATTGAATAAAATTGAATGGAATCATTGAATGGATTCAAATGGAATAATCGAATGGACTCCAATGGAATCATCAAATGGAATCGAATGGAATCATTGAATGGACTCTAATGGAATCATCATCAAATGGAATCAGATGGAATCAATGAAGGGACTCGAAAGGAATCATTGAATGGACACGAATGGAATCATCATTGAATGGAATCGAATGGAATCATCGAATGGACTCGACTGGAATCATCATCGAATGGAATTTAATGCAGTAACCATTGAATGGCATCGAATGGAATCATCGTCGAGTGGAATCTAATGGAATCGACGAATGAAATCGAATGGAATCATCATCGAGTGGAATCGAATGGAATCACCCAATGGAATTGAATGGCATCATCATTGAGTGCAATCCAATAGAATCATCGAATGAAATCAAATGGAATCATCATCAAATGGAATCAAATGGAATCATCATGGAATGGAATCGAATGGAATCATCATCAAATGGAATGTAGTGGAATCATCATCGAAGGGAATCGAATGGAACAATCAATGACTGGAATCGAATAGAATCATTGAATGGAATCGAATGGAATCATCAAATGGAATCGAACAGAATAATCATCAAATGGAATCAAAAGGAAACATCATGTGGAAACAAATGAAATCATCATCGAATGGAATCAAAGGGAATCACGAATGGAAATGAATGGAATCACCACTAAAAGTAATCGAATGGAATCATCATCATATGGAATCGAATGGAATCATCGAATGTACATGAGTGGTATCATCATGGAATGGAATTGAGTGGAATCATCATCGAGTGGACTCGAGTGGAGTCATCATCGAACTGAACCGAATGGAATCATCGAATGGACTTGACCGGAATCATCATCGAATTGAATTGAATGGAATCATTCAATGGACGCAAATGGAATCATCATTGAATGGATGCTAAAGGAATCATCATCGAATGGAATCTAGTGGAATCATCATCGAATGGAATCGAATGGAATCATCATTGAATGAAATCAAATGGAATCGTCATCAAATGCAATCAAATGGAATCATCATTGAAAGGAATCGAATGGAATCATGGTATGGAATCGAATGAAATCATCATTGAATGGAATCGAATGGAATCATCGACTGGAATTGAATGGAATCACCATTGAATGGAATTGAATGGAATAATCATCGAATGGAATTGAGTGGAATCATCAAATGGACTCGAATGGAAACATCATCGAACGGAATCAAATGAAATCATCAAATGTACTCTAATGGAATCATCATTAAATGGAATCAAATGGAATCACTGAATGGACTCGAATGGAATCATCATCAAATGTAACCAAATGAAATCATGAACAAATGTAATCAAATGGAATCATCATCGAACGGAATCCAGTGGTAACAACGAATGGACACGAATGGAACCATTATCGAGTGTAATCAAATGGACTCTAATGGAATCATTGAATGCACTTTAATGGAATCATCCTCGAATGGAATCGAATATTATCATCATCAAAAAGAATCAAATGGAATCATCATCGTGTGGACCCAAATTTAATCAGCATTAAATGGAATGGAATGAAATCATTTAAAGGACTTGAATGGAATCATCATCGAATGGAATCGAATGGAATCATCTAATGGACATGAAAGGAATCATCATCGAATGGACTCTAATGGAATCATCCTCGAATGGAATCGAATAGAATCACCATCAAATGGAATCGAATGGAATCATCATCGAATGGATTTGAACGGAATCTTAATCGAATGGAATCGAATGGAACCATCAACGACTGAAATCGAATAAAATCATTCAATGGAATTGAATGGAATCAATGAATGGAAGCGAACGGACTCATCTTTGAATGGAATCGAATGGAATCATCATACGGAATTGAATGAAATCATCATCGAATGGAATAGGATGGAATCGTCGAATGGAATTGTATGGAATCACCATTGAATGGAATGGAATGGAATCATCATTGAATGGAATTGAATGGAATCATCGAATGGGCTCGAAATGAATAATCATTGCATAGAATCCCATAGAATAATTGAAAAGTGTCGAATGGAATCATCAACGAATGGAACAGAATGGAATCATTGAATGGACTCGAATGGAATCATCATCGAATGGAATCAAAAGGAATCATTGAATGGATCCGATTGGAATCATCATCAAATGGAATTGAATGGAATCATCAAGGAATGGAATCGAATGGAATCATCATCGAATTGAATCGAAAGGAATCCTCATTGAATGGAATTGATTGAAATCATCATTGAATGGAATCCTCTTCACATGGAATCAAATTGAATCATCATCAAATTGAATCGAATGGAATCATCATCGAATGGAATTGAAAGGAATCATCATCGAATGGAATTGAATGCAGTAATCATTGAATGGCATCGAGTGGAATCATCCAGTGGAATTGAATGGCATCATCAACGAGTGGAATTCAATAGAATCATCAAATGAAATTGAATGGAATCATCATCGAATGGATTCTAATATAATCATCATTGAATGGAATCGAATGGAACCATCAATGACTGGAATTGAATGGAATCATTGAATGGAATCTAATGGAATCATCAAATGGAGTCGAACGGAATAATCATTAAATAGAATCGTAAGGAATCATCATATGGAAACAAATGAAATCATCAACGAATGGAATCGAAGGGAATCACGAATGGAAATGGATGGCATCACCCTTGAATGGAATGGAATGGAATCATCATCGAATGGAATCAAATGGAATAATCGAATGGATTCGAGTGGTATCATCATCGAATGGAATTGAGTGGAGTCAACATCGAGTGGACTCGAGTGGAATCATCATTGAATCGAACTGAATGGAATCATCAAATGGACTCGACTGGAGATATCATAGAATGGAATCGAAGGGAATCATTGAATGGACTCGAATGGAATCATCAATTAATGGACTGTAAGGGAATCATCATCAAATGGATTCTACTGGAGTCATCATCAAATGGAATAGAATGGAATCATCATCGAATGGACTGTAAGGGAATCATCATCGAATGGATTCTAATGGAATCATCATCGAATGGATTCTAAAGGAATCATCATCGAATAGAATCAAATGGAATCATCATCAAATGCAATTGAATGAAATCATCATCAAATGGACTTGAATGGAACCATTGTATGGAATCGAATTAAATCATCATTGAATGGAATCGAATGGAATCATCGAATGGAATTGAAAGGAATCACCATTGAATGGAATCGAATGGAATCATCATCAAATGGAATTGAATGGAATCATCGAAAGGACCCAAATGGAATCATGTTTGAATGGAATTGAGTGGAATCATCAAACGGACTCAAACGGAAACATCATCGAATAGAATGACATGGAATCATGGAATGTACCCTAATGGAATCATCATCAAATGGAATCAAAAGGAATCATTGAATGGACTCGAATGGAATCATCATCAGATGGAATCAAATGGAATCATGAAGAAATGTAATCAAATGGAATCATCATAGAATGGAATCAAATGGTAACATCGAAAGTACACGAATGGAAACATCATGGAAAGTAATCGAATGAAACCATTGAATGGACTCGAATGGAATCATCAAATTAAATCGAATGGAATCATCATCAAATGGACTCGAATGGATTCATCTAATGCACTCGAATGGAATAATCACCGAATGGACTCGAATGGAATCATCAAATGGAATTGAATGGAATCATCATCGAATGAAGTCAAATGGAATCATCGTATTGACTCGAATGGAATCATCATTGTGTGGAATCGAAAGGAATCATTGAATGGACTCGAATGGAATCATCAATGAATGTAATTGAAAGGAATCATCAAATGGACTTGAATGGAATCGTCGAATGGACATGAATGGAATCATCATCGAATGGAAACAAATGGAATCATCATTGAATGGAATCAAATGGAATCGTTATCGAATGGAATCGAATGGAATCATCATCCAATGGAATCTAATGGAATCATCATCTAATGGAATCGAATGGAATCATCATTGAATGGAATCGAATGGAGAAATCGAATGGAATCTGCTGGAATCATCATCGAATGGAAACGAATGCAGTCATCATTGAATGGAATCGAATGGAATCATCATCGAAAGGAATCAAAAGGAATCATAGAATGGAATTGAACAGAATTATCGAATGGAATCGAATGGAATCATTACCGAATGGACACGAATGCAATTATCATCGAATGGAATTGAATGGAATCATCGAATGGACTCGAATGGAATAATTGAATGAACTCGAAAGGAATAATCGAATGGACTCAAATGGAATCATTGAATGGAATCGAATGGAATGATCGAATGAACTCGAATGGAATCACCATCAAATGGAATCGGATGGAATCATCAAGTGGACTCTAATGGAATCATCAAATGGACTCAAATGGAATTATCAAATGGTCTCACATGGAATCATCAAATGGACCCTAATGCAATCATCATTGAATGAATCTAATGGAATCATCAAATGGACTCGAATGGAATCATTGAATTGACTCGAATAGAAACATCAAATGGAATTGAATGGAATCGTCTTTCAGTGGAATCAAATTGAATCCTCCAATAGAATCAAATGGAATTATGAAATGGAATTGAACGGAACCATCATTGAATGGAATCGAATGGAATCATCTAATGGAATCAAAGGCAATCATCGAATGGAATCAAATGGAATCATCGAATGGAATCCAATGGAATCTTCGTCAAGTGTAATTGAGTGGAATCATCGAATGGAATCGAATGGAAACATGGTCGAATGGAATGGAATGGAATCAATGAATGGAATTGAATGGAATCACCAATGAATGGAATTGAATGGAATCATCATCGAATGGACTCAAATGGAATTATAGAATGGACTCGAATGGAATCATCGAATGGACCTGAATGGATTCATAATCGAATGGACTCAAATGGAATGATCGAATGGACTCGAATGGAATCATTGGTTGGACTGAAATGGAATTATCAAATTGGCTCGAATGCAAACATAGAATGGACTCGAATGGAATCATTATCGAATGGAATCAAATGGAATCATTGAATGGAATCGAATGGAATCATCGAATGGAATTGATTGGAATCATCATCAAATGGAATCATTATCAAATTAAATCTAATGGAATCATTGAATGGAATCGAATGGAGTCATCGAATGGAATTGATTCGTGTCATCATCGAATGGAATCAAACGGAATCATCAAGTGACTCAAATAGAACCATTATCGAATGGAATCAAATGGAATCATCTAATGGAATCAAATGGAATCAAAGAATGGAATCGAATGGAATCATTGAATGGAATCGATCAGAATCATCATTGAATGGAATCAAATGGAATCATCGAATGGAATTGAATGGAATCAGCATCGAATGAAATTGAATGGAATCATCATCAAATAGAAACGAATGGAATATTGGAATGGAATCATCATCAAATGGAGTCCAATGGAATCATCAAATGGACTCGAATGGAATCATCGTAGAATGGAATTGAATGGAATCATCGAATGGAATCGAATGGTATCATCGAATGCACCCGATTGGAATCATCAACGAATGGTATTGAATGGTATCATCAAATGTAATCGAATGGAATCATCTTCAATTGGGATGAAAAGGAGTCACCGAATGGACACTAATGGAATAATAATTAGAAGGAATCGAATGGAATTATCGAATGGTATGGAATGTCATCATCATCAAATGAAATCAAATGGAATCATCATTGAATGCAGTCCAATTCAATCGTCAACGAATGGAATCGAATGGAATCAATCATCGAATGCGATCAAATGGAATTATCATTGAATGGAATTGAAGGGAATCAGCGAAAGGAATCAAACTGAATTGTCAAATGGAATCAAATGGAATCATCAAATGGACTCGAATGGAAACATCATTGAATGAAATCGAATGGACACTTCCAGTGGGCTCGAATGGAATTATTATAGAATGGAATCAAATGGAATCATTGAATGGACTCGAATAGAAACATCATCGAATGAAATCGAATTTAATCTTTGAAAGGAATCAAATGGAATCATCATCTAATGGAATCATCTAAAGGACTGGAATGGAATCATCTTCGAATGGAATCGAATGGAATCATTGAATGGACTTGAATAGAAGCATCATCGAATGGAATCAAACAGAATCATCAAACAAAATCGAATGGAATCTTCATCGAATGGACTCAAATGGAATAATCATGGAATGGAATCAAAAGGAATCATCCTCGAATGGACTCGAATGAAATCATCGAATGGATTCGAATGGAATCATCAAATGGAATTGAATGGAATCTTTGAATGGCCCCAAATGGAATCATCATCGAATAGAATAGAATGGAATAATCATGGAATGGAATCAAAGGGAATCATCTTCGAATGGACTAGAATGAAATCATTGAATGGACTCGAATGGAATCATCGAATGGAATTGAATGGGAAATTCTAATGGCCCCGAATGGAATCATCATTGAATGGAACCGAATGGAATCATTGAACGCACTTGAATGTAACCATGATCGAATGGAATCAAATGGAATCATCGAATGGAAACGAGTGAAATCATCATCAAATGGAATCGAATGCAATCATATAATGGAATATAATGGAATCATCATTGAATGGAATCAAATGGAATCATTATCGAATGGAATCGAATGGAATCATCATCGAATGGAATCTAATGGAATCATCATCTAATGGAATCGAATGGAATCATCAACGAATGGAATCGAATGGAATCAAATGGAATCTGCTGGAATCATCATCGAATGGAAATGATTGCAGTCATTATCGAATGGAATAGAATGGAATCATCATCAAAAGGAATCGAAAGGAATCATAGAATGGAATCGAACGGAATCATCGAATGGAATCGAATGGAATCATCATCGAATGGACTCGAATGCAATCATCATCTAATGGAATTGAATGGAATCATCGAATGGAATCAAATGGTATCATTGTCAAGTTGAATTGAGTGGAATCATCGAATGGAATCATTGTCGAATGGAATTGAATGCAATCAATGAATGGAACTGAATGGAATCACCAATGAATGCAATTGAATGGAATCATCATCGAATGGAATCGAATGGAATCATCAGCGAATGGAATCATGTGAAATCATCTAATGGGCACGAATAGAATCATCCTCAAATGGAATCGAATGGAATCATCATCAAGTAGAATTGAATGTAGTCACTGAATGGACTCGAATGGAATCGTCATCAAATGGAATCGAATGGAATCATCTAACGGACTCGAAAAGAATCATCATCAAATGAAATCGAATGGAGTCAACGAATGGACACGAATGGAATCATCATCTAATAGAATTCAATGGCATCAACAAATTGACTCAAATGCACTATAATCGAATTGAATCAAAAGCAATCATCGAATGGACTCAAATGGAATTATCGAATGGACTCAAATGGAATCATAGAATGGAACCGAATGGATTCATAATCAAATGGACTCAAATTGAATGATCGAATGGACTCGAATGGAATCATCGATTGGACTCAAATGGAATTATCAAATGGGCTCGAATGGAAATATCAAATGGACTCAAATGGAATCATTATCGAATGGAATCAAATGGAATCAACGAATGGAATCGAATGGACTCATCAAATGGAATTGATTGGAATCATCATCGAATGGAATCAAATGGAATCATCAAATGACTCGAATGGAATCATTATCGAATGGAATCAAATGGAATCATCGAATGGAATTGAATGGAAACATCGAATGGAATCGATCAGAATCATCATCGAATGGAATCAAATGGAATCATTGAATGGAATTGAATGGAATCAGCATCGAATGAAATCAAATGGAATCAGCATTGAATAGAATCGAATGGAATATAGGAATGGAATCATCATCAAATGGAGTCCAATGGAATCATCAAATGAACTCGAATGTAATCATCACAGAATGGAATTGAATGGAATCATCGAATGGAATAGAATGGAATCGAATAGTATCATCGAACAGAATCGAATGGAATCATCATTGAATGGAATTGAAAGGAATCATCATCGAATGGAAACCAATAGAATCATCATCGAATGGAACCTAACGGAATCATCATCTAATGGAACTGAATGGAATCATCAATGAATGGAATCAAATAGAGAAATCGAACGGAATACATTGGAATTATCATTGAAAGGAACCGAATACAGTCGTCATCGAATGGAATCAAACGGAATCATCATCAAATGGAATCAAACGGAATCATCATCAAAACGAATCTAAGGGAATCATCGAATGGAATCAAATGGAATAATCCAAAGAAATCAAATGAAATCATCATCGAATGGACTTGAATGGAATTATCATCGAATGGTTTCGAATGAGATCATCGAATGGACTCAAAAGGAATAATCGAATGGACTCAAATGGAATCATCGAATGGAATCGAATGGAATCATCGAATGGAATCGAATGGAAACATCATCGAATGGAATTGAATGGAATCATCCAATTCACTGGAAAGGAATCATTGAATGGACTCGAATGGAATGATCATCGAATGGAATCGAGTGGAATCCTCGAAGGAAATCAAATGGAATCATCAAATGGAATCATCATCAAATGGAATCGAATGGAATCTTCGAATGTAATGAACGCAATCATCACTGACTATAATTGAATGAAATTATCATCAAATAGAATCAAATGGAATCAAATGGAGTCATTGTCAAGTGGAATCGAGTGTAATCATTGAATGGAATCGAATGGAATAATTGTCAAATGGAATGGAATGGAATCAGTGAATGGAATTGAAAGGAATCACCAATGAATGGAATGGAATGGAATCATCATCAAATGGAATCATATAGAATCATCGAATGGATTCGAATAGAATCATCATCAAATGGAATCATGTGGAATCATCAAATGGGCAAGAATAGAATCATCATCGAATGGAATCGAATGGAATCATCTTATGTGCTCGAATGGAATTACCATTGAATGGAATAGAATGGAATAATCGAATGGAATTGAATGGAATCATCATCGTATGGAATCGAGTGGAATAATCAAATGGACTCGAATGTAATCATCGGAGAATAGAATCAAATGGAATCATCAAATGGACTCGAATGGAATCATCATCGAATGGAATCGAATGGAATCATCGAATGGACTCGAATGGAATCATCATCGAATGTAATTGAAAGGAATCATCAGATGGACTTGAATGGAATCATAGAATGGACTCGAATGAAATCATCATCGTATGGAATTGAATGGAATAATCGAATGGAAACAAATGGAATCATCATTGAATGGAATCGAATGGAATCATCGAATGGAATTGAATGGAATCATCATTGAATGGAATCTAATGGAATCGTCATCGAATAGAATCGAATGGAATCATCATTGAATGGAATCTAATGGAATCCATGTAATGGAATTGAATGGAATCATCAACGAATGCAATCAAATGGAGAAATCGAATGAAATTCATTAGAATCATCATCGAATGGAAGTGAATGCAGTCGTCATTGAATGGAATCAAATGGAATCATCATCGAATGTTATAGAATGGAATCATAAGCAAATGGAATCAAAAGGAATCATCATTGAATAGAATCGAATGGAATCATCATTGAATGGAATTGAATGGAATCACCCTCGAATAGAATCGAATGGAAACATCGAACGGAATTGAATGGAATCATCATTGAATGTAATTGAATGGAATCATCGAATGGAATCAAATAGAATCATTGAATGGAATTGAAAGGAATCAGCATCGAACGAAATCGAATGGAATCATCATCAAACAGAATCGAATGGAATCATTGAATGGAATCATCATCAAATGGACCCGAATGGAATCATCGAATGGACTCAAATGGAATCATCGAATGGAGCTGAATGCAATCATCATCGAATGGAATCAAATGGAATCATCAATGAATGGAATCGAATGGAATCACTGAATGGAATACAATGGAATCATCATCAAATGGAACCGCATATAATCATCGAATGGACTCGAATTGAATCATGATTGAATGGACTCGAGTGGAATCATGATCGAATGGAATCGAATGGTGTCATTGAATGGACTCAAATGGAATCATCGAATGGAATTGAATGCAGTCATCATTGAATGTAATGGAATGGAATCATCATCGAATGGAATTAAATGCAATCATCATTGAATGTAATGGAATGGAATCATCATCGAATGGAATCTAATGGAATCATCATCGAATGGAATCTAATGGAATTATCGTCTAATGGAATCGAATGGAATCATCAATGAATGGAATCGAATGGAGGAATCGAATGGAATCCGTTGGAATCATCATAGAATGGAACCAAATGCAGTCATCATCAAATGTAATCGAATGCAATCATCATCGAGTGGAATCAAAAGGAATCATCAACGAATGGAATCAAATGGAATCATTGAATGGAATTGAAAGAAATCATCGAATGGAACCGAATGCAGTCATCCTCGAAAGTAATCGAATGCAATCATTGAACGGACTCGAATGGAATCATCATCGAATGAAATCAAATGGAATCATCGAATGGACTCGAATGCAATCATTGACTGGACTTGAATGGAATCATCATCTAATGGAATAGAATAGAATCATCGATTGGACAAGAATGGAATTATCATTGAATGGAATCGAATGGAGTCATCGAACGAACTCGAATGGAATCATGATCGAATGGAATCGAATGGAATCATCTTCGAATGGAATCGAAAGGAATCATCATCGAATAGAATCGAATAGAATCATCGATTGGAATCGAATGGAATCATCATCAAAAGTAATCGAAGGGAATCATCGAATGGAATTGAACGGAATCATCAAATGGAATTGAATGGAATCGTCATCGAATGTGATCACATGGAATCATCGAACGGACATGAATGGAATAATCAAATGGCTCGAATTGAATCATCGAATGGTATCAAATGGAATCATCGATTGGACTCTAATGGAATCATCATCAAATGGAATCGGATGGAATCAATGAAGGGGCTAGAATGGAATCATTGAATGGACTCGAATGGAATCATCTTTGAATGGAATCAAATGGAATCATCGAATGGCTTCTAATGGAATCATCATTGAATGGAATCGAATGAAATCATCATCGGATAGAATGAAATGGAATCATCACAGAGTGGAATCGAATGGAATCATCATTAAATGGAATCGAATGATATCATCGGATAGAATCGAATGGAATCATCACAGAGTGGAATCAAATGGAATCATCGAATGGACTCGAATGGAATCATCATCAAATGGAATCAGATGGAAACAAAGAAGGGGCTCGAATGGAATCATTGAATGGGCTCCAATTGAATCATCATCGAATGGAATCTTAAGGAATCATCGAATGGCCTCGAATGGAAACATCATAGAAATGAATCTAATGAAATCATCATCAGATGGAATCGAATGGAATCATCACTAAATGGAATAGAATGGAATCGTCGAATGGAATTGAATGGAATCATCGAATGGAATCGAATGGAATCATCATAGGATGGAATCGAATGGAATAATCGAAAGAAATTGAATGGAATCATCATCGAATGGAGTCAAGTGAAATCATCATCGAATGGAATCCAATGGAATCATCAATGAAGGGAATTGAATGGAATCATCATCGAATGGAATAGAAAGGAATCAACAACGAATGGAATCAAATGGAATCACTGAATGAAATCCAGTGGAATCATCATCAAATAGAAACGAATAGAATCATTGAATGGACTTGAATGGAATCATCATCAAATAGAATCTTATGGAATCATCGAATGGACTCCTATGGATTCATCATCGAATGAAATCGAATGTAATCATAGAATGGAATCGAATGGAATCATCATTGAATGGAATAGAATAGAATCATTGAATGGAATAAAATGGAATCATCAATGAATGGAATCGAATGGAATAATTTAATGGACTCGAATGGAATCTTCATCAAATGTAATCAAAAGGAATCATCCAAAAGACTCTAATGAAATCATCATTAAATGGAATTGGATGGAATCAACGAAGGTACTAGAATGCAATCATCAAATGGACTTGAATGGAATCATCATTGAATGGAATCAAATCGAATCATGGAATGGAATCGAATGGAATCATCATCGCATGGAATCAAATGGAATCATCGAATGGAATTGAATGGAATCATCAAATGGAACCGAATGCAGTCATCCTCGAATGGAATCGAATGCAATCATTGAATGACTCGAATGGAATCATCATCGAATGGAATCGAAGGGAATCAGCAAATGGACTCGAATGCAATCATTGAATGTACTTGAATGGAATCATCATCTAATGGAATAGAATGGAATCATCGATTGGACAAGAATGGAATTATCATTGAATGGAATCAAGTGGAATCTTCGAACGAACTCGAATGGAATCATCATCGAATGGAATTGAATGGAATCATCAAATGGATTCGAATGGAATCATCATTGAATGTAATCCACTGGAAACATCGAATGATCTCGAAATGAATCATAATCAAACGTTACTGAAAGAATCATCATCAAATGGAATAACATGGAATCATCATCAAATGGAATCATACGGAATCATCATAGAATGGAATTGAATGGAATCATCAGCTGGACTCAAATGAAATCATCAAATTTACCAAAAGGGAAGCATCGAATGGACTCGAACCGAATCAGCTTCGAATGGAATTGAATGGAATCATTGAAAGGCCTCGAATTGAATCATCAAATGGACTCGAACTGAATCATTATAGAATGGAATAGAAAACAGTCAACAGATGGACTTGAATGGAATCATCATTGAATTGTATCAATTGGAATCATCGAATGCACACGAATGGAATCATCATCGAATGGAATTGAATGGCATCATTGTATGGACTCGAAAGGAATGATCATCAAATGGAATCCATTGGAATCATCGGATGGAATCGAATGGAATTGTGGAATGGAATCGAATGAAATCATCTTTCAAAGGAATCGAATGGAATCAACGAATGGAATAGAAGGCAATCATCATTGAATGGAATTGAATGGAATCATCGAATTGAATCGAATTTTATCACCATTGAATGGACTCAAATGGAATCATCATCAAATAGAATCAGAAGGAATCATCGAATGGACTCGAATGGAATAATCATCGAATACAATCAAATGGAGTCATCGAATGGACTCGAATGGAATCATCATCAAATGTAATTAAATGGAATCATCAAATGGAATCGAATGGAATTATCGTCGAATGGAATCGAATAGAATCAGCAAATGAAATCAAATGGAATCAACATCGAATGGATTCAAATGTAATCACAGAATGGTATCAAATAGCATCATCATCGAATGGAATAGAGAGGAATCATCTAATTAACACGAGTGGAATCATCATCGAATGGAATAGAATGGAATCATCATCGAATGGAATCAAATGGAATGATCTATTGGACATGAATGGAATCATCATTGAATGGAATAGAATGGAATCATCATCGAATGGTATCCAAAGGAATCATCAAATGAATCCGAATGGAATCACCATAGAATTGAATAGAATGGAATCATCATTGAATGGAATTGAATGGAATCATCTATTGCACTGCAATAGAAACATCATTGAATGGAAACATCTAGTGGACCGGAATGGAATCATGATTGAATGGAATCAAATGGAAACAACGAATGGACACGAATGGAATCATCATCGAATATAATTAAAACAATTATCAAAAGGATTCAAATGGAAACATTGAATGGACTCAAATGGAATCATCATCGAATGAAATCAAATGGAAACATCATCGAATGGAATTGAATGGAATCATCATCAAATGGAATTGAACAGAATCATCATCAAATGGAATGGAATGGAATCATCGAATGGATTTGAATGGAATCATCATCGAATGGAATCGAATCTAATCTTTGATTGGACTTGAACGGAATCATCAACGAATGGAATCGAATCTAATCTTTGATTGGACTCGAATGGAATCATCATCAAATGGAATCGAATCTAATCTTTGATTGGACTCGAACGGAATCATGATCAAATGGAATCAAATGTAATCTTCGAACGCACTCAGATGGAGTAATCGTCAAATGCAATCAAAGGGAATCATCATAGAATTCAATTGAATGGAATCGTCATCCAATGGAATCGAATGGAAGCCTCGAATGGATTAGAATTGAATCAACATCGAATGGAATCGAATAGAATCATCAAATGAAATCGAATGGAATCATCATCGAATGGAATCGAATGGAATCATCATCAAATGGAATCAAATCGAATCATCATCGAATGGAATCATATTGAATCATCAAAGAATGGAATCAAATGGAATCATCATTGACAGGATTCGAATGGAATAATCAAGAAATGGAATCGAATGGAATCATTGAATGGAATCCAATGTAATCATCATCGAATGGAATCCAATGTAATCATCATCGAATTGAACCCAATAGAATCATTACATTGAGTCGAATGCAACCATCGAATGGACTCAAATGTAATCATCAATGAATGGAATAGAATGGAATCAACGAATGGAACTGAATGGAATCATCATAGAATGAAATCAAATGAAATCATCGAATGGTCTCAATTGGTATCATCATCAAATGGAATCAAAAGGAATCAACGAATGGACTTGAATGGAATCACTGAATGGACTCGAAAGGAATCATCATCGAATGGAATCAAATGGAATCACCACCGAATGGAATTGAATGGTATCATCGAATCGACTCTAATGGAATCATCATCAAATGGAATCGAATGGAATTATCGAATGGACTCGAAAGGAATCATCACCAAATGGAATCGAATGGAATCATCGAATAGAATCAAATGTAATAATCATCAAATGAAATTGCAATAAATCATGGAATGGACACGAATGGAGTCATCATTGAATGGAATCGAATGGAATCATGAAACAGACTCATATGGATTAATCATCTAATGGAATGGAAAGGAATAATCAAATGAAATCAATGGAATCTTCATCGATTGAGATCAAATGGAATAATTGAATGGCACTGAATGGAATCATCATCGAATGGAATCAAATGGAACCATCTAATGGACACAAAAGGAATAATCATTGAATGGAATCGAATGGAAACATCGAATGGACACAAATGAATTCATCACCGAATGGAATCGAATGGAATCACTAAGAAATCAAATCGAATAGAATCGTCATTGAATGGAATCGAATGGAATCATCGCACAGAAGATAATGGAATCATCATCGAATGGAATCAAATAAAATCATCGAATGAAATCAAATGGAATCATCATCGAATAGAATCAAATGGAATCATCATCAAAAGTAATTGAATGGAATCATCGTCGAATGTAATTGAATGGAATCACCATTTAAAGGAATCGAATGGATTCATCATCAAATGGAACCGAACAGAGTCATCATCAAACGGAATTGAATGGAATCGTAATCGAATGGAATCATCAAATGGACACGAATGCAATCATTGACTGTGCTTCAATGGAATCATCATGGAATGGAATCGAATGGAATCATCGAATGGGCTCGAATGGAATCATCATCGAATGGAAACAGATGGAATTATAGAATGGACTTGAATGGAATTATTGAATGGAATCGAATGGAATCATCATTGAATGGAATTGAATGGAATCATCGAAAGGACTCGAATGGAATAATCATCGAACGGAATTGAATGGAATCATCGAATGATCTCAAATGGAATCATCATCAAATGCAATCAAAAGGAAACATCAAATGGACTTGAGTGGAATCATTGAATGGACTCGAATGGAATCATCATTGAATGGAATCGAATGGAATCATGAAATGGAAACGAATGCAATCACCATCAGATGGAATTGAATAGAATCATCATTGAATAGAATGGAATGGAATCCTTATCGAATGGAATCTAATGAAGTCATCATCGAATGGAATCTAGTGGAGTCATCATCTAAAGGAATCGAATGGAATCAGCAAGGAATGGAATCGAATGGAGAAATCGAATGTAATCCGTTGGAATCATCATTGAATGAAACCGAATGCAGTCATCAGAGAATGGAAACGAATGGAGTCAATGAAGGGACTCGAATGGAATCATCATTGAATTGAATCGTATGGAATCATCGAATGGACTCGAATGGAATCATCGAATGTACTCAAATGGAAACAACATCGAATGGAATCGAATGGAATCATCGAATGGAAACGAATGCAATCATCATTGAATGGAATCAAATGGAATCGAACGGAATCATAGAATGGACTCTAATGGAATCATCATGGAATGGAATTGAACAGAATCATCAAATGGACTCGAATGGAATCATTGAATGGAATTGAACACAATCAACATAGAATGGAATTGAATGGAATCATCATCGAATAGAATCAAATTGAATCATCGAATAGAATTGAATAGAGTCATCGTCAGGTTTAATCGAGTGGAATGATCTAATGGAATCTAGTGGAATCATTGTCGATTGGAATGGAATGGAATCAATGAATGGAAATGAATGGAATCACCAATTAATGGAATTGAATGGAATCATCATCGAATGGAATTGAATGAAATCATTGAATGGACTAGAATGCAATCATCATTGAATGGAATCACATGGAATCATCATCGAATGGAATCATATGGAATCATCATCAATTGGAATTGAATGGAATGAAAAATTGGACTTGAAAGGAATCACCAAATGTACTCGAATGGAAGCATCAAATGGACTCGAATGGAATCATCATTGAATTGAATCGTATGGAATCATCGAATGGACTCGAATGGAATCATCTAATGGACTAGAATGGAATAATCATCGAATAGAATTGAATGGAATCATGGAATGGACTCGAATGGAATCATCATCAGATGGAATCGAATGGAATCATTGAATAGTATCGAATGTAACCATCATAAAATAAAATTGCATTGAATCTTCGAATGGACACGAATGGAGTCACCATCGAATGGAATCGAATGGAATCATCGAATGGACTCGAATGGAATAATCATCAAATGGAATGGAAAGGAATAATCAAAAAGAAATCAATGGAATCATCATTGAATGAAATCAAATGGAATAATCGAATGGCACCGAATGGAATCATCATCGAATGGAATCAAATGGAATCATCTAACGGACTCGAATGGAATAATCATCAATTGGAATCGAATGGAAATATCGAATGGACACAAATGGAATCATCACTGAATGGAATAGAATGGAATCATCATCAAATGGCATCGAATAGAATCATCGTCGAATGGAATTGAATGGAATCATTGAAGGGAATAGAATGGAATCATCATCGAATGGACTCAAATGGAATCATCAAAAGAAATCAAATGGAATCATCATCGAATGGACTACAATGGAATCATCATCGAATGGAATCCAATGGAATCATCATCGAATGTAACTGAATGAAATCATCATTGAAAGGAATCGAATGGATTCATCATCAAATGGAACCGAACAGAGTCATCATTGAATGGAATTGAATGGAATCATAATCAAATGGAATCGAATGGAATCATCAAATGAACTCGAATGCAGTCATCGACTGGGCTTCAATGGAATCATCATGGAATGGAATCGAATGGAATCATCAAATTGACGCAAATGGAATCATAATCAAATAAAATCAAATGTAATTATCGAATTGACACCAATGGAATCATCATTGAATGGAATCGAATGAAATCATCATCGAATGGAATCCAATGGAATCATCAAATGGAATAAAATGGAGTCATCATCGAATGACATCGAATGGAAACATCGATTGGATTAGAATGGAGTCATCATCGAATGGAAACGAACAGAATCATCGAATGAAATCAAATGGAATCATCATCGAATGGAGTCGAATGAAATCATCATCGAAAGGAATCCAATGGAAACACGAATGAAGGGAATCAGATGGAATCATCATCGAATGGAATCAAATGGAATCATGAAGGAATGGAATAGAATGGAATCATCGAATGGACTCGAATGGAATCACTATCAAATGGAAACGAATGGAATCGAATGGAATCATTGAATGGACTCGAATGGAATCATCATCAAATGGAATAGGATGGTATCATCGAATGGACCCAAATGGAATCATCGAATGGACGCGGATGGAATCATCGAATGGAATCAAACAGAATCATCAACGAATGGAATCGAATGGAATCATAGAATGGAATCCAATGTAGTCATCTTTGAATTGAACCCAACAGAATCATGAAATGGACTCGAATGGAATCATCAAATGGGCTTAAATGGAGACATCATCGAATGGAATAGAATGGAATCATCAAATGCAATTGAATTGAATCATCGAATGTACTTGAATGGAATCATCATCAAATGGAATCAAATGGAATCATGGAATGGACTCGAATGGAATCATCATCGAATGGAATTGAAGGGAATCATCAAATGGACTTGAATGGAATCATTGAATGGAATCAAATGGAATCATCATTGAATGAAATTGAATGGAATCATTGAATTTACTCGAATGGAATAATCATCAATTGGAACCAAATGGAATCATCGAATGGAATCGAATGGAATCATCATTGAATGGAATCGCATGGATTCATCTTCGAATGGAATCAAATGAAATCATCATTGAATGGAACCTAATGGAATCATCATGTAATGGAACCGAATGGAATCATCAACGAATGGAATCAAATGGAGAAATCGAGTAGAATCCTTTGGAATCATCATCGAATGGAACCGAATGCAGTCGTCATCAAATGGAATCAAATGGAATCATCAGCGAATGGAATCGAAAGGAATCATCATGGAATAGAATCAAATGGAATCATCGAATGGAAGGGAATGGAATCATCATGGAAAGGAATCAAAGGGAATCATTGAATAGAATCGAACGGAAACATTGAATGGAATCAAAGGGAATGATCATCGAATGGACTCAAATGGAATTATCAAAAGGAATCGAATGGAATCATCGATTGGACTCTAATGGAATAATCGGATGGACTCCAATGTAATCATCAAATGTAATCGCATGGAATAATTGAATGGACTCTAATGGAATCATCATCAAATGAAATTGGATGGAATCAACAAAGGGACTCGAATGGAATGATCGAATGGACTCGAACGGAATCATCATTGAATGGAATTCAATGAAATCATCGAATGGACTCAAATGGAATCATCATCGAATGGAGTCGAATAGGATCATCATGAAATGGAATCGAATTGGTTCATCATCAAAAGAAATCCAATGGATTCACTGAATGGATTCGAATGTAATGATCAAATGGACTCGAATGGAATCATCAAATGGAATCGAATGGAATAATCGACTGGACTCGAATGGAATTATCGAATAGACTTGAATGGAGTCATCAAATGGATTTTAATGGATTCATAAAATGGAATCATATGGAATCATCAAATGGACTCGAATGTAATCATTGCATGGACTTGAATGAAGTCATCGAATGGATTCGAATGGAATTATCATCCAATGGAATTGATTGGAATCCTCGAATAGAATCAGATGGAATCATCAAATAGAATCAAAATGAATCATCATCGAATGGAAACGAATGGAATCATAGAATGGAATCGAAGGCAATCATGATAGAATGGAATCAAATGGAATCATAGAATGGAATCAAATGGAATCATCATCAAGTGGAATCGAGTGGAATCATCGAATGGAATCGAATGGAATCACTGTCAAATGGAATGGAATTGAATCAATGAATGGAAATGTATGGAATCACCAATGAATGGAATAGAATGGAATAATCATTGAATGGAATCGAAAGGAATCATCGAATGGACTCGAAGAGTATCATCATCAAATGGAATCGTGTGGAATCATCTAATGGGCACGAATAGAATCATCATTGAATGGAATCAAATGGAATCATCTAATGTACTCGAATGGAATCATCATTGAATGGAATAGAATGGAAACATCAAATGGAATCGAATGGAATCATCATCGTATGGAATCGAGTGGAATCAACAAATGGACTCGAATGTAATCATCGGAGAATGGAATCAAATAGAATCATCAAATGGACTCGAATGGAATCATCATCAAATGGACTCGAATGGAATCAAGGAATGGACTTGAATTGAATGACCATTGAATGGAATCGAATGGAATCATCATCGAATGAAATCGAATGGAATCATTGAATGGACTCGAATGCCATCATCATTGAATGGAATCGAATGTAATCGAATGTAAGCATTGAATGGACTCGAATGGAATCATCATTGAATGAAATTGAAAGGAATCATCTAACAGAATCGAATGGAACCATCAAACGGCATCGAATGGTATCATCATTGAATGGAATCATCGAATGGAATCGAATGGAATCATTATCAAATGAAATTGATGGGAATCATCAAATGGCATCAAAAGGAATCATCATCCAATGGAATCAAATGGATTCATCTAACGGACTCATTTGGAATCATCATTCAATAGAATTAAGTGGAATCATCGAATGGACATGAATGGAATCGTTATCAAATGGAATCAAATGGAATCATCATCAAATGGAGTCGAATAGAATCATCATAGAATGGAATGGAATGGAGTCATCTAATGGAATAGAATGGAATCATCATCGAATGGAATCAAATAGAATCATCTAACGAAATCAAATGGAAGCATCATCGAATGGAATCGAAAGGAATCATGATCGAATGGAATTGAACGGAATCATCATCAAATGGAATCGAATGGAATCATTCAATGGAATTGAATGGAATCATCATCGAATGAAATGAAATGGAATCATCGAATGGACTCGAATGGAATCATCATTGAATGGAATCGAATACAATCATCGAATGGACTTGAATGGAATCATCATCGAATGGACTCAAAAAGAATTATCAAATGGACTCGAATTGAATCATCATCGAATGAACTCAAATGGAATGATCGAATGGACTCGAATGGAATCATGGATTGGACTCAAATGGAATTATCAAATGTGCTCGAATGGAAACATTGAATGGACTCGAATGGAATCATTATCAAATGGAATCAAATGGAATAATCGAATGGATTCGAATGGAATCATCTAACGTAATCGATCACAATCATTATCGAATGGAATCAAATGTAATGATCAAATGGAATCGAATGAAGTCATCATCGAATGGAATCGAATGGAATCATCATCGAATAGAATTGAATGGAATCATCGAATGGAATCGAAAGGAATCATCCTCAAATGTAATCGAATGGAATCAGTGAATGGAATCAAATGGAATAATCGAATGGAATTGAATGGAATCAGCATCGAATGATATCGAATGGAATCATCATCGAATAGAATTGAATGGAATCATTGAATGGAATCATCATCAAATGGAGTCAAATGGAATCATCAAATGGACTCGAATGGAATCATCATAGAATGGAATTGAATGGAATCATCGAGTGAAATCAAATGGATTCATTACTGAATGGGATCGAATGGTATCATGGAATGCACTTAAATGGAATCAGCAACGAATGGTATCGAATGGTATCATTGAATGGAATTGAATGGAATCATCTTCAATAGGAATCAAAAGGAATCACCGAATGGACTCGAATGGAATAAACATCGAAAGGAATCAAAAGGAATCATTGAATGGAATCGAATGGAATCATCATCAAGTGGAATCGAATGGAATCATCGAATGGAATCAAATGGAATCATCATCGAATGGAATACAATGGAATCATCATGGAATGGAATCCAACGGAATCATCATCGAATGTAACTGAATGATAACATCATTGAAAGGAATCGAATGGATTCATCATCAAATGGAACCGAACGGAGTCATCATCGAATAGAATCGCATGGAATCATCATCGAATGGAATCGAATGGAATCATCATCAAACGGATTTGAATGGAATCGTTGAATGGAATTGAATGGAATCATCATCAAATGAATTGAATGGAATCATCAAATGGTCTCGAATGGATCATTATCAAATGGAATTGAATGGAATCACCAAATAGAATCGAATGGAATAATCATCAAATGGATTCAAATGGAATTATCATCAAATGGAATTGAATGGAATTATCAAATGGAATTGAATAGAATCATCAAATGGACTCGAATGGAATCATTGAATGGAATGGAATGGAATAATCAATAAACTCGATTGGAATCATCATTGAATGGAATTGAATGGAATCATAGAGAGGAATAAAATGGAATAATCATCAAATGGATTCATACGGAATCATAATCGAACGGAATTCAAAGGAATCATCATCGAAGGGAATCGAATGCAACAATCGAATGGAATCTAATAGAATCATCATCGAATGGAATCGACCGGAATCATCGAATGGAATAGAAGAGAATCATCATTGAATGGAATCGAATGGAATCATCAATGAATGGAATCGAATGGAATAATCAGCGAATGGATTCATACGGAATCATCATCGAATGGAATTGAATGGAATCATCTTCGAATGGAATTGAATGGAATCATGATCAAATGGAATCAAATGGAATCATCATTGAATGGAATCGAAAAGAATCATCATCAATTGGAGTTGAATGGAATCGTCATCAAATGGAATCTAAAGGAATTATCATCAAATGGAACCGAATGGAATCATCATCGAATGGAAACGAAAGGTGTCATCATCGAATGGAATTGCATGGAATCATCATCTAATGGAATCGAATGGAATCATCATTAAATGGAATCTAATGGAATCATCAAATGGAATTGAATGGAATCATCATCGAATGAATTGAATGGAATCATCGAAAGGTCTCGAATGGAATCATCTTCAAATGGAAACGAATGGAATAATCGCATAGAATAGAATGGAATTATCATCGAATGGACTCCAATGGAATCAACATCAAACAGAATCAAATGGAATTATTGAATGGAATCGAAGAGAATCTTCGAATGGACTCGAATGGAATCATCTTCAAATGGTATCGAATGGAATAATCACATAGAATCGAATGGAATTATCATCGAATGGACTCCAATGGAATGAACATCAAACGGAATCAAACGGAATTATCAAATGGAATCGAAGAGAATCTTTGAATGGACTCGAATGGAATCATCGAATGGAATGGAATGGAATAATCCATGGACACGAATGCAATCATCATGGAATGGAATCGAATGGAATCATCGATTGGACCCGAATGGAATAATCATCGAATGGAATTGAATGGAATCATCATCGGATGGAAACGAATGCAATCATCATCGAATGGAATCGAATGGAATCATCATCGGATGGAAACAAATCGAATCATCATCGAATGGATTCGAATGGAATCATCAAATGGAATCAGATGGAATCATCATTGAATGGAATCGAATAGAATTATGGAATGAAATCAAATGTGATCATCATCGAATGGACTTGAATGGAATCATCATCCAATGGAAACTAATGGAATCAACATCGAATAGAATCGAATGGAAACACCATTGAATTGAAACGAATGGAATTATCATGAAATTGAAATGGATGGACTCATTCAATGATTCGAATGGAATCATTGAATGGAATTGATTGGAATCATCAAATGGTATCGAATGGAATCATTGGATGGAATCGAATGGAATCAACATCGGACCGAAATGAATGGAATCATCATACAATGGAATTGACTGGATTCATTGAATGGAATCAGATGGAATCACTGAATGGACTTGAATGGAATCATCAAATGGACTCGAATGGAATCGTTATTGAATGGAATTGAATGGAGTCCTCGAATGGTCTTGAATGGAATCATCATCGAATGGAATCTAATTTAATCATCAAATGGAATCGAATGGTATCATCATCTCATGGAATTGAATAGAATTGGCATATAATAGAGTCGAATGGAATCATCATCAATGCAATCGAATGGAATTTTCTTCAAATGGAATCGAATGGAAACATGACCGATTAGAATCAAATGGGATCATCGAATGAAACTGAATGGAATCATCATCAAAACTAATCAAAATAAAACAAAGAATGGTATCCAATGGAATCATCGAATGGAATCAAATGGAATCATCATTGAATAGACTCAAAAGGTGTCATCATCGAATGGAATAAAATGGAATGATTTAAATGACTCGAATGGAATCATTGAATGGACTCGAATGGAATCATCAAATGGAATCTAATGTAATCATCATCGAATGAAATCAAATGCAATCTTCTAATCGAATGGAATGGAATCATCATCGAATGGAATCGAATGAAATCATGGAATGCACTCGAATGGAATCATTGAATGGACTCAAATGGAATCAACATTGAGTGGAATTGAAAGAAAACATCAAATGGAGTTGAATGGAATAACCTAATGGAATCACCATCGACTGAAACAGATGGAATCATCGAATGGACCCGAAAGGAATCATCATCGAATGCAATCAAATGGAATCATCGAATGGAATACAATGGAATCATCATCGACTGGCATCGAATGGAATCATCATCAAATGGAATCAAATGGAATCACCATCAAATGTAATCGAATGGAACCATCAATGAATGGAATCGAATGGAGTGATCGAATGGAGTCCGTTAGAATTATCATCTAATGGAACCGAATGCAGTCATCATCTAATGGAATCAAAAGGAATCATTGAATGGACTTAATGGAATCATCGTCGCATGGAATCAAATGGAATCATCGAATGGACTCAAATGGAATCATCATCGAACGGAATCGAATGGAATCATCGATTGGACACTAATGGAATCACCATCGAATGGAATCTTTCAATGGAATCGAATAGAATTATCATTCAATAGAATCGAATTGGATCATCATCGAATGGAATCTAATGAAATCATCATGGAATGGAATCAAGTGGAGTCATCATCTAATGGAATTTAATGGAATCAGCAAGGAATGGAATCGAATGGAGAAATCGAATGGAATATGTTGGAATCATCATTGAATGGAACTGAATGCAGTCATCATAGAATGGAATCCAATGGAATCAATGAAGGGACTCGAATTGTGTCATCATTGAATGGAATCAGATGGAATCATCGAGTGGACTCGAATGGAAACATCATCGTATGGAATCAAATGGAATCCTCGAATGGACTCTGATGGAATCATCATCGAATGGAATCGAATGGAATCAAATTGAATCATCGAATGGACTCTAATGGAATCATCATTGAATGGAATCGAATGGAATCATCAAATGGACTCGAATGGAATCATTGAATGGACTCGAATGCAATCATCATTGAATGGAATCGAGTGGAATCCTCGAATGGAATCAAATGGAATCATCAAATGGAATCGAACAGATTTATAAGAAACTTAGTTGAACCAAAAAATAGAAAAACAAACAAACCAAAACCCCCTAAAACTGTGATGAGCAAAGTAGACATCAGAACAGGAAATATCACTGGGGATGAAGAATAACATTTCAAATGACAAAGGGGATAATACACCAAGAAGTCATGTAAATAAGAAATATGTATGCACACAATAGCATTACTTCAAAATACATAATATTAAACCTATTAAAACTGAAAGGTAAAATAGTAAAACCACAGTCATCCCTGGGGATTTCAGCAGTCTCCTGCCAGAAATTTTTAAATTTTGTTAAACGAAAAGTTGGTAAGGATAGAGAGGATCTTATAAATATAATTAGCCAACTTGATCTAACTGAATCTTTTAGAATAATCTAAGGATGAGGAATGAGGTAGCAGAGAAAGAAAAGGCAGACATCAACGTGACATTAGTGTTTCAAGGCTATGAGAATACACCAATAATGGTGTGTGTGGGTGTGTGTGCAGACAGTAAGTTCAATCTTAAAAATATTGAGTTTTAACTGACAATTCATTATTAGGAAAGATAAGAGGAAATGATATCTAGTGAGAGGCTATATGACGGAACTCTAAGAGAAAGGTCACAGCAGAAATTGTGTACTTGACAGCTCTATAAGGAGGTGAGTCGAAAATAAGTCAGTGATGAATTCTCTGGTGTAAAAGCAGAGGAATGAGGATTAGATTTAAAACCCATGGAAGCAGAGTGACTTATGATAAAAACATGAGCTTGAAAATCTTGCAGCGAGGGCTTTAAATCCTGGGTATGATATTCTGCTTGTTTAGGCAATAGTGATAAAAACACAACAACAAAGAGAGGTAAAGAGCACTTTCCTTTGATATAAGTAAAGGGCACGTCTTATTGCACATATATATATATATATATATACACACGTGTATATATACACGTGTATATATATATACACATATATATACACGTGTATATATATGTGTATATATATATATACACGTGTATATATATACATATATATATATACACACGTATATATATATATGTATTCAACTGAGATTCAACATGTTTCTCTCATTGAAACAGCAAGCTCTCCAGGCCTTCATGTTCCCAGTGAGGTAGGTAAACTTCTGATGATTATACTCACCCTCCCTCATTGCAAAGCTCCCATTGTTATTGTCTTGGCTCTGGATTCCCTCAAACATAGACTATGAAACAAATATATGGGGTCAGATACTTTAATCAGAAATTGAGTGAGAAAGCACAGAAGTGGAGAAAATGAAACAGAACACGAAGCCAGTGTGAATGAATAATTACTGCTATGTGCTCAATAATGATGGAGGTATGGAGATTGTGTCAAAGTAACTTTACAAAGAGATGGGGATGCTGGAATCCCCATCTCTTATTGCTTAAGGATTGCCTTAGAATAATTAACTCCCCACCCCTAACTCCTTCTTTGTTCCTATGTGTGGTTGAGAAGCACTGGTTAGCCTCAAGAAGCTTGCAGGCAGGCCCAAAAATCAGAAAGAGAGGCATGATGTAGGGAACTCTCAGTTAGCTGGAAACAGGTGAATTCCACGTGAACACATTGAGTCCAGGACATACAAGACAAGTCATCAGCAATATCTGCTATAGCCAGTATTCTTTTTCTTTTTAAGAACATATATACTTTCTGTTGGGGGTCCCCAAGTCCCCCTTTGGTTTAATGATTCACATAACTCAAGAAAGCTGATTTTTTCTGTGCTTATAGTTTCTAACAGTGAAATAAACCAGATTAAAACAATCAGAAGCATAAAAGCACATAAAGTTGAGTCCAGGACAAACCAGATATGAGCTTACAGGTGTCGTTTCATAGTGGGGACTTCACACTGACTAATTTTCTTTACAATGGTGTGAGACAACATGTGTGAACTTCTTGCCAACTAGGGAAGCTCAGTCAGTCTTGAGTCCAGGGTTTTTATTAGGATTCCACCACATATGCATCGAGCGTCCCGTGACTGAACTTAGCTATTTAGTTCCCAACCTCCCTATGCCCTAAGAGAGGTCATATTAATATGGCATTACACAAAGTCATAGGCATACAGAAAAAGGTGCTCACAAGAAATCACGTTGTTAGCATCAGTTATTTGATATGACCTACGTTTTCAGGTATACAAAGATTCTCATCAGGCAGCATATACCAAGGGCTCATAGGTTATCATCTCCCAGGAGATTCTCAAGGGACAGTCCTGAAGACCTTTGGAATGCGCAAGGTTTTGGAAAGCCATGTCTGCAGAATTAACCCTTCATTACACAACCTCCAAGAACTTTTTTATCTTTAAAAATGTTTTTTGATCTTTGACAATGTACCAACCAATACTGAGTAATTAGTAACAACAGTGTACTCCTGAGTACTTGCACCTGCAAGGAGAAAAAGGACAGATGCACTTACATAGGAAAGATGCAAATAGACACCACTATGACAAGTAAAGCTACAATAATCAATAAATTCCTAAAGACAAAGTGGGGCTGGTGAGATTGGGAGATGGCTGACAGCTGCAGAAGTTGGGAAAGATCCATCATCTTGAAAACTTTTTCCCCACAAACCCACTGTGATCTCTCAAGCAATTGGTAAGGAATCCAAGAGAGTCTGTATATGACACAGATCAGGGAGAGCAGAACACTTGGGAGGTGACGAGGTCTTGGGGGCCGAGCCCTTATGAATGGGATTAGTGCCTTTTTAAAAGAAGCTCAACGGAGTTCTTGTGTGCCTCCCACTATGTGACGACATAGAAAGAAGGCACCATCTATGAACCATGAAATGGGCTCTCATCAACACTGAATTTGTAAGCATCTTGGCCTGAGAACTTACAGCCTCAAGAAGTGTGAAAAAAGAAATATCTGTTGTTTTTTAGTCACCCAGTTTATGTTCTTTTGTTATAAGAGTCCAAATAGACCAAGATATTCCGCTTAATATGTAGGGGAAGACAACAAAAACGGCCACACTTAGAATACTCCTGATGCTGGGAGTATGAAAACAGGAAAAACAAGAAAAAACTGCTCTTGAAGGTGAAGGAGGACTATCACTGAGCTCACCAACACAGCCAGGAAAATAACAGAAGTGTGAGAAGGCTACATTCCTGAGACCCTGAGAAAAATTACCTGCATAAGACTGAGATCAAATTACCTACTCTAGTTATGATTGAAATCCCAAAAAGAAAAGAGGGAAAAATAATGGAGCAAAAGAAATATTTTTCAAAATAACTGCCAAAAATATTCTAAAATAAGTGATGGAAAATCCAACTTCAGATATAGGAAACTCAGAGAATGTCAAATAGAACAAAAAGAAATAAGAATTACATCTTGAAAAATCTTTAAAATATCAAGTCTAAATTTTATATCTTGCTCCAAATATATAGAGATATAAATAGGTTATCATCACGATATGGAGAAAGCCATATCATGGAAACACTAAAATAAGGCTTTGGAAGGACTACACTGATATTAGACACAACAGAGTTTGGAACAAGAAATAGTATCAGAGATGAGAGATAATAGATAATAGAATAATCAATTCTCAAGAAGATGTAAACATCCTACTAATTAGGGTATGCAGCTAACAACAGAACCTCCAAGTACATGAGGCAAAACGGAAAGAAATCAAAGGTGAACTACAAAAATCCAAAATTATATTTGCAGACTTCAACACTTTTGTCTTAGTAATGGAAACACTAGGCACAAACTCAGTAATCATGTGGAAGATAAGAACAACAATATCACCAACAAGACATCCAATCTTCATTGGCAGATACTCTTTCCTTTCAAGTGAAAAAAAAAAAAAACAGTATGGCATATTCTTTAACAAACCCAGAATTTCTAATATTTGCGTTTTTCCTTCTTTCTTTCCATCTTCCTTTCTCTTCTCTTCCCTTCCCTTACCTTCTTCCTTCCTTTCTTCTTTTCCTCTTCCTTTTCTTTTCTTTTTTGTTTTCCTTTCTTTCTTTTCTTTCTTTTTTCTCCTTCCTTCCTTCTTTCCTTTTCTTTCTTTCCTCTTATTCTTCCTTCCCTCCTCCCTCTCTTCATTTCTCCCTCCCTTTTCTTCCTTCTTTTCTCATATTCTTTCTTTCTTTCTCACGTTCGTCCTTTCTTTCCTTTTTTCTCCCTTCCTCCCGCCCTCCTTTTCTTCTTTCCTCCCTCCCTTCCTTTCCTCTTTTTCCTTCCTTCCTTTGCCTCTTTATTTTCTTTGTCTCTTTTCCTTCCTCCCTTTTACCATTCTCTCTTCCTCCTTTCCTTCCTCCCTTCCTCCTTTCTTTCTTTCTTTCTCTCTGTCTTTCTCTTTCTTTCTTTCTTTCTTTCTTGTGTTCATTCTTTCTTTTTTCTCCCTTCCTGCCTTTCTCCCTTCCCTCCCTCCCTTCCTTCCCTCATTTCCTCCTTCATTTCTTTCTTCTTTCTTTCTTTGTTTCCTTCCTTCCTTCTTTCCTTCCTTCTTTTTCTTTCTTTGTTTTCTTTTCTTTCTTTCTCTTTACTACAATTCATAATATTTTAAAAAATTAAGAGAGGGAGACAGAAAAATAAAGAATGCTTTAATCTGCAGGTAAACAGATTATGTCTGCTGTAGGCAAAAGAATGGCCTCCCAAAAAATTTCATGTCCTAATTCCCAGAGTCTAACATACAAATATGTTAGGTTGCACGGCAGTGTGAAATTAGATTTCAAGTGAAATTAAGGTTGCGGAAAAATGATAGAGAGATTGTCTTAAATGGGTGGGATCAATGAAATGACAAAATTCCTTATAAGTGAAAGAAGAAGGCAGAAGAAAGGCAACCTTGGAGGTGGTGGCATGAGAAATTACTCAACATCACTGACTTTTAACATACAAGAATGAGGACCCAGCATGGTGGCTCATGCCTAATCCCAGCACTTTGGGAGGCTGGGATGGGTTTATCACGAGGTCAGGAGATCGAGACCATCCTGGTTAACATGGTGAAACCCCATCCCTACTAAAAATACAAAAAATTAACTGGGCATGTTGGCAAGTGCCTGTAGTCCAAGATACTCAGGAAGCTGAGGCAGAAGAATCACTTGAACCCGGGAGGCAGAGGTTGCAGTGAGCTGAGATCATGCCACTGCACTCCAGCCTGGGTGACAGAAGGAGACTCCATCTCAAAAAAAAATAAAAAAGAAAAATAGGATATAAGAATGAGGTCATGTTCCAAGGAATAAAGGTGGCCTCCGGATGCTGAAAAAAATCAAGTAATAAATTCTGCCACATAGCCCACAGAAAGAATGCAGCCCTGTCCAAAACTTGATGTTAGCCCAGTGAGTTTCATTTAAGGCTTCTGAACTACAGAACTGTAGGATTAACGGTCACTTTATTATAAGATATGAAGTTTGTGGTAATTGGTTACAGCAGCAAGAGGAAGTTTATATTGTAATTGTATCATGAAAATGAGAACCATAATTTAGAACTGCTTTGAATACTGCACTTGGATGTTTGCAATCACGTACATGGAAATGATCTCTATGTGCATGAGGGAGGATAGCAAATTGATGCCAAAAAATGCAAATGCAAATCTTACACGCATATCTATGTAGATTTCATTTAATCTTTGAAATTAAAATGAAGTTAAAAGATTGTGATATTTTGATGAAATTAGACTAAAATGAACAATAACAAAACAAGAACTTACTTATATTCTTTATATGGTCAATAAAGAAGTGATTGATAGTGGAAAAAAACAAGATCAAATGAAGGTGATGATTTAGGAAGTTGGAAAGATAGCTGAAACTACAAAATGGTATATAATCAGTGACACTTAGACACACTGATTGTTGAACTTCAGCTTTCGGCTTGGTGAGAGCATAAAATGAGAGCAGCTGAGGTTTGCAAATTTGTAATCTCCTTGTGGAAAACCAGGGGAAAACACATCTCAGCCTAATAAGATTTATCTACTAAAGAATCTAGACTTGATCCATTTGTCCTTGTAATTCAAAAGCTAATTCAAATAATGAGCTGATGTATTGTGTGAACAACCATTGCTGATTATCATCGCATACCTGGCATTCTCTTTTATCTGATATCTAAAATATTTGGTAATTCCTGGACTTCCTTTTTTCAAACCCAGTACGGTTTAATTTGAGTCTTAGAACAGTTGTCTTTGAGAAATTCTTCCCTCTACTGCATCTGTGAATGGGCATAGCATGGTTACATACATACTCTCACTCCATAGAACATTTGTTACACTAAAGCCAAAGTTTAAAGCAAGAGCTTTATCTTACTGGTTTTACTAATGATTTCCTCCCAAATACCCACAACAATATTGATACTCTCACACCTCTCAACATAAAGCTTGGTGTTGTCTATTTTTCAGGTGCTGTCATCTATATGATCTCAGTATTTTAAAAATCAGCTTCCAGCCCATATGGTGGTTCATGCTTGTAATACCAGCAGTTGAAGAGGCTCAAATGAGAGGGTTCCTTGAGCCCAGGAGTTCAAAACCAACCTGGGCAACATAGCAAGACCCAGTCTCTATCAAAAGTTAAAAAAAAAAATGTGGGCATGGTGATGTGCACTTGTTGTCCTAGCTATTTGGGAGGCCAAGGTGGAAGGATGGCTTGAACTTGAGAGGCTGAGGTTGCAGTGAGCAGTTATTGCACCACTACATTCCAGCCTGGGCAAAAAAGCAAGACCCTAACTCAAGAAATATATATAATAGAAATAAAAATCAGCTCTCATTGATTTCTATGTAAATATGCACACTTGATGTCCATATAGACATAAATAATAATATTTCTGACAATGGGTCCATATGATCTTCAAAATGTAAAATGCCTATCTGTGTAATTGACTGGTCAATCTCATTAATGAATATAGATTCAATTCTACTTTCTTGTTCTACATAAATTATATAATCTAGCTTTCATTTCACTTATTTACTGATAACAACAGGAAGAATGACAAGATATCTATTTTGGAAAATTACTCTGGTAGGAGTAAAGATGAAACAATGATAGAATTGCAAGGAAAACTAGAAAAAAGTATGGTCTTCTGATATTCTATCACATCACATACTAAAGGCCTCATAAAACTCAGATATTTTATCTAAAAATGTTATTTTCCTCATAGGAATAATCAAATCATGAGACTACAATTGTATTAAAATGTGCTTGTATCACAAGCACAGGTGCTAAAAAGGAGGGGAAAACATCATTACTGATATCTTCAATGTATGTTTTACTTTCCATCAACATGAACCTCAACTTGATATGATGCAGATTGAAGGAAATCACCCATAATTCCCTATGAAGAAGGCCTGTGATACTTTATGGGAAAAAAAAATAGAGAAAATGCTAACAGAAACCCTATTAAGCATGAAGCTTTACGGAGCAAACACAAATCCAGTGGTGAAAGATACACACTCGAGTTCTGTTTGTTGTCTTGGAACAATACGGTTTAGAGGTGACTGTCAGGTGAGGAGAACATATGCGAGTTCACCAAAGAGAAAAGCGAAATAAGGCAATGCCTCTTCTTGACCATATCTCTTACTCAGATAGCTATATAATTTATTGTCCAGTAAAGGGTATATTTAAAAATCATATTAAAAGTCATGCAGTGAAGTTGTCCAGGGAAATCAAAACTTAACAGTCTCACTCTGAAAATAATGAACAGGGGGGTTCCCTCAAGATAGACTAGGACATGACCCCACACTGGCAGGTAGTAGTACCAGAAAAGAACCCATGGAAAATCTTTACCTTATGCTTGAGGTACGGACCAGGCTAAAGTGAAAGCCAGACATAAAATTCTATCTAAAATAAATCCACCATTGAAGAAAATATGTGGTGTACAGGCATAGAATGTCTTTACCGGATCATTGAAATAGTAAGATAAATTCAACTTTTTACATTTTTTTCTTTTCCTCCAGTTAGGGCTTGAGGTTTGTCTCTGGAGAGTGACTGTCAATTGGAGCCCTTCCTTTCTGGGGTTCTGGTAAGGGGGTTGTGGATGCTTAACATGTGCCTTTCACAGGACACTTCCTTACCCCAGCAGTGGCCAGGTGTGCATCCCACGACCAGGCCTCCCTCTCACAGAACTGTTGAGACTAGGAGATGCCTGGTGACTGTTGCCTGACCTGTGTTTTGTGTATTTCTGACAAGAGCCACTCTAACAGACCTTGGCCAGGAGGACAGTTAGGTTCCAGTATAGGTCAGCTCAAACCCATGGAGGCCACAGAACCAAACATGGGAAATCACAGAAGTAGGTTTATTACTCACAGATCCAGAGAAAAGAGAGTAGCTGAGAAGAGGGTTTAGCTGTGTCCCCAGCCAAATCTCATCTTGAATTCCCACATGTTGTGGGAGGGAACAGGTGGGAGGTAATTGAATCATGGGGGCAGGTCTTTCCCATGCTGTTCTTCTGATAGTGAATAAGTCTCACAAGATCTGATGGTTTTATAAAGGGGAGTTTCCCTGCACAAGCTCTCTTGTCTTGTCTGCTGCCATGTGAGACATGCCTTTCACCTTGTGCCATGATTGTGAGGCCTACCCAGCCATGTGGAACTGTGCGTCTATTAAACCTCTTTCTTCTGGAAATTACCCAGTCTTGGGCATGTCTTCACCAGCGGTGTGGAAATGGACTAATACAGTAGCACACCTCATAGGGCTGAACAAAATGGGGAAGATGAGTGGGGAGCAGGAGAGAGAAAAGGGGTCTGTGGGACTCCAGCCTTTATTGGGCCCAGAACATTACCCAAATAAGTTTTCCACGGGGCACTAGTCAGTGGGGTGAGTGCCAGCAGGCACATTTCTTGACTCCTGCTGCAACCGAGCAGGTCACTCTGGCGTGTGGGGTCTGTCCATGTGCGCTGTGAGCTCTGTGGGGTGAGTCAGGTAGGTTGTATCCAACGGTTCCATAGCTGGTAGTCACCAGGAGGGGGCAACTGTGTAGGGTCAATATCTGGGCCAGCCTCACTGAGGAACAGTGAGGGTTAGAACTGGAAATTGTCAAGGGAATGTGAACCCAGCTACCATATGAGAGAGTTCAACTTATGTTCAATGTGAATGCCATGGCAATTTTAAAAGGTAAGAATTCGCTCCATACGTGCTTCAGGTAAATAGGACAAACCTAGAATTTATGTAAACAGTGAGAAGATTGGATGCATTTTCCATCACATATTTTAATACTAACAGCTTATTATATACGTCAATCTATCAGGCATTCAGAAATACATGCTTATGAAAATTTTTTGCACCATCAGACAAAAGACAAGGGTAGAAGACATTTGTAACCCTATAAACACTAGTAAATTAAAAACAGAAGGACCTTTATGTCCTAACGTATGTGTGTTGTGAAAGGCTGCCCTGTGAAATACGGGATTTCTTCAACATATTTTAAAAATCATAAGTGTCAATATATTTTAGAAATCCACTTAAATTTTCTCTTGTTATTTTTCAATGCCTATTTATTTATTTATTGGCTCTGCTGATTTTGATGTATATCCTAAACTTTACATTTTCTTTAAAGGATGTTTTATACAGCTTTATGTACAATATTTCAATATCTTCACATTCTCTCCCTGTCCTTTTGTTTTGCTCTTATATGGTGGTCTTGAGTCTTTTCTCTGGCTTTTCAAACCTAGTAAGGCTAAGACACTAAAGTAACTTTGCCCGTGGTTTGGTAATGCCTTCTAAAGCACATCCTAAGCTCTCGTGCATACAGGGGTCTCCTTTGAGCTCTGTGCTTTTGAGATCCCATATACCTAAATTCCAGTACTCCAAATCAGTACTACTCAGTTTTAGTTACTAAGTTTAAAAATGTATTTTAATAACAAGTTAGTTTAGTGCACTCTTGCTTCTTTCTTGACTGCTTGTATACATGTATATTCCTTTAAATGAATCTTGGAATTTATTTAAAAATTTTAAATTATACTAATGAAACTTTATATTGTTGTGAATTCATAAGTGAATTTGGAAAGAATTTGTCTTTATGATACTAAATCCTTTTTATCCAAGAATCATATGTGTCTTTATATTTATTCCAGTCTATATTTATATCACTGAGTAAATATATAGAAATGTAGATACATACAGCTGTAGTTATAGATACAAATATAGATATAACATGTTAAATCTATATCTATCCCATATAACATATATACATAATATATGTGTGTGTGTGTGTATATATATATATATGTTTATGTTATTAAAGAGCTCCCTTAAAATTTTTCCTTTATTTCCTATATAATTTTAGGTTGAGCTTCAATTTTCCTTGTATAAGCAAGCAAATATTTATACTAGTTTTAATACTGAAGTTTAGATCTTGTGTCTTATTTTAGCATTGAATATTTGCACAATTATAAATATTATCTAATATTAATAATGTACCTGTTAAAAATATTTAAAATTTTACCTTGAATTATTTTATTGTTGAATTAAATTTCCTTTAATATGATATTAAATTTCTATTTTATGCTTTTTCTATGCATATGCAAATTAATCTATCCACTTATCTATCTCCATGTAGTAACATGAAAATCAGGCCTCTCTTCTTCTAATGGACATACTCATGTTTGCATATAGAATATCAGACTCTTTATAGCATTTAAAATCCTTAAAGACATGAATATTGCCTTTTAACAAATATATTTTAGCATGTACTGAGAATCCCCTATTTATTTTTAATTTGGACTAATCAATGTGATTATTAATATTATTGGATTACCAAATTTGGAAACACACTTTCATCCCCAAGGCGGATATTTGTTTTATTTTTTTTTTTTGCCAATTTATTGTCTTACTGTTTCAAACATTATTGGATATTATTTTAATTTTATTTGACATTTTAGTATCAACATTTTTAATTGATGTACTCTACATATTTTTTCTTCAATATCTGGTGGGTTTTATAATTACGGCTATAATGGATTTGTAGTAGACATTGACAAAAATTATTCTTGTATGTTTTACAGCTGTATGAAGGAAACTAATATATTTTACCCCTAAATATATTTCCTTGATAAATTTCAAAATGGCTATTGAGAAGGGCTGGAAATGCAAACTTAGCTGCAAAGCTGTCTTGGGGAGATTTGCATCAGTAGAGAATCTGCCTTGATGCAGCCAGGCTTTCTCTGAGGTCTGCCCCCTTGTCTGGATCTAGGAAAGCTTAACTGAGAGTCTGAGGTCTCCAAAGGTCTGAAAGAAACATTTTCTGTCTATTCTCTCTGAGGACTGCTCCCCGTGAGTTTCCACCTATGTAATAAGTCCACTTTTGCTAGCCAGGGTCGTTTTCTCACATAACCTTTTTTTTTTCCCTGTGATCCAAGACCCCATTCTTTCTGTAAACTTCATGTGGTAGATAAGCTTCTGCACGCATCGTGTGTCTGGGTCTTCGTTCTAAGGGCTCCAGTGTACACACATTGCAGAAACCTGTATGCCTTTTCTATTATTTGTCTGCCTCCTAATAGTGATTTTCAGGGAAGCTTCAGAGGCTAAAGGGACATTCTCCTTTAGCCCATTCTCAGACAAAATCCCCCAACATTTAACTGATTCCTAATACTTAAAATCACTTTGACAAAGCCATATATTTATAACCTTTTCTTCCCTCTATGATTTCTGGTCAGCTTGGGTTTTGGTTTTCATTCCATTTACTTCATCCTGGAAAAGATCTATTTTATGTCTGTTTACTCTCATTTATGGGTATTGAGAAAAGAAAATAACTTTCATGTGAGAAATGCAAGTCCTTTTAAATAATCAGGCCCAGAGAGATATTCAAATGAGACAGCAGTTCTGTCCTGCTCCGCTTTGAGCTGTGTGTTAATCTAGGCTGCTTGCTGTTGCCACAGTAGCTATAAATTAACCAATAACGCCACACCAGATACTATATTCCACACCCAATAATAGTGTAACAGTGTATAGCCAGTCACTAATAAATGTTATTTCCATAAGCCAATGAGAATTTGTGACAAACCTGTTTGCATCGTCCCACTTCTGGACCCCTTTTTGCCTTTAAGGATCTGCTTGTTGCAAAGCTCCAAAGGGAGTTCATATCCAAGTATACTTGGGTCTGTTTCTTCCAGGCAGCTGTCCTCATTGTGGCTCAAGTAAACTCTTTGAATTATGTTTTGTGCTTCAGCCCCTTCCACTTACATTAACAACATGGATTTGTGTCATCATGTACAGCAATTAAAATGTTTACACTTTTCCCCTCGAGGGCACTTATGTGTTTTCCTGAGCACTTGGAATAGCTACGTAGTGTTTACTGCCTAGATTATGGTTTCTCAACCTTGGTGCTACTTACCTTTAGGACCGGAGGATTCTTTGTTGTGGGAGGCTGCCCTAGCAATGCTAGGTGTTTCGTTCGACCTCTAAATTTCACACCTCCACCAGTCTTGACATCCCCACAATAACCCTAGACATTGACAAATGTCTCCTGGGGAAAACTCTCCACCAGTTGACAGCCAAAGTTCTGGAAATATTGGAATTGTCAATTGAGATTTCATGTTATCCAAAACAAATACTTTTCTTTGTTTTTAAACATCTACTTCCATCTACTTATCTACTTATTTTTACTTTTATTTGTAATTTAATTCCATCAAGGAGAGAGAGTGCATTTTCTGTTATGCTAAATTTTTGAAGAATGTATTGATTTTTTATGACCTGATATATGGATGTTATGTAGATATTACATGTTTGTATTATCAAATTTCAGGGCGATAAGAAAATAAATACTTATAATATTTATATTGTCACTGTATATTAGTTATTTTCTTTCTTCACTACAGGAGTTTTTCAACCTATAGGCTATTTTTCAATTCTAGGTTATCCAGTAGATTTTGAAATGTTATGATTTAATATCTACTTCTCAAGCATTCATCTTTGCAAATGAAACAATCCCAAGCTCTTATAATGCACATCATATAAAGGGCAGATTAGTCAATATATGGTTCAGAAATAATTATGTAATATTTATAAGAAAATTAAAAATTTAGATCCTTAACTCAGATAACAATAATGCAAATTAAAATTTGATTTCATTACATAATTTAAAATGACACCAGAATACTAGTAAAAATGTAGATAAGTTTATATAATCTTTTTTAGGTGTAGGACTTTATTAGCATAAATTCAAATAGAGGAACCAAAGTAAGATTGAGACCTGTAGTCAAAGGTTAAAATGTACACATTATAGGGGCATGATTAAACTAATTTAAAGCATGATAACATGGAGAAATATTGCAAAATATACATTTGACTGAATTAATTGTTAATACCTAATCATTATGTGAGAACACAATTAAAGAGTAGCTACACACGCACACACCCACACGCAAGTGCAATATTGTCAAATAAACGATGTTCAGCTACACTAGAAATCACACCTGTGTTTTCTCCACAGAAAAGATTAAAAAGCACAATAATATTTATTGTACATATGGAGGTAAAGATACTCAAAAGATTACCCTAAAATACATTTTTTTTGAGATGGAGTTTTGCTCTTTTTGCCCAGGCTAGAGTGCAATGGCACAATCTTGGCTCACTGCAACCTCAGCCTCCCAGGGTCAAGTAATTCTCCTAGCTCAGCCTCCCAAGTAGCTGAGATTACAGGCATGCACCACCACACTAGGCTAATTTTTTGGATTTAGTAGAGACGTGGTTTCACCATGTTGGTCAGGCTGGTCTCCAACTCCTGACTTCAGGTGATCTTCCCACTTCAGCCTCCTAAAGTGCTTGGATTACAGGCGTGCGCCTGGCCAGCTTTTTGACATATTTCAAGATGGCTACTCGGAAGACTGGAGATAGCTTCTTCTACAAGAATAGCTGGTTTATTGGGGAGATTTGCATTTGTAGAGAAAATCTGCATTGATATAGACAGGCTTTCCCTGAGATACTCCCTTGTCTGGATTTAGGAAAGATTAAGTGAGCCTGGCACGTTTACATTTTTAAAAACCTTTTCCTATCTATACTTCCCAAGAGGAGGGCTGCTCCCTGTGAGGTTTCATCCATGTAACAAGCCCACCTCTGCTGCCAGGCTCCTCTTTCTTCCTTGTCATCACCTTTCTTCCGCAAAGCCTGATTTACCAACCTACAGCTCTGTGTTTTCTGTAACTTCAAGACAGCATAGGCGTGTTGACTACCTTGCCTTTCCTGGAGTTTTTATATGTATAGTATATATTTGTACATCTGTGTATAATATACTATTATTTGTATAGATATATTTCTATATATTATGTGAACTCCAAGTGCACACTTGTGCACATATCTGTAAACCTTTTTTTCTGTTAATTTGTACATTATCAGTTTGTTTTATAGACTCAAATAATTAAAGCTTCAAGGGAAAAATTTAAACTTTCCTATAGAGAAAAGACAAATATATAGGTGACAAATAATATTTAGAGTGTAAGACGCTTTTTAAAGGTATATTTGCAATTTGTGTCAAAACATTTAAATATACATTTGTTATTTTAACTATAAAATTTCAAATAATTTAAGCCAAATACATAGTATATGCAGAAAATTTAGCAATATATCTATGTAGCACCTTACTGTGCATTACTGTAACCAGCCGTCTAATATAAAGAATTAAGGTAGCAGCTACTTTTCAAAGAGTGCATTTTTTTCACAGACCTACTAAATAAGACAAATAACATTTAAACTTTATTTTTAAATTTGCAGAATAGTAGTTTTCAGCGGATGGTTTATTTTAGCAAATTCCATCTTCACATTGTGCTATGCTTTTATGAGTTCCAGCTGTTAACGGATCATATTTTACTGCTGAAACTATCATGTGTGATATAATTGCTCATTATGTGCCTTAAAACACAAGCAATATAATTATTTTCAACTTGGAGCAAATTAAAATCTTATCAGCAATTTAAAATCTCTAGAGTCGACTTCTCCTGGTTAATTATTTTAAACTTGTATTTTTATCTTTATGTTTTTAGTGAGTTGTCTTATCAAGGAGAAGAACTCAAGCTGATTATTCTTTTTTTCTCTTCCATCCACCTCGCAGGTGTGTTAATAATTTCATTTCTCAGAAAATATTCTTTCATATCCATCTTACAAGATGAGAGACCTTTCAACATCTTCCATTCAGATGTGATACCAGTAATGGAAAATATTCCAGCTTCATGAATATGGTGATACAAATAGTTATCCGTCTAACCTCTTTCAGTGCCAAATGTTTACTTTACTCAGTGAATTACTCAGTTGACTGGTAATTTCTTCTGAAATCACTAATGAGAGGATCAGAGGTCTGGCTGTTGTCTGTACCACATATGACTCCCAGTGCAGACAATTGTTTCTATGGAGCACAGACAGTTGAAAGGATTGACTTCCTGCCTAGAATACTTTCTGCTGTGCTTCGTATCCTTCTTGTGGAGATTTCAGATTATCTGAATTGCTTTTCTATCTTGAGAAAAAACGCAACAATTCTTCCACCTGAGAGGAATGTAAACTGTAGTAACTTAGCGGAACCAATCCATAAAATTTTTACTTTGTTTCTTGCAAAAAGCAGCGCTGGTGTCTCCATCACTAACATTTTCTATCCCTCATTGCTCTTTGTTTGACTGCAATAGGATACCTCTAGGCAAATCTGTATTCCCGAGACAGAGTGCCCTTTTTGTGAGCTATAAGCACACTCAATGGTAGGCTGAAATACTGGCTTTTATGTATAGTGAAATGGAATCATATCAGTGATTTTTTTAAAAAGGAAATTTAACTCTTGCTATGGTTTGAATGCTTGCCCCTTCCAATCTCATGTTAAAATTTGATCCCCAATGTTGCAGGTGGGGCTTCCTGGGAGGTGTTTGTTCATGGGGTTGGACCTTCATGAATGGATAATACCCTCCTTTAGAAATCTAAAGCTATCCTCCCTCCTTGGTGCCCTCAGGAATGAGTGTACCATTCTTTATTCACCTATAATTCCCCCACCCATCCTTTTTGAGATATTAATTACATGTATGTTACACTGCTGCATATTGGCTGAGGTATCAGTGAGTTTCTGGCTTTCTTATTTTAGTTTACCCTTTGTCCTTTAGTTTGTAAAGCTTCTATATTTTCTATAAATTTTCTGATGTTAGGGTAAAATCCATTACTTATTCTATCTCATGGAATTTTTATTTCAAATATTTATTTTTCATCTATACATGTCACATTTCTCATTTTATAACTTCTATTTTTCTCCTAGGTTCAATTTTCTTTTAAGTATCTTGACATATATATGTATTTATCTATATGTATTTATAAAATATATTTACTTTAAGGACCTTTAAATTTCCTTCTTTTCCGTCATTTATAAATGACTTATTTTTTTCCTGTTAATATATATCTTAATTATATATATCTTACGGCTTCTTTGCATGTCAGAGTTTTTTTTGGGGTATTTTGATGTTATGCTATTGAATATCTGATTTCATTGGCTAACTTTGAACAATGTTGTGGCAGGCAGTTCAGTAACTTCAGGATGAGTATTTGTCTGTTGTTGTTTTAAATCTTCTCTTTAAACTTTGTGGAGTTAGTATAGAGCCATCGGTCATTTGGAGCTAAATGAGCACTGTCACTAAGGCATGAACCTCCAGTGGTCTTTACTGAATATCCTGGAGGTACAGAGGGGATTCCCTTCTCTAATTAGAATTTGGAATATGAAGAGAAAAGAGAAAAATAGAAAGCTATGCATAAACATGTGCATTCATATGAATTTTATGTGGGCTTTTCCATGAAAATATTCCTAAGGTATTTTATTTTTTTATTGTGGTAAAATACACATAACATAAAACGTACTGTCAACCATTTTATGTGTACAGTTCAGTGGTACTAAATATAGTCATAATATTCTGCAGCCGTCCCTACGATCCAATTCCATAATTCGTTTCATCTTGTAAAACTGAAACTCTATACACATTAAACAATACTTCCCCATTTCTTCCTCCCCCCAGCTTCTGGCAACCATCATTGTACCATCTCTATAATGCTAATCAAGCATAGTGGCTGTGTTTCTTGCTTCCTCTAGTCCGCAGGTAGCATACAAATGTAATAAACTACTTATTCACGTCACATCTATTTATTTTCTGCACTATACCAAGCTGGTAGGTTTCTCTTAAATACAACATTTTTATACTTACACCTATGCAATACCCATTAGCATCGCCTTCCTAAATAAGGGGAAATTGAGCCTCTGTAATGTGGAGCAACTTCCTAAGATATAAAACTCAGCATTGAAGTCTGTATACTTCAATATCCTGCCCTCTTCTCATTTGTCTTTACTGCCTTTTATGTATGTGTTAGATGTTCAATAAATTCTCTTTTTTAAACTGAATTTAAGCCGTGGAGCAGTGTTTTGTTGAACAGTATATATGATATAGGACACACTTCCTCCCTTTCATTTATGATCCTGTTCATGAAAAAGAGAAATTCTTTCATTGTGCTAGAAGCTTAAAATAATGAAAATGCCACTTTTTACATTAAACAGAAATTGAAGGGAATCAAGGTGAATTGCATGAGACATAGAAAACAACTGGGAAATAAATCTAGTATAATTTGCCCTTTGTGTACCTTTATTATTTAGCGTTTGAGTAAATGATTCCCCCAAATATCTTCCCATCTTAATTCATGTCTCTAAAGGAGACATTCATGTCTCACCTTGTCAAGAAGGGCAAACTCTAACATAAACATTTCCCAAAAATGCTTCCTGCTAAAACGTAAGCTCAGTCTGGCTAGAAATGCAGCTCAGTTCATAAAGATTAATTGGTAGCTAACTTCGCATGCTGTTCTCTGAACTTGAGTGAAACCTGTCCATCAGGCATACAGGGAATGATGGAAAAGGTGACAACAGAAGATGAATGCTATGTCACTAACCTTCAAAGATGACCTGCCTTTTCTTTCAAATTCTTGATATCTTAAGACTTCATTAATTCATCTCTCTTTGCCCTTGGTTCAACAATGTGCTATGCCAAAACTCATGTAAAACAATGATCTAATGTAATAAAAATGGCATTTTTCTTTCATGTAGATGGAAGCTAACTGGCATTTTTACAATCTACATATTTCCTTTGTCAATTTTTCTTTCTGTATTGGAAGTAATTGATAGGTATTTCTGAAGGGATGAAGGTGTTTCTGTGTTCATTGTGATCCAAACTATTTTTAGACCTAGGGGCTTTTGTAAAACAATTTGTGCCAGCTGACCAAGGATCACTGTGGCAGAAAGCAGCAAACTTGCATAAGATGTCACTGCCTCATAAGTTGGATTTGAATACTAGGGGCTTACTCTATGGGCTTATGAATCAAAGACATTGATAGATGTAGTATAAGATTACAATCATATTTTCTTTTTGACAGTCACATTATAAAGCATGATGCATTGCAACTAATCTCAATTAGCTGATCACAATTAAAATTAATAATGTTTATTATTGCTGATAAACAATCATGACTCTCCTGTTCTCAAATGTGCAAGTAATTCTTGTAATTTTAATACGAATTTGCATATTATTATTAATTGATTTAATCTCATTGGATTTGGTTCATGGATCCAATTTATTAAAATATTGATAATGGGATAATGACTTGTCTCTCCATTTCATGTACACTAAAAAATACAATTCTTACAACGGTCTGCAAGCCCATCATGATCTGCCGCATGTTAACTGCCAAAATTCTTTTATATCTTCCCCCTTGGTCTTACCAGTGGTCCTGGCCACCTCACTGTCCTCTGGACATGCCAACAGGTTGCTGCTATATGACCAAGACTCTAGTTAATTTCTTGCCTTGGAAAGATAGCCCTCCATATATCCATTGGTCAGCTCATTCAACTTTCTCAAGTCTTTACTGAAACTTCACATTCTCGATGAGGCCTATTCAGTATTTCAAACTGCCTCCCAGCTGCAACATTCCAAAACCCCTTACTCTTCTGTGTATTTCTGAAAGGATTTATTGAGATATAATTTACATAGTGTAGAGTGCACACATTCAAGTCTACAAGTCAGTGGCTTTTAGTATATGCACAGATAAGTGGCGCCATCATCACAAAGAATTTTAGAGCATTTTCATCACTTCAAAAAGAAACCCCACCTTCTCTAGCTGTTAACCTCCTATACACCCATCCCCTACTCAATCCTAAGCAACCACAAATCTGTTTTCTGTCTCTATAAATTTTCCTATTCTGTTTTCATCTAAATAGAATCATACAATAGGTGGTCTTTTCTGCCTAGCTTCATTCAGTTGGCATAATGCTGTCAAGGTTCAAGCACGAATCGGTACTTTATTTCTTTTTATAACTCTATAATATTCAATTTCATGGATAAAAAATTTTGTTTATCCAATAATATTTTTATTAACTTTTGAGTTGTGTTCAGCCTTTGGCTATTTTAAATACTGCTCCTAAAAATACTTGTGTACAATTTGTGTTTGAACACCTCTTTCCAATAATCTGTGTGTATACCTTGGAATAAATTTCTGGGTCATATGACAATTCTATGTTTAAAATATTTAGAAGCCATCACATTATTTTCCAAAGTGGCCAGTTCTAGCCATAGAGTATCTAACTGTGGTTTTGATTTGTAGTTTCCTGATGAGTGATGCTATTGAGTATCTTTTTATGGGATTATTGACCGTTCGTGTATGTTCTTGGGAAACACATCTATTCCTATCATTTATCAGTTTTGAGTTGGGATATTTGTTACTGAGTTAAAACAATTTTTCTATATTCAAGATACTTATATATACAGACATATAGTTTCGTGTTTTTCAACTATCTTCTCAAAATTTCTGAGCTGTCTTTTGACTTGCTTGGTTGTCCTTTGAAACACCAATATCTATAATTTTTAAGAAATTTTAAATATCGAATTTTTATTTTGTTTCTCGTGTTTTTGGTGTTACAGCTATTCCTTTGCTAGATCCAAAATACTGAAGAATTTCCCATTCACTTTATTCTAGCTCTCGCATGAGTGTCTTTAATTCATTTGAGTTAATATTTTTGTATGCTTTGGGGTAAGGGTTCCAATTTATTATTTTGCAAGTGGTGATCCACGTGTACGTTGTTGACCTAGTTTGTTCAAAGACTGTCTCTTCCTCATTGAATTGCACATGGCACCACTGTAAGAATCCATTGACTATAGACACATAGTTTTATATATGGACTCTGAATTCTCTTCCATCAATTTATATATTTTTCCTTCATCAGTATTCTGTTGTCTTGATTACTGATACTTTGCAGTAAGGTTTGGAGCATGGGGCTGTGAATTATCCTAATATGTTTTCTTTTTTCAAGATTATTTTTGCTATTTTGAGTTCCTGACTATTCCATGTGTATTTTAGAATCAGCTTGTCAGGTTCTAGACAAGAATCCCTGGGATACTTGCAGGGATTTCATCAAATCTGTAGTTCAAATTGTAAAGTACTACAATGTTAAATCTTCCAATTCATGGCTGTAAGATGTTTGCTAATTATTTAGATATTCTTTAAACAATAATTTTTAGTTTTCAGAGTAAACTCTTGTATCCCATTTTCCTAATTAATTATTATTTCTTTTTTTGATGCTATTTTAAATTGAAGTGTTTTCTTAATTTCATTTTGGGGTTTTCATTGTAGATGTGTGCAATTGATTTTTGTACATTTATCTTGTATGCTGTAATATTGCTGAAATAATTTACTAGTTCTATCGTTCAGTGGATTCCTTAAAATTTTCTCTATACAAGAATGTTATTTTCAAATAAAGTTTTATTTCTTCCTGTTCAATATGGATGACTCTTATTTTTTTAGTTGCCGATTTGCCCTGCATAAAATCTTTAGCACAGTGTTGACTAGAAGAGGTCAAATTATATATACTAGTCTTATCTCTGACCATGGCAGGAAAGCATCCTTTACCATTAAGTTGCATGCTTGCTGTTGTCTTTTCACAGGTGCCATGTATCTGGTGTAGAAAGTTCTCTATTCCTGGGTCATTGTGTTTTAATTTTTATTTTTAATCATTAAAGCATTTGGATTTTGTTAAAAGTCTTTTCAGAATCATCAATCGAGATGATCATGCAATTCTCGTTTCTTATTCTATGGATAAGATGTATTACCTTAATGGATTTTGGGCTGTTAAACCACCCTGGGATTACTTGTATAAATTTCACTTTGTCATAGTGTATAATTCTTTTATATGTTGCTAGATTTGATTTGTTAGTATTTTTTTTAGGAATTTTGCATTTATACTTATAGTATTTTTATTTTTCTATGCTATTTGGACTATTTTTTGTGTCAAGGTAACACTGGCCCCAAAGAATAAATTGGGCAGTGAATATTTCTCTCTTTTAAAAAAGCTAGTCAAGCATTAATAGCAATTATTCAACACTAACAAATATTATTATTATAAATTATTAATTTCTCTAATTTTTATTTTCTTCCTTCTGCTTGCTTTAGGTTTAGTTTGTTATTCTCTCCAGTGTTTTAATTTGGAAGGTCATCTTATCTCATCCTTTCATTTGTCTTTTCATTTTCTAAATAGTGTCTTTTTAGCATCAGGTGAGCTCCCAAGGTTGGTAGTACTCCATGTTTATTGCTGTACAACAATGACAGGTAATATGTCCTGATGACAATGGAAACTTAACATTCAAAATCTCCTAGATTCCACCTTATATGACATGTCTCTTCAATTGGTCCTAATTTCTACCTTTTCTCTATTATAAACCATGAGTACAATGGCATTCAATGAGTTCTGTGAGTCTTCCTAGTAAATTCTTGAAACTGAGGGTGTTCAGGGGAAACCCCTGAACTGGCAGTTGGTGTCAGAAGTGAGAATCGTCTTATATGGCCTCTTCCTTTGAACTTTGCAGCTGGACACAAACTCTGCACAATTTGGACCAGAAGTCTCGTGTTGACTTTGCAGCCTAAAGTATCCTGTAGTTTCTCTAACCCTCAATAAATTTGCTTTCATCAAATATTGTATATGTTACCCCAAAATTACCATGACGTTTTTTTTCTCCAAATAACTAACATTGGGAGAAATAGCCAGCTGAGTCTGTAACTCAACAGAAACAAGTGATCCATATACCACATACCATATAAGTGGCCATTTCATTTTGCCTTCTGCCACCAAATCTTAGCAACCTCAACCATTGCCATGAGCCACAGTAGGCCTACCAGCTACAAACAAACAAGTATCTTTTAAAAATACTTCATACTCCCATTTGATAAATTTCCCAGCAAAGACATGCCTACTTTAACTCTATGCAACTGGCTCATATTCACGAAGTCTGTAGATATTATTCATGTAGTGTGAGAAAATCATCCCAGTGATGCCAGCACATTCTCCTTCCCATGATCTGCTTAGTTAGCAAACATATTCAGGCCATGGGTGAGAGATTTGTATTTCACCGTACAACAATTTTATGGAAGGCATTGAAACCTACCTTTAGCATTTTATTACAGTCACACATCACTGAATGATAGGTATACGTTCTGACAGATGTATCCATAGGCAATTTCATCATTTTGCAAACATCACAGAGACTATTACAAACACCTAGATTGTACAGCCTACCACGTCTAGGTTTTATGGCATAGCCTCTCTTTCCCAGGCTACAAAGCTGTGTACTACATTACTCTACTGAATACTGCAGGCAGTAAGAACACAGTGGTAATAGGTTATGTATGTAAACATACTTAAACGTAGAAAAGTATGTAAAAATATGTATTATAATCTCATGGGGCCACTTTTGTATATGTAATCCATCTTTGACTGAAATGTTATTATGCATGACATGACTCTATGACAAAAATAAAATAACACACTGTAAAAAATGTACACAGGTATCAAACATATTAATATTGTAAAAATAAAAATATTTATTAAGTGTAAGAATTTGTAAGGATCACAAAATGTTCACAGCTTATATTTTAGTACAGTTTCAAATGCCTAGTGCAATTACTATTTGTTTCTGTGTATATTTTAAGCATGTATATAATAAATATTTTTCAGGTTCAACAATATATATAAATCCAAGTGGCTCTTATAAATATTAGTTAAAATCAATTAGTAAATTTTATGTATATATACACACGTGTATCAGTCTGTATGCATGTATGTGCATGTAAAGGTAACTGTATGTGTGTGTAAATGTAACTGGATGCATCCTAATATTTACCCTTACCTACAACATTTCCAAGATTCATTTATTGTCTTTAGATGATGTGCATTTAAAGATTTACCAAATAAAACTCTAATCGTGGAAAATATCAAGATGTTATTAAATTCATCTTGTGCACATAATTGTTTCTTTAAATTTATATTTCTTGCAAAATTTGCAGTAATGTTCATGCAACAAATAATTTTCTAAATAAAAAATAAAAACATTTTCTCAGTCATTAATTCTTAATAATTATTTCTCCCCAATAGTTAATGTGAATTAATTCTTCTTTATTATATAATAATGTTGCCCTTCAGAGTTTTGAATCTTTTGCATGTTGTATACATTTCACTAACTAGAACAACTTCTGGAATATTGGCATTAATTAATGTCACTCAGTAATTAATGATTTCAAAGAAATTAAATACCATTCATTTTCTGAATCACAAGGGTACTTTGGCATCTAATTTAATCAAGCTCTTTGTATCATCATCTACACTTTAATTACTTAACAAACATTTCTCTGTGTGAGAAAGATTGAGCAGGTTATTGTGCTTTTTAAAGATGCAACTTTTGCTTAATCTCGAGATAGGCAATGCTCCCTATAAGGGACAAAGAGAAAAATGAAAGAGCAATGGAGATGTGACAGGCATGGAAAAAGAGAATACATTTGTAAAACAAATAGGCCCACAGATGATGATAATGAGGATCAAATCTTGAGATACTGACTCAGGTTATAACCGCACTGTACAATAGAGCAAATCATTGGTTAATTTTTTTACAAATGGAATTTAATTTAATTAAGATGAATACAGTGTTTTAAACAAGGCAGGTTATCTTAAAATAAAATAGTGGAATAAAGTCATAAAACCAATGTTAAAGTCATAAACATTTTTTAAAGAATTTTTTTCATGTAATTTTATTTTTTTTATTTAAAATCACCAAAATCAAAATAATTTTATCTTAATTAACAAATAGTCACCAGAAGTTAACTAATATTTACTTTATAATACTAGTTTTAAAAATTCTTAACTATATTTTTAATCATATACGCTTATACATAAAATAGACATAGGGTGTAAGTTTACATGTTCACAATATTATATTGTAATTGTTCCTCTGGAATGGAATGGAATCATTGAATGGAATTGAATGGAATCACCAATGAAGGGAATCGAATGGTATCATCGAATGGAATCGAATGGAGCCACTTTCATGTGGAATCCACAGGAATCACCAAATGTACTCTAATGGAATAATCATCTAATGGAATTGAGTGGAATCATTGAATGTACTTGAATGGAATCATCAAATGGAATTGAATGGAATCATAGATTGGAATCGAATGTAATCATCAATGAATGGGATCAAATGGAATCCTCGAATGGACTCGAGTGGAATCATCATCAAATGGATTCAAATGGAATCATTGAATATACTCGAATAGAATCATCATCGAATGGAAAAGAATGGAATCATCAAATGGACACGAATGGAAACATCGTCGAATTGAATCATATGGAATCATCAAAAGGAATCGAATGGAATCATCATCAAATGGAATCGAATGGAATCATCAAATGGAATCGAATGGAATCACCAACGAATTGAATCGAAAGGTATCATGGAATGGAATTGAAAGGAATCATCTGCAAGTTAAATCTAAAGGAATCAACGAACGGATTCTAATGGAATAATCATCGAATGGAATGCAGTGGAATCATCGAATGTACTTGAATGGAATCATCGAAGGGAACCGAATGGAATCATCATCGAATGGAATCAAATGGAATCATCAAATGGAATCGAATGGAATCGCCATCAAATGGAATCAAAAGGAATCATTGAATGGACTCGAATGGAATCATCATCGAAAAGAATAGAATGGAATCATCATTGAATTGGATCTAATGGAATCACCGTGGAATGGAGTTGAATGGAATCATTGAATGGACTCGAATGGAATCATCCTAGAATGGAATCAACTGGAATCATCAAATGTACTCGAATGGAATCATCATCGAATGAAACAGAATGGAATCATCAAATGCTACAGAATGGAATCACTGAATGGATTCAAATGGAATCATCATCGAATGGAATTGAATGGAATCATTGAAGGCACTCGAAAGGAATCATTGAATGGACTCGAAAGGAATCATCATCAAGTGGAATCGAATGGAATCATCGAACGGACTCAAAAGGAATCTTTGAATGGACTCGAATGGAATCATCATCAAATGGAATCTAATGGAATCACCTAATTAACTAGAATGGAGTCCACATCAAATGTAATCACAGGGAATCACTGAATGGACTTGAATGGAAACTTTGAATGGCCTCAAATTGCATCATCATTAAATGGAATCGAATGGAATTATTGAATGCACTCGAATGGAATCATCGAATGGACTCGAAAGCAATCATCATCGAGTGGAATTGAATGAAATCATCGAATGGACTCGAATGAAATCATCATCAAACAGAATCGAATGGAATCATCACATGAACTCGAATGGAATCATCATCAAATGGAATGGAATGGAATCATCGAATGGAATCGAATGCAATAATCATCGAAAGGAGTCAAATGGAAACATCATCAAATATAATCTAATGTAATCATCAACGAAGGGAATCGAAAGGAATCATGATTGAATGGAATCGAATAGAATCATCAAAAGGAGTCAAATCAAATCATAAAATGGACTCAAAAGGAATCATTACAGTATGGAATCGAATAGATTCTTTGCATGGACTCGAATGGAATCACCATGGAATAGAATCGAATGGAATCATTGAACGGAATTGAATGGAATCATCATTGAATGAAATCAAATGGAAACATTGAATGGACTCGAAAGAAATCATCAAGTGGAATCGAATGAAATCATGGAATGGACACGAATGGAATCATCATCAAATGGAATCGAATGGAATCATTGAAAGGACTCGAATGGAATCATCATAAAATGGAATCGAAAGGAAACATCGAATGGACTTGAATGGAATCATTGAATGGACTCGAATGGAATCATCATGGAATGGAATCGAATGGAGTAATCGAATGGACATGAATGGAATCATCGTCGAATGGAATCGAATGGAATAATCGAATGAAATCGAATGGATTCATCATCGAATGGAGTAAAATGGAAACATCATTGAATGGAATCGAAAGGAATTATCATCAAATGGAGTCGAATGGAATTATCATCTAATGGAATCAAATGGAATCATCAACGAATTCAACTGAATGGAGAAATCGAATGGAATCCGTTGGAATCTTCATCAAATTGAACGGAATGCAGTCATCATCAAATTGTATTGAATGGAATCGTCATCAAATGGAATCAAAAGGAATAATCATTGAGTGAAATTGAATGGAATCATCAAAAGGAATCAAACCAAATCATAAAATGGACTCGAAAGGAATCATTATAAAATGGAATCGAATAGATTCTTCACATGGACTCGAATGGAATCATCATGGAATGGAATCGAATGGAATCATCAAACGGAATTGAATGGAATCATCATTGAATGAAATCAAATGGAATCATTGAATGGACTCGAAAGAAATCATCAAGTGGAATCGAATGAAATCATGGAATGGACACGAATGGAATAATCATCGAACGGAATTGAATGGAATCATAGAATGGACTCGAATGGAATCATCATCAAATGTAATCAAAAGAAAACATCGAATGGACTTGAAAGGAATCATTGAATGGACTCTAATGGAATCATCATGGAATGGAATCAAATGGAAAAATCGAATGGACATGAATGGAATCATTATCGAATGGAATCGAATGGAATCATCGAATGAAATCGAAAGAAATCATCATCGAATGGAGTCTAATGGAAACATCATAGAATGGAATCGAAAGGAATCATCATGGAATGGAGTCGAATGGAATTATCATCTAATGGAATCGAATGGAATCATCAACGAATTCAATCGAATGGAGAAATCGAATGGAATCCGTTGGATTCTTCATCGAATTGAACCGAATGCAGTCATCATCGAATGGAATTGAATGGAATCATCATCGAATGGAATCGAAAGGAATCATCATCGAATCAAATGGAATGGTATCATCGAATGGAATATAATGGAATCATCATCGAAAGAAATCAAAAGGAATCATCAAATGGAATCTAACGGAATCATCTAATGGAATTGAATGGAATAATCATCGAATGGAATCGAATGGAATCATCGAATAGACTCGAATGGAATAACCGAATGGACTTGAATGAAATCATCAAATGGAATCGAACGGAATAATCGATTGGAATCGAATGGATTCATCATCAAATGGTATCGGATGGAATCAATGAAGGGACTCAAATGGAATCATCGAATGGACACGAATGGAATCATCAATGAATTGACACGAATGGAATCGAAAGGAATCATCATGGAATGGAATCGAATGGAATCATGATCGAATGGAATCGAATGGAATCATCATGGAATGGAATTGAATAGAATAATCATCGAATGGAATCGAATGGGATCATCAATGAATGGAGTCTAACTGAGTCATCGAATGGAGTCTTTGGAATCATCATCGAATGGAACTGAATGCAGTCAGCATCGAATGGAATCAAATGGTATCATCTAAAGGACTCCATGGAATCATCATCGCATGGAACCAAATGGAATCATCTAATCGACATGAATGGAGTTATCTTTCAGTGGAATCGAATGGAATCATCGAATGCACTCAAATGGAATCATCATGGAATTGAATTGAAATGAATCATTGAATGGACTTGAATGGAATCATTGAATGCACTCGAATGGAATCATCATCGAATGGAATAGAATGGAATCATCGAATGGACCCTAATGGAATCATCATTGAATGGAATCAAATGGAATCATCGAATGAAATCGAATGGAATCATCATTGAATGGAATTGAATGGAATCGTCGTTGAATGGAATTGAATGGAATCATCATCGAATGGAATCTAATGGAATCATCATTTAATGGAAACGAATGGAATCATCAACGAATGGAATGAAATGGAGAAATTGAATGGGATCCTTTGGAATCATCATCAGATTGAACCAAATGCAATCATCATCGAATGGAATCGAATGGAATCATCAAATGGATTAGAATGGAATCATCATCAAATGGAATTGAATGGAATCAATGAATGGACTCGAATGGAATGACCATCAAATGGAATCGAATGGAATGATCGAATGGACACAAATGGAATCATCGTTGAATGGTATCGAATTGAGTCATCGAATTGCATCCAATGGAATCATGATCGAATGGAATCTAATGGCATCATTGAATGGACTCGAATGGAATCATCGAGTGGACTTGAGTGGAATCATCATAGAATGGAATCGAATGTATACATCGATTGGACTCAAATGGAATCATAATCAAATGGAATTGAGTTAAGTCATAATCGCATGGAAAGGAATGGAATCATCATCGAATGGAGTCTAATGGAATCATAATTTAATAGAATCGAATGGAATCACAGAATTGAATCAAATGGAATGATCATCGAATGGAATTGAAGGGATTCATCGAATGGGATCGAATGGAGTCATCGAATGGGAATGAATGTAGTCATCGAATGGAATCACGTGGAGTCATCGAATGGATTCAAATGGAATCACTATCGAATGGAATCGAATGGAATCATCGAATGGAATCAAATGAAATCATCATCAGATGGAAACAAATGGAATCATCATTGAATGGACTCGAAAGGAATCATCGAATGGAGTCAGATGGAATCATTGATTGGAATCAAATAGAAGCATCGTAAGAAATCGAATGGAATCATCAATGAACGGACTCATATGGACTCATCATCGCATGGACTCGAATGGAATCATGGTCGAATGGAATCGGATGGAATCATCATCGAATGGAATCGAATGGAAACATCATGGAATTGAATCAAATGGAATCATCATGGAATTGAATCGAATGCCTGATTATCGAATGGAATCGAAAGGAAACATCATCAAATGGAATCAAATGGAGCCATCGAATAGAATTGAATGGAATAGTCATCAAATGGAATCGAATGGAACCATTGAATGAAATCAAATGGAATAATCATTGAATGGAGTCGAACGGAATTATCAAATGGACTCGAATTGAATCATCAAATGGAATCTAGGGGAAGCATCATCGAATGGCATCGAATGGAATCATCAAATGGACTCAAATGGAATCACTGAATTGACTCGAATGAAATCATCGAATGGACTCTATTGGAATCATCATCGAATTGAATCGAATGGAATCCTCGAATAGAATCGAATGGAATCATTGAAGGGAATCGAATGGAATCATCATTGAAAGAAATCGAAGGGAATCATCAAGTGGAATTGAACGGAATCATCAAATGGAATTGAATGGAATCATCATCGAATGGTATCAAATGGAATCATCGAATGAACACGAATGGAATAATTGAATTGCTCGAATTGAATCATAGAATGGTATAGAATGGAATAATTGATTGTACTCTCATGGAATCATCATCAAATGGAATCTGATGGAATCAACGAAGGGGCTCGAATGGAATCATCGAATGGACTCGAAATGAATCATCATCGAATGGATTCTTAAGGAATCATCAAATGGCCTCAAATGGAATCATCATCGAAATGAATCTAATGAAATCATCATCGGATGGAATAGAATGGAATCATCACTAAATGGAATAGAATGGAATCATTGAATGGAATCCAATGGAATCATCAAATGTACTCGAATGGAATCATCTTTGAATGGAATCAAATGGAATCATCGAATGGAAACGAACGGAATCATCAATGAATGGAGTTGATTGAAATCATCTTCGAATGGAATCCAATGGTATCATCAATGAAGGGTATTGAATGGAATCATCATCGAATTGAATCGAATGGAATCAACAACGAATGGAATCGCATGGAATCATTGAATGAAATCCAATGGAATCATCATCAAATAGAAACAAATGGAACCATCGAATGGACTTGAATGGAATCATCATTGAATGGAATCTTATGGAATCATCGAATGGACTCCTATGGATTCATCATCAAATGAAATCAAATGCAATCATAGAACAGAATCGAATGGAATCATTATTGAATGGAATAGAATAGAATCATCGAATGGAATCAAATGGAATCATCAATGTATGGAATTGAATGGAATCATTTAATGGACTCGAATGGAATCTTCATTGAATGTAATCGAATGGAATCATCAAAAGGACTCGAATAGAATCATCATCAAATGGAATTGGATGGAATCAACGAAGGTACTAGAATGGAATCATTGAATGGTCTTGAATGGAATCATCATCGAATGGAATCGAATGGAATCATGGAATGGAATCGAATGGAATCATCATCACATGGAATCAAATGGAATCAGCATATGGAATTGAATGGAATCATCGAAAGACACCAAATGCAGTCATCCTCGAATGGAATCTAATGCAATCATTGAACGGACTTGAATGGATTCATCATCGAATGGAGTCGAATGGAATCATCGAATGGACTCGAATGCAATCATGGAATGGACTTGAATGGAATCATCATTTATTGGAATAGAATGGAATCATCGATTGGACAAGAACGGAACTATCATTGAATGGAATCAAATAGAGTCATCGAACGAACTCAAATGGAATCATAATCGAAGGGAATCGAATGGAATCATCAAATAGATTCGAATGGAATCATCATTGAATGGAATCATTTGGAATCGTTGAATGATCTCGAAATGAATCATAATCAAATGTTACTGAAAGAATCATCATCGAATGGAATCACATGGAATCATCGTCAAATGGAATCATACGGAATCATCATAGAATGGAATTGAATGGAATCATCAGTTGGACTTGAATGAATTTATCAAATGGACCAAAAGGGAATCGAACCGAATCAGCTTCGAATGGAATTGAATGCAATCATTGAAAGGACTCGAATCGAATCATCAAATGGACTCGAACGGAATCATTATAGAATGGAATTGAAAAGAGTCATCGGATGGACTTGAATGGAATCATCATTGAATGGAATCGATTGGAATCATCGAATGCACACGAATGGAATCATCATCGAATGGAATTGAATGGCATCATTGTATGGACTCAAAAGGAATCATCATGAAATGGAATCCATTGGAATCATCGCATATAATCGAATGGAATGATGGAGTGGAATCGAATGGAATCATCTTTGAATGGAATCGAATGGAATCAATGAATGGAATAGAAGGCAATCAGCATTGAATGGAATCGAATGGAATCATCGAATTGAATCAAATTTAATCACCATTGAATGGACTCAAATGGAATCATAATCGAATAGAATCAGAAGGAATAATCGAATGGACTCGAATGGAATCATCAACGAATGGAATCAAATGGAATCATAGAATAGAATCGAATGGAATCAACATCAAATGTAGTTAAATGGAATCATCAAATGGAATCGAATGGAATCATCATCGAATGGAATCAAATAGAAACAGTGAACGAAATCGAATGGAATCAACATCGAATGTAATCGAATGTAATCACAGAATGGTATCTAATGGAATCATCATTGAATGGAATAGAATGGAATCATCTAATTTACATGAACGGAATCATTATCGAATGGAATAGAATGGAATCATCATCTATTGGACACAAATGGAATCATCTATTGGACACAAATGGAATCATCATTGAATGGAATAGAACAAAATCATCATTGAATGGTAACCAAAGTAACCATCAAATGGATCCCAATGGAATCACCTTAGAATTGAATAGAATGGAATCATCATCGAATGGAATTGAATGGAATCATCTAAAGGACTGCAATAGAAACACCATCGAATGGAATCATCTATTGTACTCGAATGGAAACATCATAAAATGGAATCAAATGGGATCATCGAATGGACTCGAATGGAATCATCATCGAATGGAATCGAATGGAATCATCTAATGGACCCAAAAGGAGTCATCATCGAATGGAATTGAATGGAAACAACAAATGGACTCGAATGGAATCATCATCGAATATAATTGAAATAATCATCAAATGGATTCGAATGGAAACATCGAATGGACTCAAATGGAATCATCATTGAATGCAATCAAATGGAATCATTGAATGGACTCGAATGCAATGGTCTTCGAATGGAATCGAATGGAATCATGGAATGGAATCCAATGGAATCATCTTCGAATAGAATTGAATGGAATCATCGAATGGACTCGAATGGAGTCATCATCAAATGGAATTGAATGTAATCATCGAACAGAATCGAATGTAATCATCATCGAATCAAATCACATTGAATTATCAAATGGAATCGAATGGAATCATCATCAAATGGAATCGAATGGGATCATCGAATGGACTCGAATGGAATCATCATCGAATGGAATTGAATGGAATCATCTAATGGACCCAAAAGGAGTCATCATTGAATGGAATTGAATGGAAACAACAAATGGACTCGAATGGAATCATCATCGAATATAATTGAAATAATCATCAAATGGATTCGAATGGAAACATCGAATGGACTCAAATGGAATCATCATTGAATGCAATCAAATGGAATCATTGAATGGACTCGAATGCAATGGTCTTCGAATGGAATCGAATGGAATCATGGAATGGAATCCAATGGAATCATCTTCGAATAGAATTGAATGGAATCATCGAATGGACTCGAATGGAGTCATCATCAAATGGAATTGAATGTAATCATCGAACAGAATCGAATGTAATCATCATCGAATCAAATCACATTGAATTATCAAATGGAATCGAATGGAATCATCATCAAATGGAATCGAATGGAATCATCGAATGGACTCGAATGAAATCATCATCGAATGGAACGGAACCATCAAAAGGATTCGAATGGAATCATTATCAAATGAAAGAGAAAGGAATCATCGAATGGAATCATCATCGAAGGGAATTGAATGGAATGATCTAACAGACTCAAATGGAATCATTGTCGAATGGAATCGAAAGGAAACATCGAATAGACACGAATTGAATCATTATGGAATGGAATCGAGTGGAGTCATCATCAAATGGAATCGTATAGAATCCTCATCGAATGGAATTGAATATAATCATCGAATGAAATAGAATAGAATTATCTCCGAATGGAAACAAATAGAATCATCGAATGAAATCAAATGGAATCATCATCGAATGGAATCATCATCAAATGGAATCAAACAGAATCATCATCAAATGGAATGGAATGGAATGGAATCATCGAATGGACTCGAACGGAATCATCATTGAATGGAATCGAATCTAATCTTTGAATGGACTCAAATGGAATCTTGATCAAATGGAATCGAATGTAATCTTCGAATGCACTCGAATGGAATCATCGATGAATGCAATTGAAGGGAATCATCATCGAATGGAATCGAATGGAATCATCATCGAATGGAATCGAATGGAATACTCGAATGGAATAGAATTGAATCAACATCGAATGGAATCAAATAGTATCATCAAATGAAATCGAATGGAATCATCATCGAATGGAATTGAATGGAATCATCATCATCAAATGGAATCAAATCGAATCATCATCGAATTGAATCAAATTGAGTCATGAAAGAATGGAATCAAATGGAATCATCATTGGCAGGAATCGAATGGAGTAATCAGCGAATGGAATCGAATGGAATCATTGAATGGAATCTCATGTAATCATCATCAAATTGAACCCAGTGGAATCATTACATGAATTCGAATGGAATCATCGAATGAACTCAAATGGAATCATCATTGAATGGAACAGAATGGAATCATCAAACAGAATTAAATGCAGTCATCATCAAATGAAATCAAATGGAATCATCTAATGGTCTCGATTGGAATCATCATCAAATGGAATCAAAAGGAATCATTGAATGGACTTGAATGGAAACACAGAATGGACTCGAAAGAAATCATCATCAAATGGAATCAAATGGAATCATCGAATGGACACGAATGGAATCACCATCAAATGGAATCAAATGATATTATCGAATCGACTCTAATGGAATCATCATCAAATGGAACCGAACGGAATAATCAAATGTACTTGAATGGAATCATCGAATGGACTCGAATCGAATCATCACCAAATGGAATTGAATGGAATCATCGAATAGAATTGAATGTAATAATCATCAAATGAAATTGCATTAAATCATGCAATGAACACGAATGGAGTCATCATTGAATGGAATCGAATGGAATCATCGAATAGACTCGTATCGAATAATCATTGAATGGAATGGAAAAGAATCATCAAACGACATCAATGGAATCATCATTGAATGAAATCAAATGGAATAATTGAATTGCACAAAATGGAATCATCAAATGGAATCTAATGGAATCATCTAATGGACAAGAATGGAATAATCATTGAATGGAATCAAATGGAAACATTGAATGGACACAAATGGATCATCACTGAATGGAATTGAATGGAACCATCATGAAAACAAATCGAATAGAATCATCATTGAATGGAATCGAATGGAATCATCCTCAAATATAATCGAATTGAATCATTGAATGGAATTTAATGGAATCAAATGGAATAATCGAATGGAATTGAATGGAATTAGCATCGAATGATATCAAATGCAATCATCATCGAATAGAATGGAATGGAATCATTGAATGGAATCATCATCTAATGGAGTCAAATGGAATCATCAAATGGACTCGAATGGAATCACCATAGAATGGAATTGAATGGAATCATCGAGTGAAATCAAATGGATTCATCACTGAATGGGATCGAATGGTATCATGGAATGCACTCAAATGGAATCATCAACGAATGGTATCAAATCGTATCATCGAGTAGAATCGAATGGAATCATCTTCAATTGGAATCAAAAGAAATCACCAAATGGACTCGAATGGAATAATCATCGAAAGGAATCAAACGGAATCATTGAATGGAATCGAATGGAATCATCATCGAATGGAATTGAACGGAACCATCAAATGGACTCGAATTGAATCATCATCGTGTGGAATCAACTGGAATCATTGAATGGAATCGAATGGAATTGTCATTAAATGGCATCAAATGGAATCATCATCGAATGGAATACAAAAGAATCAACATCAAATGGAGTCGAAAGGAACCATCATTGAATGGAATCCAAAGGAATCATCAATGAATGGAACCAAATGGAGTCATCATTGAATGGAACCGAAAGGAGTCATCATCGAATGGAATCGCATGGAATCATCATCCAATGGAATCAAATGAGATCATCATCAAATGGAATCGAATGGAATCATCAAATGGAAATGAATGGAATCGTCATAGAATGAATTGAATGGAATCATCGAATGGTCTCGAATGGAATCATATTCAAATGGAACCGAATGGAAACGAATGGAATCATCACATAAAATCGAATGGAATTATCATCGAATGGACTCGAATGGAATCAACATCAAACTTAATCAAACGGAATTATTGAATGGAATCAAAGAGAATCATCGAATAGACTCAAATGGAATCATTTAGTGGAATGGAATGGAATAATCCATGGACTCGAATGCAATCATCTTCGAATGGAATCGAAAGGAATCATCGAATGGACTCGAATGGAATAATCATCGAATGGAATCAAATGGAATCCATCATCGGATGGAAACGAATGGAATCATCATCGAATGGAATCGAATGGAATCACCTAATGGAATCAGATGGAATCATCATCGAATGGAATCAAATAGAATTATGGAATGAAATCGAATGTGATTATCATCAAATGGACACGAATGGAATCATCATCCAATGGAAACCAATGGAATCAACATCGAATAGAATCGAATGGAAACACCATCGTATTGAATCGAATGGAATTATCATGAAATTGAAATGGATGGACTCACCATCGAATGGATTTGAATTGAATCATTGAATGGAATTGATTGGAATCATCATTAAATGGAATCGAATGGAATCATTGAAGGGAATCGAATGGAATCATCATCGGATGGAAACGAATGGAATCATCATATTTTGGAATCAAATGGATTCATTGAATGGAATCAGATGGAATCATTGAATGGACTTGAATGGAATCATCGAATGGACTCGAATGGAATTATTATTGAATGGAAATGAATGTAATCATCGAATGGTTTCGAATGGAATCATCATCGAATGGAATCGAATTTAGTCATCAAATGTAATCGAATGGAATCATCATTGAATGGAATCAAATAGAATCGGCATCGAATAGAATCGAATGGAATCATCATCAATGGAATCGAATGGAATTTTCTTCAAAAGGAATCGAATGGAAATATCATTGAATAGAATCAAATGGGATCATCGAATGAAACTGAATGGAATCATCATCAAAACGAATCAAAATAAAACAAAGAATAGAATCCAATGGAATCATGGAATGGAATCAAATGGAATCATTTAATGGACTTGAATAGAATCATTGAATGGACTCGAATGGAATCATTGAATGGAACCTAATGTAATCATCATCGACTGAAATCAAATGGAATCATCGAATGGAATCGAATGGAATCATCATCGAATGGAATCGAATGAAATCATGGACTGTACTCGAATGGAATCATCGAAAGCATTCAGTTGGAATCAACATTGAGTGGAATCGAAAGAAAACATCAAATGGAGTTGAATGGAATAATCGAATGGAATCATCACCGAATGGAATAGAATGGAATCATTGAATGGACCTGAAAGGAATCATCATCAAATGTAATCAAATGGAATCATCGAATGGAATCCTATGGAATCATCATTGAATGGAACAGAATGGAATAATCATCGAACGGAATCGAATGGAATCATCATCGAATGGAATCGAATGCAATCATCATCCAGTGGAATCGAATGGAATCATCAATGAATGGAATCGAATGGAGTCATCGAATGGAGTCCGTTATAAACATCATCGAATGGAACCGAACGCAGTCATCATCTAATGGAATCAAATGGAATCATCGAACGGACTCGAAGGAATCATCATCACATGGAATCAAATGGAATCATTGAATGGACTCAAATAGAATCATCATCGAATGGAATCGAATGGAATCATCGATTGGACACGAATGGAATCATCATCAAATGGAATCAAATGGAATCTTCGAATGGAATCGAATGAAATTATTGAATGGAATTGAATAGAATCATCATTTAATAGAATCGAATTGGATCATCATCGAATGGAATCTAATGAAATCATCATCGAATGGAATCTAGAGGAGGCATTATCTAATGGAATTGAGTGGATTCAGCAAGGAATGGAATCGAATGGAGAAATCGAATGGAATCCGTTGGTATCATCATCAAATGGAAATGATTGCAGTTATCATAAAATGGAATCCAATGGAATCAATGAAGGGACTCAAATTGTGTCATCATTGAATGGAATCTGATGGAATCATCGAATGGACTCTAATGGAATCATCATCGAATGGAATCAAATGGAATCATCAAAAGGAGTATAATGGAATCATCATCGAATGGAATCAAATGGAATCATCAAATGGACTCGAATGGAGTCATTCAATGGACTCGAATGGAATCATCATCGAATGGAATCTAGTGGAATCCTCGAATGGAATCAAATGGAATCATCAAATGGAATCGAACAGATTTGTAAGAAACTTACTTGAACCAAAAAATAGAAAAACAACAAACCAAAACCCCCTAAAACTGTGTTGAGAAAAGTAGACATCAGAACAGGAAATATCACTGTGGATGAAGAATAACATTTCAAACTGACAAAGGGGAAAATACACCAAAAGTAATGTAAATAAGAAATATGTGTGCACACAATAACATTACTTCAAAATACATAATATAAAACCTATTAAAACTGAAAGGTAAAATAGTAAAACCACAGTCATCCAGGGGGATTTCAGCAGTCTCCTGCCAGAAATTTTTAAATTTTGTTAAATGAAAAGTTGGTAAGTGTGGAGAAGATCTTATAAATATAATTAGCCAACTTGATCTGATTGAATCTTTTAGAATAATCTAAGGATGAGGAATGAGTTAGCAGAGGAAGAAAAGGCAGACATCAACGTGACATTAGTGTTTCAAGGCTATAAGAATACACCAATAATGGCGTGTGTGTGTGTGTGTGTGTGCAGAGGGTAAGCTTAATCTTAAAAATATTGAGTTTTTACTGACAATTCATTATTAGGAAAGATAAGAGGAAATGATATCCAGTGAGAGGCTATATGGCTGAACTCTAAGAGAAAGGTCACGGCAGAAATTGTCTACTTGACAGCTCTATAAGGAGGTCAGTCAAAATTAAGTCAGTGATGAATTCTCTGGGGTAAAAGCAGCGGAATGAGGATTAGATTTAAAACACATGGAAGCAGAGTGACTTATGATAAAAACATGAGCTTGAAAATCCTGCAGAGAGGGCTTTAAATCCTGGGTATGATATTCTACTTGTGTAGGCAATAGTGATAAAAACACAACAACAAAGAGAGGTAAAGAGCACTTTCCTTTGATATAAGTAAAGGGCACGTCTTATTGCACATATATATATAGGTATTCAACTGAGAGTCAACATGTTTCTCTCATTGAAACAGCAAGCTCTCCAGGCCTTCATGTTCCCAGTGAGGTAGGTAAACTTCTGATGATTATACTCACCCTCCCTCATTGCAAAGCTCCCATTGTTATTGTCTTGGCTCTGGATTCCCTCAAAAATACACTATGAAACAAAAATCTTGGGTCAGATACTTTAATCAGAAATTGAGTAAGAAAGCACAGAAGTGGAGAAAATGAAACAGAACACGAAGCCAGTAGTGCTATGTGCTCAGTAATGATGGAGGTATGGAGATTGTGTCAAAATAACTTTACAAACAGATAGGGATGCTGGAATCCCCATCTCTTGTTGCTTAAGGATTGCCTTAGAATCATTAACTCCCCACCCCTAACTCCTTCTTTGTTCCTATGTGTGGTTGAGAAGCACTGGTTAACCTCAAGAAGCTTGCAGGCAGGCCCAAAAATCAGAAAGACAGACATGATGTGGGGAGCGCTCAGTTAGCTGGAAACAGGTGAAATTCAGGTGAACACATTGAGTCCAGGACATAGGAGACAAGTCATCAGCAATATCTGCTATAGCCAGTTTTCTTTTTCTTTTTAAGAATATATGAATATATATACTTTCTATTGGGGGTCCCCAAGTCCCCCTTCGGTTTAATGATTCACATAACTCAAGAAAGCTGATTTTTTCTGTGGTTATAGTTTCTAACAGTGAAATAAACCAGATTAAAATAATCAGAAGCATAAAAACACATAAAGTTGAGTCCAGGACAAACCAATTGTGAGCTTACAGGTGTCCTTTCATAGTGGGGACTTCACACTGACTAATATTCTTTACAATGGTGTGAGACAACATGTGTGAACTTGTTGTCAACTATGGAAGCTCAGTCAGTCTTGAGTCCAGGGATTTTATTAGGCTTCCACCACATATGCATCGAGCGTCCAGTGACTGAACTTAGCTACTTAGTTCCCAACCTCCCTATGCCCTAAGAGAGGTCATATTAATATGGCATTACACAAAGTCATAGGCATACAGAAACAGGTGTTCACAAGAAATCACGTTGTTAGCATCAGCTCTTTGATATGACCTAAGTTTTCAGGTATACAAAGACTCTCATCAGGCAGCATATACCAAGGGCTCTTAGGTTATCATCTCCCAGGAGCTTGTCAAGGGCCAGTCCTGAAGACCTTAGGAATGAACAAGGGTTTGGAAAGCCATGTCTGCAGAATTAAACCTTCATTACACAATCTCCAAGAATTTTTTTATCATTAAAAATGTTTTTTGATCTTTGACAATGTACCAACCAATACTGAGTAATTAGTAACAACAGTGTACTCCTGAGTACTTGCACCTGCAAGGAGAAAAAGGACAGATACACTTACATAGGACAGATGCACTTACATAGGACAGATGCACTTGCATAGGACAGATGCAAATAGACACCACTATGACAAGTAAAGCTGGAATAATCAATAAATTCCTAAAGACAAAGTGGGGCTGGTGAGATTGGGAGACTGTTGACAGCTGCAGAAGTTGGGAAAGATCCATCATCTTGAAAACTTTTTCCCCACAAACTCACTGCCATCTCTCAAGCAATTGGTAAGCATTCCAAGAGAGCCTGTATATGACACAGATCAGGGAGAGCAGAACACTTGGGAGGTGACGAGGTCTTGGGGGCCGAGACCTTATGAATGAGATTAGTGCCTTTATAAAAGAAGCTCAGTGGAGTTCCTGTGTGCCTTCCACTATGTGAGGACATAGAAAGAAGGCACCATCTATGAACCATGAAATGGGCTCTCATCAACACTGAATTTGTGAGCATCTTGGCCTGAGATCTTACAGTCTCAAGAAGTGTGAAAAAAGAAATATCTGTTGTTTTTTAGTCACCCAGTTTATGTTATTTTGTTATAAGAGTCCACATAGACCAAGATATTCCACTTAATATGTAGGGGAAGACAACAAAAATGGCCACACTTAGAATACTCCTGATGCTGGGAGTATGAAAACAGGAAAAACAAAACAAAACTGCTCTTGAAGGTGAAGGAGGAATATCACTGAGCTCACCAACACAGCCAGGAAAAGAACAGAAGTGTGACAAGGCTACATTCCTGAAATCCTGAGAAAAAGTACCTGCATAAGACTGAGATGAAATTACCTACACAATTTATGATTGAAATCCCAAAAAGAAAAGAGGAAAAAATAATGTAGCAAAATAAATATATTTCAAAATAACTGCCAAAAATATTCTAAAAGAAGTGACAGAAAATCCAACTTCAGATATAGGAAACTCAGAGAATGTCAAACAGAACAAAAATAAATAAGAATTCCATCTTGAAAAGTCTTTAAAAAATCAACTCTAAATTTTATATCTTTCTCCAAATATATAGAGATATAAATAGGTTATCATCAAGATATGGAGAAAGCCATATCATGGAAACACTAAAATAAAGCTGTGGAAGGACTACATTGATATTAGACACAACAGAGTTCGGAACAAGAAATAGTATCAGAGATGAGAGATAATAAATAATATAATAATAAATTCTCAAGATGTAAACATCTTACTAATTAGGATATGCAGCTAACAACAGAACCTCCAAATACATGAGGTAAAACAGGAAAGAAATCAAAGGTGAAATACAAAAATCAAAAATTATATTTGCAGACTTCAACACTTTTGTCTTAGTAATGGAAAGACTAGGCACAAACTCAGTAATCATGTGGAAAATAAGAACAACAATATCACCAACAAGACATCCAATCTTCAATGGCAGATACTCTTTCCTTTCAAGTGAAAAGAAAACAGTATGGCATATTGTCTAACAAACCCAGAATTTCTAATATTTGCGTTCTTCCTTCCTTCTTTCCATCTTCCTTTCTCTTCTCTTCCCTTGCCTTCTTCCTTCCTTTCTTCTTTTCCGCTTTCTTTTCCTTTCTTTTTTCTCCTTCCTTCCTTCTTTCCTTCCCCTTATTCTTCCTTCCCTCCTCCCTCCCTTGCTTTCTCCTCCCTTTTCTTCCTCCTTTTCTCTTATTCTTTCTCACTTTCTTTCCTTTTTTCTCCCTTCCTCCCTCCCTTTTTTCCTTCCTCCCTCCCTTCCTTTCCTGTTTCCTTCCTTCCTCCCTTCTATTTTCTTTGTTTGCCTTCCTCCCTTTTACCATTCTCTCTTCCTCCTTTCCTTCCTCCTTCCTTCTTTTCTCACTTTCTTTCTCTCTTTCTTGACTTCTTGCTTTCTTTTTTCTCCTTTCCTGCCTTTCTCCCTTCCTCCCTCCCTCCCTTCTCTCATTTCCTCCTTTTCTTTCTTCTTTCCTTCCTTCCTTCTTTTTTCTTTCTTTTCTTTCTTTCTCTTTACTACAATTCATATTATTTTAAAAAATTAAGAAAGAGAGGCAGAAAAATAAAGAACACTTTAATCTTCAGGCAAATAGATTATGTCTGCTGTAGAGAAAATAATGGCCTCCCAAAAATGTTCATGTCCTAATTACCGGAGTCTAACATACAAATATGTTAGGTTGCATGGCAGTGGGAAATTTGATTTCAAGTGAAATTAATGTTCCAAAGGCAGCGGGGGCAAAAAGCCACGGTGGCAAAAAGGCGCGGCGGCAGGGGCAAAAAGCCACAGCGGCGGTTGGAGAAAGACACGGCAGTGGGGGAAAAAAGCCACGCTGAGGGGGTAGAAATCTGCTGAGGTGGGTCAAAAAGCAGCAGGTGTGGGGGCAAAGAAACACAAAAAGCCGCAGCAGCTGGGGGAAAAGGCTGCTGCGGCTGGGGTAAAAAGCCACAATGGCTGGGGTAAAAAGCCATGGTGGCAGGGGGCAAAAAAGCTGCAGCGACAGGGGCGAAAAGCTGCAAAAAGCCAAGGCAGTGGGAGCAAAAACTTCGGCGGCGGAGGCAAAAAACCATGGTGGCAGGAGCAAAAAGCCACGGCGGTGGTGGTTAAAAAAATAGCTGCGGTGGCAAAAACCCGTGACGGGGGCAAAAACCCACAGTGGCAGTGGAAAAAACAGCGGTGGCAAAAAGCCACAGAAGTGGGGGCAAATAGCCCCGGCGGCGGGTGCAAAAAGCCGCAGCAGGGAGGGCAAAAAGCCTTGGCTTCGGGGGCAAAAAGCTGCAGCAGCAAAAAGCTGTAGCTGCGGGGGCAAAAAGCCATGGCAGCGGGAGGCAAAAAGCCGCAAAAACAGCGGCAGCCAGAACAAACACCAAGGCGGCAAAAAGCCTCAGTGGCGGGGGCTAAAAGCCAAGGCGGCGGGGAGTAAAATGCCTCAAAAAGCCGTGGTGGCGAGGGCAGAAAGCTGTGGCTTCGGGGACAAGAAGCCATAGCGGCGGGGCAAAAAGCCACGGCGGCGAGGGCAAAAAGCTGTGGCTTTGGGGGTAAAAAGCCGTAGTGGCGGGGCAAAAAGCCACGGCGGCAAGGGCAAAAAGTTGTGGCTTCGGGGGCAAAAAACCATAGCAGCGGGGCAAAAAGCAGTGGTGGCGGCGGGGCCAGAAAAACCACAAAATCCCGCGGCGATGGGGGGAAAAGCTGCAGGGGCAAAAAGCCGCAGCAGCAGGGGGAAAAAAGCCGTAAAAAGCAGCAGCGGCGGGGGGGCAAAAACCGTGGCGGCAAAAAGCCTCAGCGGCAGGAGCAAAAAGCCATGGCGGCAGGGGCAAAAACCGCAGTGGAAAGAAGACTCAGTGGCAGGAGCAAAAACGATGGCTGTGGGGGGCAAAAAGCCATGACTGCAAAAACTGCGGAGTGTGAGCCCAAAAAGCCATGGCGGTGGGGATAAAAAGCCACAGCTGCAAAAAGCAGCGGTGGTGGGGATAAAAAGCCGTGGCGGCAAAAACCCGCAGCAGCACAGGCAAAAAGCCGTGGCAGCAGGGGCAAAAAGCCACGGTGGCAGGGGCAAAAAGCCGCGGCGGTGAGGGCAGAAAGCTGTGGCTTCGGGGGCAAATAAACACGGCGGCCAAAAGCCGTAGTGGCAGGGCAAAAAGCTGCAGCAGTGGGGGCAAAAAGCAGCGGGAGCGGGTGCAAAAACCCACAAAAACCCATGGCAACGGGAGGAAAAAGCCATGGTGGCAAAAAGCCACAGTGGCGGGGGGTAAAAAGCCATGGCGGTGAGGGGGCAAAAAGCCACAAAAAGCAGCGTCGGCGGGGACAAAAACCACGGCGGCAAAAAGCCTCAGTGGCAGGAGCAAAAAGCCATGGCGGCGGAGGCAAAAAGCCGTGGCAGCAAAAACCCGTGGTGGCAAAAACCCGTGGTGGCAGGGGCAAAAAGCCGTGGCTTTGGAGGCAAAGAGCCGTGGCTGTAAAAAGCCATAGTGGCGGGAGCAAAAAGCCACAAAAAGCCACGGTGGCGGGGGCAAAAGCCACGGCGCCGAGGGCAAAAAGCCGTGGCTTCGGGGGCAAAGAGCCGCAGTGGCAAAAAGCTGCAAAAAGCCAAGGTGACGGGGCAAAATGCCACGGCGGCGGGGTTAAGAAGCCACGGCGGCGGGGCAAAAAGCCGTGGCGGGAGAAACCCGCAGCAGCGAGGGCAAAAATCCATGGCAGCAGTGACGAAAAGCCACAGCAGCGGTGGCAGAAAGCCGTGAGGCGGGGGAAAAATCCGCAGCAGCGGGGTCAAAATGGCACTGCAGCGGGCACCAAAAGCCACAGAAAGCCCCAGTGGTGGGTCAAAGAGTCGCAAAAAGCACCAGCGTTGGGGGCAAAAAGCCGCAGAGGCGGTGGCAAAAAGCAACGGAGGCAAAAACCCACGGCAGTGGCGACAAAAAGCAGTGGTGGCAAAAAGCCGCGGTGGCAGGGGCACAATAGTGGAAATGGGGTAGAAGACCAACTCAGCTTGGCATTCCTGGACTGTGATGTGGAAGGAAAAGTGCAGCGGAAGACAAAGATGTAAGTAGGCTTGACTCAGTGCAGCTAAGAACTCAAATGTTATCTTGATGTTATCTATCAACTAATTTCTTGTATTTTAGTTGAGAAGGGGTTTTACCACGTTGGCCAAGATTGTCTGGATCTCCTGAGTTCATGATCCACGCACCTCAGCCTCCCAAAGTGATGGGATTAGAGGCATGAGCCACAAACTGCTCAAAAAACCTATTAATTAAAAAATGTGTATGTAGCCATTTTCAATCTACCATGTCCATTAGCAGATAAACACTACAAGCAAAATAACAACAATAAAATAAACATAGACTTAGAGTAGATACTCTGATTTATTTAATAAAAATTTGAAAGTAGACCAAATTACACTATGATAAAAAAAATCTGTTACTATTGAGGATGAGGGTTAGTGTTTGGAAAGGGGCAGGAGAAGTATCACTATTTTTAGTAATGTTCTATTTTCGTACATGGCTATAAGCAAATACATGTGTTTCATTAATCAAGCTATCCATATTTAATCATTGTACTTTTCTGCATGTATGATATATGTCAATAAAATGTCTTAAATTATATACAGCAAAAATAGACAACACCACAAGAAGACATACACGAATGTTAAACCTAGAGAGAAATTTGAATATAAGTAAGTCTCTGAATGACTGCTAGAACAAACCGAAAAATAACCAAGATGGAGAGGTTTGGAACAGCATGACTAGCAAAATTGACATATCTGTCTTTTAATATAGGCAGAAACATAGTTAGATAAAAAAAGGACTTGTCTCAGAGTATGATTTCTGAAAATAGTGGAATCGACTTTGAATCTAGTAAGTACATATAAATAAATGTCTTAAAACTCCTCTTATGTTAGCTAATTAAGAAATATTATTGTAATAGATATTAGAAAATATTTTAATAAATTGAGTGGATTTCACATGCTAAGGAAATGATCTTACTTGCATTTGATAGTTCAATTAGATACATATATACCTATAGGTAGTTTAAAATATTTCTAATAACCTTATATACTTTTAAAAAGCAGTGATATCTGTTTGCACTCTCTGGTCTATAGAGTACACATACCAAACATGATTATGGCTCTTCTGCTATAAACTTCAAATGTCTAATTAATACAAAAATCTAGAATGAGAAGAGTTCTTTGCATTTTTTTTTTTTACAAAATAGATTATAGGAAGGATAGCTACAAATATACCTGACACACTTATCTGTGAGTATGGTGTTAGCATTTTTATTTTATTTTATTTTATTTTATTTTATTTTTGAGAGAGGGTATCACTTTGTCACCCAAGATGGAGTGCAGTCATGTGATTAGAGCTCAGTGAAGCCTTCACATACTGTGCTCAAGTGATTCTCCCACCTCAGCCTCCTGAGTAGCAGGGACTGCAGGTGCATGACACCATACTAGCTAATTATTGTAAAGATGGGGTTTCACCATGTTGCCCTCGCTGATCTCCATCTCCTGAACTCAAGAGATCTGGCCACGTTGGCCTCCCAAAGTGCTGGGATTATAGTTTTGAGGCACCGCGATCAGCCCAGCCTTAAAAAAGGCAGACTAGAGATCTTTATCTATGTATATCTATATCTATCTATAAAACAAACATATGTGTTTATTATATAAAAATATATATTATTAATATTATATAAAAATTTTTTTTCAAGGTAGAAATATATAAAGAGGGTGCATGTAGAGCCTGGGGCATTGTGTAGTGAAGCTCAAGGCCTCTGAAGAAATGCCCCTTGCCTCTTTTGTCTGGGCTAGAATCCAAGAAGGGAAATCAGCAGATGCACTGGTTCCCAGGTTCTTGGCATAATACAGAGAGAAACATGTTTGAGGTAGGGTAGCGTTAAACAGCCTTGTTCTTACTCTCCTGTTTTATGTAGTGAGCAGAGACTAGCTTCATGAAAACAGACTGTGACAGTCAAGGCTCTCTGATATTTTGTGCAGCATTCATTGAGAAATTCTAGCACCTGAAGACGTCTGGGCCATTTGAGGGTAGGTGCAGGGGAGGAAAGGGAAGTTTGCATCCCTCCTGCTGTGGAGAGAACCCGTGGGAAGCACAGACCTTGTCCTAACTGAAGGCAGACCCCCTTGCTAACCAGCTTCTCATCAGCCAACCCTGGATGAGTTTCCATGTCTATTTACTAAATAATCCTTATTGCTTTTCTTCATATAGGCAAAGTATGGTTTACAGGGAATATTGTTCCCTTGAACACCCATTGTGCAAATCCCTTTCTGTTGTGGGAAAACAGGCTTCCATATGTGTCTTATTGGGAAACACATAGGCAATTTCTATGTTTTTACTGCATCTATTTCAGGGATATGGGAACTGAATAGTGCCCATCAAAGGCTCACCTGATGTTGGAAATTGATCTGAGAGCGTGGAAGGACAGAATTATTTCTTTGTTCCTGGGCAGCGGTGGTTGAGGGATCATTTTGTGGCAGCTACAGTGGCAATGATGGAGGCAGAACGGAGGGCTCAGTACCAAGACGAGGAGAGATTTGGCCTCACAATGGCAGCATTGCAGGGGTGCGCTCTACAGAGCATTTGCTCACATGGTTTTGGGCATTGTCTCTAACTACATTGCTTCCCCAATAGGTTGACCCATTCTAAATAACTCCTTTTCTCTTTAAAACAGAAAAGTTCATTTGTATGACTTGCAATTGTAAATGACACCAATTGGCCAGTTATCATTCAAATTCTCTGTTACTTAATCCTGCCTTTTCCTAACGTATGCAACTTTCCTTTAAAAAATTGGACACTTTGTTGCTTACTCATTGTCTTTACACATTTTAAAATGTTGCTTTATGCCCCCAATCCCTAACTACATTTTCGATGTTTTGCAAGTGGAGTCCATGTGTTCTTGATTTACATGAAACTCAAAATAATGGTTATAGTAACTAGTACTTCATAATTAAGCAAAAAGCTCTTATTGAAAAATGACAGAACTATACATACAGATGACAACATGGAGAGATATTTCCTGAGATCACAAAGTTATGGTATGGCAGAACTAGAACTTTGAGTAGAGATTCTGTGTTCCTAATCATTATTTCTACCACCAGCTTTCTATTTTGATGTTAATAATGTTCTTGGGTGGGAAACCCTACATATTTGCCAATGTTTAGTTCATTGACAAAGAAATATAAAGAGCTTCAAGAACACTCTAATCTTTAAAAAATAAAATATCTATAATTGGCCATACGAAAAAATTGGTACTTGACATATACTGAGATCGTTTAATTTTGTGCTAGACAAATGAAGTCATAGAACAGAATGTGCTTTAAATATTATGAATAGTGCTTGTGTGTGTGTTTGTGTGTGTGTGTGTGTTTATAGATGCATATTAGGCCGCTGTAAAATTTTACTATTCTTTCCAGGAGAGAGACTGCCAACTTTTGAACCTAATTAGAACAAGTATATTGCTTCTTCATATTTTTATTAAGGCAAAGAGAGTCTAGTTAAAAGTAATTCAACTTATCATGGAAATGTTATAAATTGCTGTGAAGTGAGTTGCTGGCTATGGCTTGTCAGAGCAAGTATATTATACAAATCTTAGGGGAGAATTAGTGCTTATGCATTCAAATCAAATCATCTTGCAGCACACTGAGAAAAAGGTTAGATTTTTAAAATAATTTTGAAGTCATGAAAGGAGCAAATATGCTCAACTAAGAGCCTAGCAACCCTCAATGACCAATTCCCCTTTTATATAGTTTGGTATGTGAATTAGAATCCCAGAATCTACAAATTCCTCTGGGTGTGGGTGCTGCATTTTGAGGATTTTATAACACTGCCATCACCAAGCTCTCTTTTGATATTCACTTTAAGGAGATAATTTACGGGAAACCAGAGAGCATAAAACAAAGTAGATATCTATCTATATAGATAGATACATCTCCATATCATTGATAGGATACCTTCTGGCTGAGTGTGAGTACAACCTATGGCTGTGGTTGGAGAGAACATGTGTTCCACCTGAATGGCAGATCAGGATTATTCCTTCTCATCTGCTGCAATGGCTCAATGTGTTAAGGAGAGGAGCGAGACAGCAAGAACTGCATTCATTCAGTCATACAGAACAAAAGGAGGAAAGTCGCCCAGCCCTCTAAACTGACCCAGAACCCAGATCATGTCTCAACTGCTACCTCTACTACTTAGAAAGAAGTAACTCCGCCAAAGCAGGGTCCTGGACAAATATATTTTTATTGATCTTATACAAATAGATGAAGATGGACTTGGATGTTAAGAAAAATAATACTATAAAAAATGAAGAGTAGACAGTCCCTCCTAGACTTAAATTAAGAGTGTGTACATTAGATAATTTAAACCAATGTATCAGGTAAAAACTTGAACAAACCTTTTGGCCTCTTCCATAAAATTCAGGGAAGCATGTCGTCCACAAAACAGAATCAAAATATAAATGAAAGACTGGCTTAAGATGAAAGGAAACCTTATAAATGAAAAGAAGCGAGATGAGAGACACTTAACTGAGAATGAAAAAAAACTGAGTGGACAAAATAATCAAGAGAAGATGAATCTTCAAATCAGAAAGAGGGAAAAAAGCTCATTTGATACTATGGGAACTCAAAAGAGAGTGAACACAAATGTAAAAATTCCAAGAGTACAGAAAAGTAGCATAACTAAATTAAGAGCATGAGAAAATGTATACAATTCTGAGTAATAAGAACAGAAATCAAAAGTTAGTATTGTAAGTTATATTTTAGTAGAGCAACACTGAAGATGAATGAAAACAAGAAATAATATTAAATATGAACATAAGGAGAACAGAATAATATTTTTAAAATTTTTACTTTCTAAGTTTACCTGAAATTTTAATTTTGGTTTCTTATGTAATACCAGAGTTATTAGGAAGGTATTAGCTAATAACACTATTTTCAGTGACATTTTAAGTATTTGTCCTAGAAAAATTTATATTTTTATAAAATGTATATTTAAAAATACATTGTGTGTATATACATCAATCATATGTATCGATTTCTGTTTTTTTTTTGAATTGCAAATGAAATTTGTATTTTTGTGTTCCTGGAATAAAATAAACTTGAATGGATTGTAATATATTATTCATGCTGTACTTCAATGTATTTGAATTATTTAAGAATGTTACATTTATAGTTAACAGATATTGGCCTATAAATTTTCTTTCCTATAATGATGCTGTGAGACAATCTAAGAAGAATTAAAATTTAAATTCATGTATTCCTACATTTTCCTCTGTTCTCTAACTGTAATATGTTTTAAATACAGATGGAGGAACAGATAGATGTTTGATAAATAGGTGTATAATAGACAGATCATCCAAAATTCTTATTCTTATGGTTTTATGTAGTCAGTAATTATCTCTATTTTTCTACATGTTTATCCTTCCAATTTAGCTCATTACTTCCTGCACCTTTGATGTCATATACATAAACAGGAAATAACACATGGTGGCCAGGATGTAGAGAGAGCCACAGGACTTGTGAATAAAATCCACAGGCAAGGATGTGGCAATTCGTTTTGCAGTATTGGAGGGAATGCCAAACGCTATGTTTGCTGTGGAAAAGAGTATGGTAGTTCCTCAAAACATTAAAATGGTACTGCCATATGATTCAGCAGCTTCACATCTCAGGATAGTAAAAGAATTGAAAGCAGAGTCTTGAAAAAATATTTGCACATCCATGTTTGCAGCAGCTTTATTGGCAATAGCTAAAACGTAGAAGCAATTGAAGTGTCCAACAACAGATGAAAGGATAAGCACAATATGATATATGCATACAATGGAATATTATTCAGCCTTAAACATGAGGGAAATATTCTGACATATGTTGCAACTTGGATGAAACTTGAGGATATTATGCCAAGTGAAATAAGTTAGTCAGTGAAGGACAAATAGAGTATAATTCCATTTGTATTAAAGTGGACAGAATCATAGAGATGGTACAATGATGGTTGCCAGAAGCTGGGGGGAGGAAGAAATGGGGAAGTATTGTTTAATGGGTATAGAGTTTCAGTTTTACAAGATGAAACGAATTATGGAGATGGATGGTAGGGACGGCTGCACAATGTTAAGACTATATTTAATACCACTGAACTGTACACTTAAAATTGTTAACATAGTACATTTTATGTTATGTGTATTTTACCACAATAAAAAAATGAAATGCCTTAAGAATATTTTCATGAAAAAGCCCACATAAAATTCATTTTAATGCACGTGTTTATGCATAGCTTTCTATTTTTCTCTTTTCTCTTTATATTCCAAATTAAAAAAGGTGTTTTATTTCCAAATTAAAAAGGTGTTTATATTCCAAATTTAAAAAATCCAAAGGTACAGTCAACTACAAAAAAAAAGCTTAGTCTCATTAATCATTATGAAAATGCAAATGGTAACCGAAAGAAGATAAAACTACAATTCAAAGAGAAACCCTAAAATTTCAACCCCCCAAAAAGTCTGGGTTTTGGAGATCTGGGATGGAATAGGGTTCCTAACCTCCTAACCTGACATCAATGAAAGAACCAAACTAACTTCAAAGTCATGACTTTATTTTTATAGCAACGAGGTTGCCAAGAACTGAGTCAAAATGTGAGGGAAAACAAGCACCTGCAAGGAGAAAGAGGACAGATGCACTTACATAGGACAGATGCAAATAGACACCACTATGACAAGTAAAGGTGGAATAATCAATAAATTCCTAAAGACAAAGTGGAGCTGGTGAGATTGGGAGACCGCTGACAGCTTCAGAAGTTGGGAAAGATCCATCATCTTGAAAACTTTTTCCCCACAAACCCACTGCGATCTCTCAAGCAATTGGTAAGGAATCCAAGAGAGTCTGTATATGACACAGATCAGGGAGAGCAGAACACTTGGGAGGTGAACAGGTCTTGGGGGCCGAGCCCTTATGAATGGGATTAGTGCCTTTATAAAAGAAGCTCAGTGGAGTTCTTTTGTGCCTTCCACTACGTGAGGACATAGAAAGAAGGCACCATCTATGAACCATGAAATGGGCTCTCATCAACACTGAATTTGTGAGTATCTTGGCCTGAGATCTTACAGCCTCAAGAAGTGTGAAAAAAGAAATATCTGTTGTTTTTTAGTCACCCAGTTTATGTTATTCTGTTATAAGAGTCCAAATAAGAATGCTTGTGATTTTTGTACATTGATTTTGTATCCTGAGACTTTGCTGAAGTTGCTTATCAGCTTAAGGAGATTTTGGTCTGAGACAATGGGGTTTTCTAGATATACAATCATGTCGTCTGCAAACAGGGACAATTTGACTTCCTCTTTTCCTAATTGAATACCATTTATTTCCTTCTCCTGACTAATTGCCGTTGCCAGAACTTCCAACACTATGTTGAATAGGAGCGGTGAAAGAGGGCATCCCTGTCTTGTGCCAGTTTTCAAAGGGAATACTTCCAGTTTGTGTCCATTCATTATGATATTGGCTGTGGGTTTGTCATAGATAGCTCTTATTATTTTGAAATACGTCCCATCAATACCTAATTTATTGAGAGTTTTTAGCATGCAGTGTTGTTGATTTTTGTCAAAGGCGTTTTCTGCATCTATTGAGATAATCATGTAGTTTTTGTCTTTGGCTCTGTTTATATGATAGATTACATTTATTGATTTGCATATATTGAACCAGCCTTGCATCCCACGGATGAAGCCCACTTGATCATGGTGGATAAGCTTTTAGATGTGCTGCTGGATTCGGTTTGCCAGTATTTTATTGAGGATTTTTGCACCAATGTTCATCAAGGATATTGGCCTAAAATTCTCTTTTTTTGTTGTGTCTCTGCCCGGCTTTGGTATCAGGATGATGCTGGCCTCATAAAATGAGTTAGGGAGGATTCCCTCTTTTTCTATTGATTGGAATAGTTTCAGAAGGAATGGTACCAGTTCCTCCTTGTACCTCTGGTAGAATTCGGCTCTGAATCCATCTGGTCCTGGACTCTTTTGGTTGGTAAACTATTGATTACTGCCACAATTTCAGCTCCTGTTATTGGTCTATTCAGAGATTCAACTTCTTCCTGGTTTAGTCTTGGGAGAGTGTATGTGTCGAGGAATGTATCCATTTCTTCTAGATTTTCTAGTTTATTTGCGTAGAGGTGTTTGTAGTATTCTCTGATGTTAGTTTGTATTTCTGTGGGATCGGTGGTGATATCCACTTTATCATTTTTTATTGTGTCTATTTGATTTCTCTCTCTTTTATTAGACCAAGATATTCCACTTAATATGTAGGGGAAGGCAACAAAAACTGCCACACTTAGAATACTCCTGATGCTGGGAGTATGAAAACAAGAAAAACAAAACAAAACTGCTCTTGAAGTTGAAGGAGGAATATCACTGAGCTCACCAACACAGCCAGGAAAAGAACAGAAGTGTGAGAAGGCTACATTCCTGAGACCCTGAGAAAAAGAACCTGCATAAGACTGAGATGAAATTACCTACTCTAGTTATGATTGAAGTCCCAAAAAGAAAAGAGGAAAAAATAATGGAGCAAAAGAAATATTTTTCAAAATAACTGCCAAAAATATTCTAAAATAAGTGCAGAAAATTAAACTTCAAATATAGGAAACTCAGAGAATGTCAAATAGAACAAAAAGAAATAAGAATTACATCTTGAAAAATCTTTAAAATATCAAGTCTAAATTTTATATCTTGCTCCAAATATATAGAGATATAAATAGGTTATCATCAAGATATGGAGAAAGCCATATCATGGAAACACTAAAATAAGGCTGTGGAAGGACTACATTGATATTAGACACAACAGAGTTCGGAACAAGAAATACTATCAGAGATGAGAGATAATAGATAATAGAATAATCAATACTCAAGAAGATGTAAACATCCTACTAATTAGGGTATGCAGTTAACAACAGAACCTGCAAATACATGAGGTAAAACAGGAAAGAAATCAAAGGTGAAATACAAAAATCAAAAATTATATTTGCAGACTTCAACACTTTTGTCTTAGTAATGGAAAGACTAGGCACAAACTCAGTAACCATGTGGAAGATAAGAACAACAATATCACCAACAAGACATCCAATCTTCAATGGCAGATACTCTTTCCTTTCAAGTGAAAAAAAAAAAAAACAGTACGGCATATTGTCTAACAAACCCAGAATTTCTAATATTTGCGTTCTTCCTTCCTTGTTTCCATCTTCCTTTCTCTTCTCTTCCCTTCCCTTGCCTTCTTCCTTCCTTTCTTCTTTTCCTCTTCCTTTTCTTTTCTTTTTTCTTTTCCTTTATTTCTTTTTTCTTTTTTCTCCTTCCTTCCTTCTTTCCTTCTTTCTTTCCTGTTCTTCTACCTTCCCTCCTGCCTCTCTTCCTTTCTCGCTCCCTTTTCTTCCTTCTTTTCTCATATTCATTCTTTCTTTCTAACGTTCTTGCTTTCTTTCCTTTTTTCTACCTTCCTCCCGCCCTCCTTTTCCTCCTTCTTCCCTCTCTTCCTTTCCTCTTTTCCTTCCTTCCTTCGCCTCTTTATTTTCTTTGTTTCTTTGACTTCCTCCCTTTTACCATTTTCTCTTCCTCCTTTCCTTCCTCCCTTCCTCCTTTCTTTCTTTCTTTCTCTTTCTTTCATTCATTCTTTCTTTCTTTCCTTCTTTCTTTCTTGTGTTCATGCTTTCTTTTTTCTCCCTTCCTGCCTTTCTCCTTTCCTCCCTCCCTCCCTTCTTCCCTCATTTCTTCCTTCTTTTCTTTCTTCTTTCTTTATTTCTTTCCTTCCTTCCTTCTTTCCTTCCTTCTTTTTCTTTCTTTTCTTTTCTTTCTTTCTCTTTATTACAATTCATATTATTTTAAAAAAATTAAGAGAGGGAGACAGAAAAATAAAGAACGCTTTAATCTGCAGGTAAATAGATTATATCTGCTGTAGGCAAAAGAATGGCCTCCAAAAAAATTTCATGTCCTAATTCCCAGAGTCTAACATACAAATATGTTAGGTTGCATGGCAGTGTGAAATTAGATTTCAAGTGAAATTAAGGTTGCGGTAAAATGATAGAGAGATTGTCTTCAATGGGTGGGATCAATGAAATGACAAACTTCCTTATAAGTGAAAGAAGAAGGCAGAAGAAAGGCAACCTTGGAGGTGGTGGCATGAGAAATTACTCAACATCACTGACTTTTAACATACAAGAATGAGGGCCCAGTGCGGTGGCTCACTCCTAATCCCAGCACTTTGGGAGGCTGGGGTGGGTTTATCACGAGGTCAGGAGATCGAGACCATCCTGGCTAACATGGTGAAACCCCATCCCTACTAAAAATACAAAAAATTAACTGGGCATGGTGGCAAGTGCCTGTATTCCAAGCTACTCAGGAAGCTGAGGCAGAAGAATCACTTGAATCCAGGAGGCAGAGGTTGCAGTGAGCTGAGATCATGCCAATGCACTCCAGCCTGGGTGACAGAAGGAGACCCCATCACCAAAAAAAAAAAGAAAAATAGGTATAAGAATGAGGTCATGTTCCAAGGAATAAAGGTGGCCTCTGGATGCTGAAAAAAATCAAGTAATAAATTCTGCCACATAGCCCTCAGAAAGACTGCAGCCTTGCCCAAAACTTGATGTTAGCCCAGTGAGTTTCATTTAAGGCTTCTGAACTACAGAACTGTAGGATTAACGGTCACTTTATTATAAGATATGAAGTTTGTGGTAATTGGTTACAGCAGCAAGAGGAAGTTTATATTGTAATTGTATCATGAAAATGAGAACCGTAATTTACAACTGCTTTTAATACTGCACTTGGATGTTTGAAATCACGTACATGGAAATGATCTCTATGTGCATGAGGGAGGATAACAAATTGATGCCAAAATAATGCAAATGCAAATCTTACACTCATTTCTATGTAGGTTTTATTTAATCTTTGAAATTAAAATGAAATAAAAAGATGGTGATCTTTTGATGAAATTAGACTAAAATGAACAATAACAAAATAAGAACTTACTTATATTCTTTATATGGTCAATAAAGAAGTGAGAGTGGAAAAAAACAAGATCAAATGAAGGTGATGATTTAAGAATTTGGAAAGATAGCTGAAACTACAAAATGGTATATAACCAGTGAACACTTAGACACACTGATTGATGAACTTCAGCTTTTGGCTTTGTGAGAGCATAACATGAGAGCAGCTGAGGTTTGCAAATTTGTAATCTCCTTGTGGAAAACCAGGGGAAAACACATCTCAGCCTAATAAGACTTATCTACTAAAGAGTCTAGACTTGATCCATTTGTCCTTGTAATTCAAAAGCTAATTCAAATACTGATCTGATATATTGTGTGAACAACCATTGCTGATTTTCATCGCATACCTGGCATTCTCTTTTATCTGATATCTAAAATATTTGGTAATTCCTGGACTTTCTCTTTTCAAACCCAGTACGGTTTAATTTGAGTCTTAGAACAGTTGTCTTTGAGAAATTCTTCCCTCTACTGCATCTGTGAATGGGCATAGCATGGTTACATGCATATTGTCACTCCATAGAACATTTGTTATATTAAAGACAAAGTTTAAAGCAAGAGCTTTAACTTACTGGTTTTACTAATGTTTCCTCCCCAATAGCCACAACAATATTGATACTCTCACACCTTTTAACATAAAGCTTGGTGCTGTCTATTTTTCAGGTGCTGTCATCTATATGATCTCGGTATTTTAAAAATCAGCTTCCAGCACATATGGTGGTTCATGCTTGTAATACCAGCAGTTGAAGAGGCTGAAATGAGAGGATTCCTTGAGCCCAGGAGATCAAAAGCAACCTGGGCAACATAGCAAGACCCAGTCTCTGTCAAAAGCTAAAAAAAAAATGTGGGCATGGTGATGTGCACCTGTTGTCCTAGCTATTTGGGAGGCCAAGGTGGAAGGATTGCTTCAGCTTGGGAGGCTGAGGCTGCAGTGAGCAGTGATTGCACCACTGCACTCTAGCCTGGGCAACAAAGAAAGACCCTATCTCAAAAAAATATATATAATAAAAACAAAAATCAGCTCTCATTGATTTCTATGTAAATATGCACAGGTGATGTCCATATAGACATAAATAATAATATTTCTGACAATAGGTCCATACGATCTTCAAAATGTAAAATGCCTATCTGTGTAATTGACTGGTCAGTCTCATTAATGAATATAGATTCAATTCTACTTTCTTGTTCTCCATAAATTATATAATCTAGCTTTTCATTTCACTTATTTACTAATAACAACAGGAAGAATGACAAGATATCTATTTTGGAAAATTACTCTGATAGGAGTAAAGCTGAAACAATGATAGAATAGCAAGGAAAACTAGAAAAAAGTATGGTCTTCTGATATTCTATCACATCACATACTAAAGGCCTCATAAAACTCAGATATTTTATCTAAAAATGTTACTTTCCTCATAGGAATGATCAAAGCATGAGACTACAATTGTATTAAAATGTGCTTGTATCACAAGCACAGGTGCTAAAAAGGAGGGGAAAACATCATTACTGATATTTTCAATGTATGTTTTACTTTTCATCAACATGAACCTCAACTTAATATGATGCAGATTGAAGGAAATCAACCATAATTCCATATGAAGAAGGCCTGTGATATTTTATGGGAAAATAAATAGAGAAAATGCTAACAGAAACCCTATTAAGCATGAAGCTTTATGGAGCAAACACAAATCCAGTGGTGAAAGATACACAATCGAGTTCTGTTTGTTGTCTTGGAACAATACGGTTTAGAGGTGACTGGCGGGTGAGGAGAACATATGCGAGCTCACCAAAGAGAAAAGCTGAATGAGGCAATGCCTCTTCCTGACCATATCTCTTACTCAGATAACTATATAATTTATTGTCCAGTAAAGGGTATATTAAAAAATCATATTAAAAGTCATACAGTGAAGTTGTCCAGGGAAATCAAGAATTAACAGTATCACTCTGACAGTAATGAACAGGCGGGTTCCCTCAAGATAGACTAGGACATGACCCCACACTGGCAGGTAGTAGTACCAGGAAAGAACCCATGGAAAATCTTTACCTTACGCTTGAGATAGGGACCGGGCTGAAGTGAAAACCAGACATAAAATTCTATCTAAAATAAATCCACAATCGAAGAAAATATGTGGTGTACAGGCATAGAATGTCTTTACTGGATCATTTAAATAGTAAGACAAATTCAACTTTTTACATTGTTTTCTTTTCCTCCACTTAGGGCTAGAGGTTTGTCTCTGGAGAGTGACTGTCAATTGGAGCCCTGCCTTTCTGGGTTTCTGGTCAGGGGGTTGTGGATGCTTAACATGTGCCTTTCACAGGACATTTCCTTACCCCAGCAGTGGCCAGGTGTGCATCCCACGACCAGGTCTCCCTCTCACAGAACATTTGTTGAGACTAGGAGATGCCTGGTGACTGTTGCCTGACCTGTGTCCTGTGTATTTCTGACAAGAGCCACTCTCAGAGACCCTGGCCAGGAGGAGAGTTAGGTTCCAGTGTAGGTCAGCTCAGACCCATGGAGGCCACAGAACCAAACATGGGAAATCACAGAAGTAGGTTTATTACTCACAGATCCAGAGAGAAGAGGGTAGCTGAGAAGAGGGTTTAGCTGTGTCCCCAGCCAAATCTCATCTTGAATTCCCACATGTTGTGGGAGGGAACAGGTGGGAGGTAATTGAATCATGGGGGCAGGTCTTTCCCATGCTGTTCTTCTAATAGTGAATATGTCTCACAAGATCTGATGGTTTTATAAAGGGGAGTTTCCCTGCACAAGCTCTCTTGTCTTGTCTGCTGCCATGTGAGACGTGCCTTTCACCTTGTGCCATGATTGTGAGGCCTACCCACCCATGTGGAACTGTGCATCTATTAAACCTCTTTCTTCTAGAAATTACCCAGTCTTGGGCATGTCTTTACCGGTGGTGTGAAAATGGACTAATAGAGTAGCACACCTCATAGGGCTTAACAAAATGGGGAAGATGAGTGGGGAGCAGGAGAGAGAAAAGGGGTCTGTGGGACTCCAGCCTTTATTGGGCCCAGAATATTACCCAAATAAGTTTTCCACGGGGCACTAGTCGGTGGGGTGAGTGCCAGCAGGCACATTTCTTGACTCCCGCTGCAACTGAGCAGGTCACTCTGGCGTGTGGGGGCTGTCCATGTGCACTGTGAAGTCTGTGGGGTGAGTCAGGTAGGTTGTATCCAATGGTTCTATAGCTGGTAGACACCCGGAGAAGGCAACTGTGTAGGGTCCATATCTGGGCCAGCCACACTGAGGAACTGTGAGGGTTAGAACTGGAAATTGTCAAGGGAATGTGAACCCAGCTACCATATGGGAGAGTTCAACTTATGTTCAATGTGAATGCCATGGCAATATTCAAAGGTAAGAATTCGCTCCATACGTGCTTGAGGTAAATAGGACAAACCTAGAATTTATGTAAACAGTGAGAAGATTGGATGCGTTTTCCATCACATATTTTAATACTAGCAGCATATTTTGTATGTCAATCCATCAGGCATTCAGAAATACATGCTTATGAAATTTTTTTTGCACCATCAGACAAAAGACAAGGGTAGAAGACATTTGTAACCCTATACACACTAGTAAATTAAAAACTGAAGGACCTTTATGTCCTAACATATCTGTGTTGTGAAAGGCTGCCCTGTGAAATACGGGATTTCTTCAACATATTTTAAAAATCATAGGTGTCAATATTTTTTAGAAATCCACTTAAATTTTCTCTTGCTATTTTACAGTGCCTATTTATTTATTTAGTGGCTCTGCTGATTTTGATGTATATCCTAAACTTTACATTTTCTTTAAAGGATGTTTTATACAACTTTATGTAAAATGTTTCACTATCTTCACATTCTCTCCCTGTCCTTTTGTTTTGCTCTTATATGGTGGTCTTGTGTCTTTTCTCTGGCTTTTCAAACCTAGTAAGACTAAGACACTAAAGTAACTTTGCCCGTGGTTTGGTAATGCCTTCTAAAGCACATCCTAAGCTCTCGTGCATACAGGCGTCTCCTTTGAGCTCTGTGCTTTTGAGATCCCATACACCTAAATTCCAGTACTCCAAATCAGTACTGCTCAGTTGTAGATACTAAGTTTAAAAATGTATTTTAATAGCAAGTTAGTTTAGTGCACTCTTGCTTCTTTCTTGACTGCTTATATACATGTATATTCCTTTAAATGAATCTTGGAATTTATTTAAAAATTTTAAATTATACTAATGAAACTGTACACTGTTGTGAATTCATAAGTGAATTTGGAAAGAATTTGTCTTTATGACACTGAATCCTTTTTATCCAAGAATCATATGTGTCTTTACATTTAATCCAGTCTATATTTATATCACTGAGTAAATATATAGAAATGTAGATATATACAGCTGCAGTTATAGATACAAATATAGATATTACATGTTAAATCTATATCTATCCCATATAACATATATACATGTTATATGTGTGTGTGTATATATATATGTTTATGTTATTAAGAGCTCCCATAAATTTTTCTTTTATTTCCTATATGATTTTAGTTTGAGCTTGAATTTTCCTTGTATAAACAAGCAAATATTTATACTAGTTTTAATACTGCCGTTTAGACATTTTGTCTTATTTTAGCATTGAATATTTTCACAATTATTATAAATATTATCTAATATTAAGAATGTACCTGTTAAAAATATTTATTTTAACATTGAATTATTTTATTGTTGAATTAAAATTCCTTTAATATGATAGTAAATTTCTATTTTATGCTTTCTCTATGCATATGCAAATTAATCTATGCACTTCTTTATCTCTATGTAGTAACATATTAAAATAAGGTCTCTCTTCTTCTAAGGGACATACACATGTTTGCACATAGAATATCAGACTCTTTATAGCATTTAAAATCTTTAAAGACATGAATATTGTCTTCTAACAAATATATTTTAGCATGTACTGAGAATCCCCTGTTTATTTTTAATTTGGGCTAATCAATATGATTAATATTATTGTATTACCAAATTTGGAAACACACTTTCATCCCCAAGGTGGATATTTGTTTTATTTTTTTTTGCCAATTTCTTGTCTTACTGTTTCAAACATTGTTGGATATTATTTTTATTTTATTTGGCATTTTAGTATCAACATTTGTAATTGATGTACTCTACATATTTTTTCTTCAATATCTGTTGGGTTTTATATTTACTGTTATATTGGATTTGTAGTAGACATTGACAAAAAGTATTCCTGTATGTTTTATAGCTGTATGAAGGAAACTAATATGTTTTACCCCTAAATATATTTCCTTGATAAATTTCAAAATGGCTATTGAGAAGGGCTGGAAATGCAAACTTAGCTGTAAAGCTGTCTTGGGGAGATTTGCATCGGTAGAGAATCTGCCTTGATGCAGCCAGGCTTTCTCTGAGGTCTGCCCCCTTGTCTGGATCTAGGAAAGCTTAACTGAGAGTCTGAGGTCTCCTAAGGTCTGAAAGAAACCTTTTCGGTCTATTCTCTCTGAGGACTGCTCCCAGTGAGGTTCCACCTATGCAATAAGTCCACTGTTGCTAGCCAGGGTCGTTTTCTCACATAACCTTTTTTTTTTTTTCCTGTGATCCAAGACCCCATTCTTTCTGTAAACTTCATGTGGTAGATAAGCTTCTGCACGCATCGTGTGTCTGGGTCTTCGTTCTAAGGGCTCCGGTGTACACACATTGCAGAAACCTGCATGCCTTTTCTGCTATTTACCTGCCTCCTCTTAGTGATTTTCAGGGAAACTTCAGAAGGCGAAAGGGACATTCTCCTTTAGCCCATTCTCAGACAAAATACCCCAACATTTAACTGATTCCTAATAGCTTAAAATCACTTTGAAAAATCCATATATTTATAACCTTTTCTTCCCTCTATGATTTCTGGTCAGCTTGGGTTTTGTTTTTCTTTCTATTTACTTCATCCTTGAAAAGATCTATTTTATGTCTATTTATTCTCATTTATGGACATTGAGAAAAGAAAATAACTTTCATGTGAGAAATGCAAGTCCTTTTAAATAATCAGGCCCAGAGAGATATTCAAATGAGACAGCAGTTCTGTCCTGCTCCGCTTTGAGCTGTGTGTTCATCTAGGCTGCTTGCTGTTGCCACAGTAGCTATAAATTGACAAATAACGCCACACCAGACACTATAATCCACACCCAATAATAGTGTAACAGTGTATAGCCAGTCACTAATAAATGTTATTTCCATAAGCCAATGAGAATTTGTGACAAACCTCTTTGCATCATCCCACTTCTGGACCCTTTTTTGCCTTTAAGAAACTGCTTGTTGCAAAGCTCCAAAGGGAGTTCATATCCAAGGATACTTGGGTCTGTTTCTTCCAGGCAGCTGTCCTCATTGTGGCTCAAGTAAACTCTTTGAATTACGTTTTGTGCGTCAGCCCCTTCCACTTACATTAACAACATGGATTTGTGTCACCATGTACAGCAACTAAAATGTTTACACTTTTCCCCTCGAGGGCACTGATGTGTTTTCCTGAGCACTTGGAATAGCTATGTAGTGTTTACTGTCTAGATTATGGTTTCTCAACCTAGGTGCTACTTACCTTTAGGACCAGAAGATTCTTTGTTGTGGGAGGCTGCCCTAGCAATGCTAGGTGTTTCGTTTGACCTCTAAATTTCACACCTCCACCAGTCTTGACATGCCCACAATAACCCTAGACATTGACAAATGTCTCCTGGGGAAAACTCTCCACCAGTTGACAACCAAAGTTCTGGAAATATTGGAATTGTCCATTGAGATTGTATGTTATCCAAAACAAATACTTTTATTTGTTTTTAAACATCTACTTCCATCTACTTATCTACTTATTTTTACGTTTATTTGTAACTTAATTCCATCAAGGAGAGAGAGTGTATTTTCTGTTATGCTAAATTTTTGAAGAATGTATTGAATATTTATGACCTGATATATGGATGATATGTAGATATTACATGTTTGTATTATCAAATTTCAGGGCGATAAGGAAATAAATACTTATAATATTTATATTATCACTCTATATTAGTTATTTTCTTTCTTCACTACAGGAGTTTTTCAACCTATAGGCTATTTTTCAATTCTAGGTTATCCAGTAGATTTTGAAATGTTATGATTAAATATCTACTTCTCAAGCATTCATCTTTGCAAATGAAACAATCCCAAGCTCTTATAATGCACATCATATAAAGGGCAGATTAGTCAATATATGGTTCAGAAATAATTATGTAATATTTATAAGAAAATTAAAAATTTAGATCCTTAACTCAGATAACAATAATCCAAATTAAAATGTGATTTCATTACATAATTTAAAATGACACCAGAATACTAGTAAAAATGTAGATAAGTTTATATAATCTTTTTTAGCTGTAGAACTTTATTAGCGAAAATTCAAATACAGGAACGGAAGTAAGATTGAGACCTATAGTCAAAAGAAAATGTGGTACATACACACCATGGAATACAATGCAGCCATAAAAATGATGAGTTCATGTCATTTGTAGGGACATGGATGAAAATGGAAATCATCATTCTCGGTGAATTATCGCAAGAACAAAAAATTAAACACCGCATATTCTCACTCACAGGTGGGAATTGAACAATGAGATCACATGGACACAGGAAGGGGAATATCACACTCTGGGGACTGTGGTGGGGTGGGTGGGGGGAGGGATAGCATTGGAAGATATACCTAATGCTAGATGACGAGTTAGTGGGTGCAGTGCACCAGCATGGCACATGCATACATATGTAACTAACCTGCACAATGGGCACATGTACCCTAAAAATTAAAGTGTAATAAAAAAAGAATTAATTAAGGTAGGAGCTACTTTTCAAAGAGCGCATTTTTTTCACAGACCTATTAAATAAGACAAATAACATTTAAACTTTATTTTTAAATTTGCAGAATAGTAGTTTTCAGCAGATGGTTTATTTTAGCAAATTCCATCTTCACATTGTGCTATGCTTTTATGAGTTCCAGCTTTTAACAGATAATATTTTACTGCTGAAACCATCATGTGTGATATAATTGTTCATTATGTGCCTTAAAACACAAACAATATAATTATTTTCAACTTGGAGCAAATTAAAATCTTATCAGCAATTTAAAAACTCTAGAGTCGTCTTCTTCTGGTTAATTATTTTAAACTTGTATTTTTCTCTTTATGTGTTTAGTGAGTTATCTTATCAAGGAGAAGAACTCAAGCTGATTATTCTTTTTTTTTCCATCCACCTCGCAGGTGTGTTAATAATTTCATTTCTCAGAAAATGTTCTTTCATATCCATCTTACAAGATGAGAGACATTATAACATCTTCCATTCGTAAGTGCTACCAGTAATGGAAAATATTGCAGCTTCATGAATATGGTGATACAAATAGTTATCCGTCTAACCTCTTTCAGTGCCAAATGTTTACTTTACTCAGTGAATTACTCAGTTGACTGGTAATTTCTTCTGAAATCACTAATGAGAGGATCAGAGGACTGGCTGTTGTCTGTACCTCATATGACTCCCAGTGCAGACAATTGTTTCTATGGAGCACAGACAGTTGAAAGGATTGACTTCCTGCCTAGAATAGTTTCTGCTGTGCTTCTTATCCTTCTTGTGGAGATTTCAGATTATCTGAATTGCTTTTCTATCTTGAGAAAAAAAGCAACAATTCTCCCAGCTGAGAGGAATGTAAACTGTAGTAAGTTAGCAGAACCAAACCGTAAAATTTTTACATTGTTGGTTGCAAAATGCAGCGCTGGTGTCTCCATCACTAACCTTCTCTATCCCTCATTGCGCTTCCTTTGACTGCACTAGGATACCTCTAGGCAAATCTGTATTCCCGAGACAGAGTGCCCTTTTGGTGAGCTATAAGCACACTCGATGGTAGGCTGAAATACTAGTTTTTATCTATGGCGAAATGGAATCATATCAGTGATTTTTTTAAAAAGGAAATTTAACTCTTACTATGGTTTGAATGCTTGCCCCTACCAATCTCTTGTTAAAATTTGATCCCCAACGTTGCAGGTGGGGCTTACTGGGAGGTGTTTGTTCATGGGTTTGGACCTTCATGAATGGATAATACCCTCCCTTAGAAATCTAGGCCGGGCGCGGTGGCTCACGCCTGTAATCCCAGCACTTAGGGAGGCCGAGGCGGGCGGATCACGAGGTCAGGAGATCGAGACCATCCCGGCTAAAACGGTGAAACCCCGTCTCTACTAAAAATACAAAAAATTAGCCGGGCGTAGTGGCGGGCGCCTGTAGTTTCAGCTACTTGGGAGGCTGAGGCAGGAGAATGGCGTGAACCCGGGAGGCGGGGCTTGCAGTGAGCCGAGATCCCACCACTGCACTCCAGCCTGGGCGACAGAGCGAGACTCCGTCTCAAAAAAAAAAAAAAAAAAAGAAATCTAAAGCTATCCTCCCTCCTTGGTGCCCCCAGGAATGAGTGTACCATTCTTTATTCACATATAATTCCCCCACCCATCCTTTTTGAGATATTAATTACATGTATGTTACACTGCTGCATATTGTCTGACGTATCAGTGAGTTTCTGGCTTTCTTATTTTAGTTTACCCTTTGTCCTTTAGTTTGTAAAGCTTCTATTATTTTCTATAAATAAATTCCATTACTTATTTTATCTCATGGAATTTTTATTTCAAATATTTATTTTTCATCTAGACATGTCACATTTTTCATTTTATAACTTCTATTTTTCTCCTATGTTCAATTTTCTTTTAAGTACCTTGACATATATATGTATTTATCTATATGTATTTATAAAATATATTTACTTTAAGGACCTTTAAATTTCCCTCTTTTCCGTCATTTATAAATGACTTATTTTTATCCTGTTAATATATATCTTAATTATATATATCTTGTGGCTTCTTTGCATGACAGAGTTTTTTTTTGGGGGGTATTTTGATGTTATGCTATTGAATATCTAGATTTTATTGGCTACCTTTGAACAATGTTGTGGCAGGCAGTTCAGTAACTTCAGGATGAGCATTTGTCTGTTGTTGTTTTAAATCTTCTCTTTAAAGTTTGTGGAATTAGTGTAGAGCCATCTGTAATTTGGAGCTAAATGAGCACTGTCACTAGGGCATGAGCCTCCACTGGTCTTTACTGAATATCCTGGAGGTACAGAGGGGATTCCCTTCTCTGATTAGAATTTGGAATATAAAGAGAAAAGAGAAAATTAGAAAGCTATGCATAAACACGTGCATTAAAATGAATTTTATGTGGGTTTTTTCATGAAAGTGTTCCTAAAGTATTTTACTTTTTTATTGTGGTAAAATTCACATAACATAAAATGTACTCTGTTAACCATATTAAGGGTACAGTTCAGTGGTACTAAATATAGTCATAACCTTGTTCATCCGTCCATAACATCCATCTCCATAATTCTTTTCATCTTGTAAAACTGAAACTCTATACCTATTAAACAATACTTCCCCATTTCTTCCTCCCCCCAGCTTCTGGCAACCATCATTGTACCATCTCTATAATGCTAATCAAGCATAGTGGCTGTGTTTCTTGCTTCCTCTAGTCCGCAGGTAGCATACAAATATAATAAACTACTTATTCATGTCACATCTATTTATTTTCTGCCTTATACCAAGGTTGTAGGTTTCTCTTAAATACAACATTTTTATACTTACACCTATGTAATACCCATTAACATCGCCTTCCTAAATAAGGGGAAATTGAGCCTCTGTAAGGTGGAGTAACATCCTAAGATATAAAACTCAGCATTGAAGTCTGTATACTTCAATATCCTGCCCTCTTCTCATTTGTCTTTACTGCCTTTTATGTATGTGTTAGATGTTCAATAAATTCTCTTTTTTAAACTGAATGTAAGCCGTGGAGCAGTGTTTTGTTGAACAATAAATATGATATAGGACACTCTTCCTCCCTTTCATTTATGATCCTGTTCATGAAAAAGAGAAATTCTTTCATTGTGCTAGAAGCTTAAAATAATGAAAATGCCACTTTCTACATTAAACAGAAACTGAAAGGAATCAAGGTGAATTGCATGAGACGTAGAAAGCAAGTGGGACAGAAATCTAGTATAATTTGCCCTTTGTGTACCTTTATTATTTAGCGTTTGAGTAAATGATTCCCCCATATATCTTCCCATCTTAATTCATGTCTCTAAAGGAGACATTTATGTCTCACCTTGTCAAGAAGGGCAAACTCTAACATCAACATTTCCCAAAAATGCTTCCTGCTAAAACGTAAGCTCAGTCTGGCTAGAAATGCAGCTCACTTCATAAAGATTAATTGGTAGCTAATTTTGCATGCTGTTGTCTGAACTTGAGTGAAACCTGTTCATCAGGCATACAGGGAATGACGGAAAAGGTGACAAGAGAAGATGAATGCTATGTCACTAACCTTCAAAGATGACCTGTCTTTTCTTTCAAATTCTTGATGTCTTAAGACTTCATTAATTCATCTCTCTTTGCCCTTGGTTCAACATTGTGCTATGCCAAAACTCATGTAAAACAATGATCTAATGTAATAAAAATGGCATTTTTCTTTCATGTAGATGCAAGCTAACTGGCATTTTTACAATCCACATAATTCCTTTGTCAATTTTTCATTCTGTATTGGAAGTAATTGATAGGTATTTCTGAAAGGATGAAGGTGTTTCTGTGTTCATTGTGATCCAAACTATTTTTAGACCTAGGGGCGTTTGTAAAACAATTTCTGCCAGCTGACCAAGGATCACTGTGGCAGAAAGCAGCAAACTTGCATAAAATGTCACTGCCTCATAAGTTGTCTTTGAAAACTAGGGGCTTACTCTATAGTCTTATGAATCAAAGACATTGATATATGTAGTATAAGATTACAATAATATTTTCTTTTTGACAGTCACATTATAAAGCATGATGTATTACAATTAATCTCAATTAGCTGATCACAATTAAAATTAATAATGTTTATTATTGCTGATAAACAATCATGACTCTCCTGTTCTCAAATGTGCAAGTAATTCTTGTAATTTTAATATGAATTTGCATATTATTATTAATTGATTTAATCTCATTGGATTTGGTTCATGGATCCAATTTATTAAAATATTGAAAATGGGATAATGGCTTGACTCCCCATTTCATGTACACTAAAACAACAATTCTTACAATGGTCTGCAAGCCCATCATGATCTGCCACATGTTAAGCGCCAAAATTCTTTTATATCTTCACCCTTGATCTTACCAGTTGTCCTAGCCACCTCACTGTCCTCTGGACATGCCAACAGGCTGCTGCCTTATGACCAAGACTCTAGTTAATTTCTTGCCTTGGAAAGATAGCCCTCCATATATCCATTCATCAGCTCATTCAACTTCCTCAAGTCTTTACTGAAACTTCACATTCTCGATGAGGCCTATTCAGTATTTCAAACTGCCTCCCAGCTGCAACATTCCAAAACCCCTTACTCTTCTGTGTATTTCTGAGAGGATTTATTGAGATATAATTTACGTAGTGTAGAGTGCACACATTAATGTCTACAAGTCAGTGGCTTTTAGTATATGCACAGATAAGTGGAACCATCATCACAATGAATTTTAGAGTATTTTCATCACTTCAAAAAGAAACCCCACCTTCTCTAGCTGTTAACCTCCTATGCAACCGTCCCCTACTCAATCCTAAGCAACCACAAATCTGTTTTCTGTCTCTGTAGATTTTCCTATTCTGTTTTCATCTAAATGGAATCATACAATAGGTGGCCTTTTCTTCCTGGCTTCTTTCAGTTTGCATAATGCTATCAAGGTTCATGTACGTATTGGTACTTTATTTCTTTTTATAGCTGTATAACATTCAATTTCATGGATGAAACATTTTGTTTATCCAATAATATTTTTATTGACATTTGAATTGTGTTCAGCCTTTGGCTATTTTAAATACTGTTGCTAAAAATACTTGTGTACAATTTGTGTTTGAACACCTCTTTCCAATAATCTGGGTGTATACCTAGGAATACATTTCTGGGTCATATGACAATTCTATGTTTAATATATTTAGAAGCTATCAAATTATTTTCCAAAGTGGCCAGTTCTAGCCATATAGCATCTAACTGTGATTTTGATTTGTAATTGCCTGATGAGTGATGCTATTGAGTATCTTTTTATGGGATTATTGACCGTTCGTGTATCTTCTTGGGAAACACATCTATTCCTATCATTTATCAGTTTTGAGTTGGGATATTTGTTACTGAGTTAAAACAATTTTTCTATATTCAAGATACATATATATACAGACATATAGATACGTGTTTTTCAAATATCTTCTCACAATTTTTGAGCTGCCTTTTGACTTGCTTGGTTGTCCTTTGAAACACCAATGTCTTTAATTTTTAAGAAATTTTTATTATCTAATTTTTATTTTGTTGCTCATGTTTTTGGGGTTACAGCTATTTCTTTGGTAGATCCAAAATCCTGAAGATTTTCCCATATGCTTTATTCCAGCACTTGCATGTGTGTCTTTAATTCATTTGAGTTAATATTTTTGTATGCTTTGGGATAAGTGTTCGAATTTATTATTTTGAAAGTGTGGATCCACGTGTACGTTGTTGACCCAGTTTGTTCAAAGACCGTCTCTTCCTCATTGAATTGCACATGGCAACACTGTAAGAATCCATTGACTAGACACATAGTTTTATATATGGACTCTCAATTCTATTCCATCAATCTATATATTTTTCCTTCATCAGTATTGTGTTGTCTTGATTACTGATACTTTGCAGTAAGTTTTGGAGCATGGGGGTGTGAATTATCCTACTATGTTTTCTTTTTTCAAGATTATTTTGGGTATTTTGTGTCCCTTACAATTCCATGTGTACTTTAGAATCAGCTTGTCAGTTTCTAGACAGAAGTCTGTTGGGATACTTGCAGAGATTTCATCAAATCTGTAGTTCAAATTGTAAAGTACTACAATATTAAATCTTCCAATTCATAGCTAAGATGTTTGCTAATTATTTAGATATTCTTTAAACAATAATTTTTAATTTTCAGAGTAAACTCTTGTATCCCATTTTCCAAATTAATTATTATTTCTTTTTTTGATGCTATTTTAAATTGAAGTGTTTTCTTAATTTCATTTTGGGGTTTTCATTGTAGATGTGTGCAATTGATTTTTGTACATTTATCTTGTATGCTGTAATATTGCTGAAATAATTTACTAGTTCTATCGTTCAGTGGATTCCTTAAAATTTTCTATATACAAGAATGTTATTTTCAAATAAAGTTTTATTTCTTCCTGTTCAATATGGATGACTCTTATTTTTTTAGTTGCCGATTTGCCCTGCATAAAATCTTTAGTACAGTGTTGACCAGAAGAGGTCAAACTACATATCCTATTCTTATCTCTGACCATAGCGGGAAAGCATCCTTTACCATTAAGTTGCATGCTTGCTGTTGGCTTTTCACAGGTGCCATGTATCTGGTGTAGAAAGTTCTCTATTCCTGGTTCATTGAGTTTTTATTTTTATTTTTAATCATTAAAGCATTTGGATTTTGTTAAATGTCTTTTCCGAATCTATTGAGATGATCATGCAATTCTCGTTTCTTATTCTATGGATAAGATGTATTACCTTAATGGATTTTGGGCTGTTAAACCACCCTGGGATTACTTGTATAAATTTCACTTTGTCATAGTGTATAATTCTTTTATATGTTGCTAGATTTGATTTGTTAGTATTTTTTAAGGAATTTTGCATTTATACTTACAGTAGTTTTATTTTTCTATGCTATTTGGACTAATTTTTGTATCAAGGTAACACTGGCCGCACAGAATAAACTGGGAAGTGACTATTTCTCTCTTTTAAAAAGCTAGTCAAGAATTAATATCAATTATTCAACACTAAGAAATATTATTATTATGAATTATTAATTTCTCTAATTTTTATTTTCTTCCTTCTGCTTGCTTTAGGTTTAGTTTGCTATTCTCTCCAGTGTTTTAACTTGGAAGGTCATCTTATCTCATCCTTTCATTTGTCTTTTCATTTTCTAAATAGTGTCTTTTTAGCATCAGGTGAGCTCCCAAGGTTGGTAGTACTCCATGTTTATTGCTGTACAACAATGACAGGTAATATGACCTGAAGACAATGGAAACTTAACATTCAAAATCTCCTAGATTCCACCTTATATGATATGTCTCTTCAACTTGGTCCTAATTTCTACCCTTTCTCTATTATAAACTGTGAGTACAATGGCATTCAATGAGTTCTGTGAGTGTTTCTAGTAAATTCTTGAAACTGAGGGTGTTCAGGGGAAACCCCTGAACTGGCAGTTGGTGTCAGAAGTGAGAATCGTCTTATATGGCCTCTTCCTTTGAACTTTGCAGCTGGATGCCAACTCTGCACAATTTGGGCCAGAAGTCTCATGTTGACTTTGCAGCCTAAAGCATCTTGTAGTTTGTCTAACCCTCAATAAATTGCTTTCATCAAATATTGTATTTGTTACCCCAAAATTACCATCACGTTTTTTTTCTCCAAATAACTAACATTGGGAGAAATAGCCAGCTGAGTCTGTAACTCAACAGAAACTAGTGATCCATATACCATATACCATATAAGTGGCCATTTCATTTTGCCTTCTGCCACCAAATCTTAGCAACCTCAACCATTGCCATGAGCCACTGTAGGCCTACCAGCTACAAACAAACAAGTATCTTTTAAAAACACTTCATACTCCCATTTGATACATTTCCCAGCAAAGAGATGCTTACTTTAACTCTATGCAACTGGCTCATATTCACGAAGTCTGTAGATATTATTCATGTAGTGTGAGAAAATCATCCCAGCGATGCCAGCACATTCTCCTTCCCATGATCTGCTTAGTTACCAAACATATTCATGCCATGGGTGAGAGATTTGTATTTCACAGTACAACAATTTTATGGAGGGCATTGAAATTTACCTTGAGCATTTTCGTACAGTCACACATCACTGAATGATAGGGATACGTTCTAACAGATGTATCCATAGGCAATTTCATCATTTTGCAAACATCACAGAGACTATTACAAACACCTAGATTATACAGCCTACCACGTCTAGGTTATATGGTATAGCCTCTCTCTCCCAGGCTACAAACCAGTGTACTACATTACTCTACTGAATACTGCAGGCAATAAGAACACAGTGGTAAGAGGTTATGTATCTAAACATACTTAAACGTAGAAAAGTATGTAAAAATATGTATTATAATCTCATGGGACCACTTTTGTATATGTAATCCATCTTTGACTGAAATGTTATTATGCATGACATGACTCTATGACAAAAATAAAATAACACATTGTAAAAAATGTACACAGGTATCAAACATATTAATATTGTAAAAATAAAAATATTTATTCAGTGTAAGAATTTGTAATGATCACAAAATGTTCACAGTTTATATTTTAGTACAGTTTCAAATGCCTAGTGCAATTACTATTTGTTTCTGTGTATATTTTAAACATGTATATAATAAATATTTTTCAGGTTCAACAATATATATCAATCCAAATGGCTCTTATAAATATTAGTTAAAATCAATTAGTAAATTCATATATATATATATACACACTTGTATCAGTCTGTATGCATGTATGTGTGTGTAAATGTAACTGTATGTGTGTGTAAATGTAACTGGATGCATCCTAATATTTACCCTTACCTATAAGATTCCCAAGATTCATTTATTATCTTTAGATGATGTGCATTTAAAGATTTACCAAATAAAACTGTAATCGTGGAAAATATCAAAATGTTATTATATTCATCTTGTGCACATAATTGTTTCTTTAAATTTATGTTTCTTGCAAAACTTGCGGTAATGCTCATGCACAAAATAATTTTCTAAATAAAAATAAAAACATTTTCTCAGTCATTAATTCTTAATAATTATTTCTCCCCAATAATTAATGTAAATTTATTCTTAATTATTAATTATAGAATAATGTTGCTCTTCAGAGTTCTGAATCTTTTGCATGTTGTATACATTTCACTAACTAGAACTACTTCTGGAATATTTGCATTAATTAATGTCACTCAGCAATTAATGATTTCAAAGAAATTAAATACCATTCATATTCTGATTCACAAGGGTACTTTGGCATCTAATTTAATCAAGCTCTTCGTATCATCATCTACACTTTAATTACTTAACAAACATTTCTCTATGTGAGAAGGATTGAGCAGGTTATTGTGCTTTTTTAAGATGCAACTTTTGCTTAATCTAGAGAAAGGCAATGCTCCCTATAAGGGACAAAGAGAAAAATGAAAGAGCAATAGAGATGTGACAGGCATGGAAAAAGACAATACATTTATAAAACAAATAGGGCCACAGATGATGATAATGGGGATCAAATCTTGAGATACTGACTCAGTTTATAACCTCACTATACAATAGAGCAAATCATTTGTTAATTTTTTTACAAATGGAATTTAGTTTAATTAAGATGAATACAGTGTTTTAAACAAGGAAGGTCATCTTAAAATAAAGTAGTGGAATAAAGTGATAAAACCATTGTAAAAATGATAAACATTTTATAAAGAATTTTTGTCATGTGATTTAATATTTTTCTTTATTTAAAATCACCCAAATCAAAATAATTTTATCTTAATTATCAAATAATCATCAGAAGTTAACTAATTTTTACTTTATAATACTAGGTTTAAAAATTCTTCATTATATTTTTAATCATGTATGCTTATACATAAAATAGATATAGGGTATATGTTTACATGTTCACAATATTATATTGTAATTGTTCCTATGGATGTTGTTTTTCAATAGAATTAATAAGTACTTGTAAAAAGTTTCAATTTCAATGATATATATGTTTGATTTTTCTTTGACAAAGCATACATATATTGATAGGTAATAATAAGAAAATCTTCTAAAGACATTACAGGAACATGAATAAGTAATTAAGTCCTCAATAATTTGTAATGTTTTATTTAAGCAGAACACATTTAACTGAAAATTGCTTTTATATAATACTAAAACGAGACTAAAAACATATTAACTAGCGGAGTAAGTCTTCAAATTGATAATCTGAACTATATGAGTAGAAACTTCAAGCACTCAAATATTTGAAATGCTACAAAATATTTATATAAACTATTATTTAACAATTTCTGTTTGTAGAGTGCTATATAGTAATCAATATAAATGACATCTCAGTCTTTCCATAGCTTTGACCACATTTACCTCCTAATTTTAATTATTAATATGTTGGAGCAGTGCATACAACTAGATTCCGATCCTCCATTTTAATGAGTAAAATATGTCCTTTGAGACAGCATTAAAGAGAGAGCACCTTGTATAAATTCAATACCAAGAGACAAGATATTCTTGATTCTGAAGTCTTGTTACTTTATACAGCAATGTAATTAATAAGAAGAAGAAAAGCAGGACATAGATATGGAGTCTATTTTAATCAAAAATTGTCTATAGATTTTGATGATAAAATCTAAAAATCTACTATATTTAGTAAGTCCCAAAAAACTAGGTTGTGGGAACATATTTGGTCAATAAAACACCCCTACCAATTGCTGACAAGAAAAAAAGTTAGGTACCACCTTTCTTTTCTGCAGATGCCCTGAGATGGGTTAATTTGAAAGAATGCTTCCAAACCTGAGGTGACCACTGAGAACAGCATAATCCACTGCTGTCTCCTACATTCAGTTTCTCAGTCTGTGCTCTTTTAATTTTGGGGGGAGGGAAGCCAGTCCTTTAAAGCGATATTCAGCATGATGGCAGAGCCAAGGAGTGTGGACAGGTGGCACGGTGTCTGACTTTGTTCCAGCAGCCACTTGGGCTTTCTCTGGGTCTTCTCTGCCCTAGGGATAGCATTACTATTGAAAACATGTCTTTGTGACATTCTCTATGCCAGGAACTCCCAAAATATTTTCCTTGAAACTGATGAAATGAATAAAAATAAACCAAGAGGTGTGCTGTTTTTATCTGTTTCCTCCTTTCTGCAGCCCTTCTTGATCATCTAATATTTTTATATACATTGTCGATCACCAAAAGGAGCATAAGGGCTTTATTGGTTTGTGGCAGATGTATTAATGGCCCGGCCCCTATTCCTTACCTGTAGCTGCTGGGAAGAAAACCATTCTTAACACTCTACAAGGTCTCATCTCCAGAATTTTCACCAGTTTCTAGCTGAGGACTTTCTTTAGCAGCACGGAAGCTTGTTACTGGGCATGAAGTGGGAAGAAAAGGTGAGGGTAACTAAGAAGAATCTCCCTGGATTCAGTGATGTAATTCTGAGGCATGCTCCACATAGCTTCCCATAAAATTAAGCCCAGATATCTAACACAGGAACTTACCTCTTAACACGTGTGGTATTGGCTTTTCTATATTTCCTGTTTTATTTTGTTCCCTTTTCCTTGTCTCACTTTCGCTGTGTCCTCACTCCTGCTTTAAGAATACCCAAACAAATACGGTCATTTATTTTTTTAGACTCTCAGAACACAGTTGATAGTTGAACTTCTAATCTATGATAATCAGCTTGGATGCTATACTGAAAGGAAGATGGTGAACTCAAAATGTCTAATTAAGCTACAATTTAAAGAATATATTGAATCATGTCCAAGGATTTAAAAAACCTAACCGGCAGTGTCACAATTTCTTCTTTTTAGTTTACATGGTTTCTTAAACGCCTACAATTATTTTAAAGGAAGCCTTGAGTCTAGGAAAAATTGAGACATATGGAATAAATTACTAACCCATTTCTCCTTGAAATCCATTAGATGTTTGATGATTTTTCACATATATTTCTGAATTGAAAAGCTAGTTGGGAATTATTTTTATAAGCATATCCTTATGTAATATTTCGTTTATAACAGTGAATTGAAGGTTTAAAGATTAAATTATTCTATCCAGAGAATGAAAAGCAATTATTTCACAAGGAGAACATGTGTATGTTGACACGACATTTTAAAATCTAGATTTCAAAATAGGTCCCATATAATTTTGAGTCAATTAGAATATGTTTGTATCAGTCTGTCTACAGTTTTACACCTGTCAAAAGGTACTTGAACTAAAATAAGTACCTTGAACAATTTTGAAATTTATTATTCCTCTGAAACTGATTAAAAGAATTATGGTAGAGTGAAATTCTGATTGGCATAACTTGGGAGAGAAATAATTCCTTGGAGATCAACCTCTGCCAAGATAGTTTATAATGACATTGAGACTTTTTGATTTACACAATTTGTTATACAAAAAATACTAAGACGATGACACATAATACACAGACTTTAATTAAAATTCTACTAAAATTAAATGTCTAAATAAATTACAAGGGTACGTGGTACATCTAAATGTATGTTTATATATTTTATTTATGCATTTTATTCCTAGGGTTGCCTTTGCTTTCGTTTGTAAAACGTTATTATTTTTATGATAATGTAGTATATACTAAATAAAAAAAATCAGGAAATAGAAAATGAAGAAGGAAACATTAGCTATTGTCAACCAGATAAAAATTGTTCAATCTCTAAGTACATGAAAGATGTATTATTTGTACAGCATGTACAATGTTTATGCTTCACAGGGTGAGGTAGAGACTGCAAAACATTGAACCTGGGACAAATAAGAAAGTAAGGAAATTTTCACAATATATTAATTTTATAGCAAATGTTGAACTTAACAGTTAAGATACAAGTAGTGAAAAATGATAGTATTTAAGGAAATCTAGAAAATTTAATCTATATCAGTAATGTGTGAGAAGTATTAGAATAATGCTTGTATTTCTGGATTGGCATCGATTTCTATTGAGACTGGAAACATAATAGAAGTGAGCAAAAAAGAATTTAAATTGTGGATACTTGAGTTTTATACCTAGGAGTTCGAGAAATACATTTTGTTACTTTCAAAGCAGTTGGCACAAGAGTGTACAAAATTCCCTAATTGTGTCTATGTGGAGAAGACATAGACAAACAGAGAATAGCAAAACAGAAATAGCAAAAAAGCACAAATAAATTTTACCTGTATTTTTACGTAAAAGCCAATTAGAATAGGAAAACATGAAATTTGTGTTTTATCAAAATTTTTCTCTTTCTTATAGTATAGTTGATTATATTACTGAAAAAAAATTGAAGCATTGGTATGTTCACAAAAAAAAGTAAAATATAAGGTCAAAACCATGGGAATGCAGGGAGCAGACAAAATACACCTAAACACTGAAACTCATTTTGTCCTATGGACATGTAGCAAAATGAATGAGTGCAGATTCCTACTGTCATACATCACATAGAACAGTAAAGAAATACATAGTTTTTCCCAAGATAGGGCATCACACAGGAGCTCTTCCCTAAAGCTAGCACCAAAATTTATATCCTCAGTATAAAGAAGAATCAGAGGTAAATTAGTCCCATTTCACATTCCCTGGAAATGGCAAATAAAAATGACTTGAGATTGGACAGATTTAAAGAAACTGAATCATTAATGATTTACAGCAATTAATTTAAAAATTGTTTAAATGTGCTGTCCAAACATACGTCCAAACACCTTTAGGCCAAGAATTAATATAATGTGGTCCCAGAATGGTGGCGCCTTTAGTAGACTCACAAAAAATTCAAATTCTCTTTGTCAAATTTTCTTCTTACTAATATGCAAAAGGTCACAATAATACTTTTCAGAGAAAAATAAATCTTTGTCGTTCAAAGGCATCTAAGTACGCAAGGAAATTATATTCCACCATTTGAAAGGAAAGCAGAAAAAGAGTACAAACAGATCCACAAAGGTTCAGTAGTAGAAATATCACTGTTAGAATATAAAGCACATTTGCTTTTAAAAAATTTTTTAAAAAATGAATATGTTTTTAGGAGACTAAAAAATTGATGTGGCAAATTTGAAAAGTAGTTTGTATATAGTATTTTAAATTAAAAACTCAAAAATGAACTCATCAGATTAGACATGGCCATGGTGAGAGTTCATAAATACTTCAGAATCCATTACATAAAATTTTTAAAAGTGCACAACCTGGACAGAATCATGAAGAGACATGGAAGATACAGTGAGAAAGTGTAGCATGTGTTTAGTGAGTGTTCTCATAGAAGAAGGGAACTGGGAAGGGACAATATGTGATGGTATTTTGGCTGAAAGTTCTCTAGACTTTTGTAAGACACTAATCCGCATATTCAAAAATTCTATGCATGCTAAGCAAGCTACAATGGAGATAAACCTACATCTACATATCTCCTAGAGAAATAGTAAACAATCAGGAAGGGAAAAATATTTCAATTAGCACTAGAAAAATCAAATTACCTTTAATCATATTGAAATCTGAAAGCATGAAAGGTAAAATAAACCATATTATTTGTTAAGAATAATAATGCCATTCTGAAATTCTCAACCAAGAAAAATATTCATCAACCTATGGCTAAATAACATATTTAGAGACAAAAAACAAAACGCCACCATCAGAATTCCACTAAAGGAACTAAAAAGAAACTCTGAAAACATGCTTCAGAAAGATTGAAGTTCTCAAATCAAAGAATGAACACAGAGCAAAATATATTGTAAACATACAGATAGATATAAACAAAAAATTAGGTATTGAAACAAAAAGATATTTAAAATTAGATAAGGACTGCAATATGTATGTTAGGAAGCAAATTATTAGGGCTGAAGTATTCAAAGACCCCTTAATTGTCTGACAAAAGCAGAAAGATATGACTTTGCAACTCTTTTTTTTTTTTTTTTTTTTTTTGAGAAGGAGTCTCACTCACCCTTTCTCCCAGGCTGGAGTGCGGTGACGCCATCTCTGTTCACTGCAACCTCTGCCTCCCAGGTTCAAGCTATTTTCTTGCCTCAGCCTCCTGAGTAGCGGGGATTACAGCCGCGTGCCACCATGCCTGGCTAATTTTTGTATTTTTGGTAGAGACGGGGTTTCACCATGTTGGTCAGGCTAGTCTCCAACTCCTGACCTCATGATCCACACGCCTCGGCCTCCCGAAGTGATGAGGTTACAGGCGTGAGCCACTGCGCGTGACCGACTTTGGAACTTTAATAAATTGACTGGACATTATGCATTTCTCTGTTGTATCTATGAAAACAATAAAAATAAAAGTCATAATTTTAAAACAAGAAGAGAGAAACTGATAGGAGAAAATGAGACATTATATATATATATATATATATATACACAAATTAATAATACAAAATTAAGTATAAATGATCAAAGATTAACTTAAACCTAAGTAGACAATGTTTTTGTTAAAATACAAAGATTGGCAAAATTTAAAACATCCGTCTCTATCACAGTTACAAGAGAGGCAACTAATATATAAATTTACAGAAACTTTGAAGTTCAAACAATACAGATACTGTGTATATATGATATATATACAAACATACTACATGAATATAATTTTTTAAAAAGTTGCTATGTAGACAAAATAGAATGTAAGTTAGAAACATTTATTAAAATAAGTTAGTCTAACCAGTGTGATAAAAGTTTTAAGTTATTAAGAAGATGTGATGACTTAAATGTGCATTAGCCTGATACATACATATATATATAAACACAAACCACACACTCTCTCTCACACACACAGACACACACGTATTTAGAGAGTCAAATTATATAAAGCAAAAATATCAGAAAGTAAGTAGAAATGGATAAGCCCCCAAATATTATAGACATTTCAAACACACATCTTTCAGTAATAGATAAAAGAAAAAATTAAAAGAATAAGTTTTAAAAGTGGATTTTAAAAAGGGCAAATATTATATAAGGAACATGAATATTATAATTCATGTTATTTTCATGTTCATAGAGAATACTTACAAAAATTAACATTTTCTAGACCATACCACAAATTCAAACAATTTTCACGGAAATAACGTGACACAGAATGTATTTCCTAAACAAACAGCAATGAAGGCAGATATCAATACAAAAACGAAAGCTAGGAACATAAGTCTAATAATATTGGTTGGAAGCTATTTTAATGAATATTGAAATATTTTAAAGGTGAATAGTCAATAGAAATAAACCAAACACTTTTGTAAGGCCACTAAGATGCATGTGTAATGTGTAATGCCTCCTTTTATAAGGAGTAAATCTGTAACATCACCTGGGCTATTTGACAACTGCAAAGTGAATGTGAGAAGGAGAGAAACAGTGAGAGAGAGAGAGATAAAACCAGTAAAATAAACATAAAGAATGAAGGAGATAGCCAGGCGCCATTGTTCACGCCTGTAATCCCAGCACTTTGGGAGGCCGAGGCAGATAGATCACCTGAGGTCAGGAGTTCGAGACCAGCCTGGACTAACATGGTGAAACCCACTCTCTACTAAATATACAAAAATTAGCCTGGCATGGTGGCATACATCTGTAATCCCAGCTACTCGGGAGGCTGAGGTGGGAGAATTGCTTGAACATGCGGGGTGGAAGTTGCAGTGAGTAGAGATCACGCGACTGCACTCCAGCTTGGGCGACAGAGCAAGACTCCATGTCAAAAAAAAAAAAAAAACGAGGAAATAGTACACGAAAAAGCAGAATTAAAGCAACTGGGTATATATTTAAAAATGCAAAAGCTCGCTTTTTCAGAAAAATATTAAAATATTAAATCTAACAAATATCTAGGTAGACTGATGGAGAAAAATATAGAAAATGTACAAAAAACCAATTACCTGGAATGCGAACGTTACAAAACGTCAGCAGTTGTAGATTTTAAATAAGCAACGATTTTTGAGTTCAACCATGATGGGGTATATTGAAAAGAATCTCTCAGAAAAAAAGAAAAAGAAAACTGTTATAAAGCTATGTACAAAATGTTAAGCACTATTAAAGTCTTCCAAATCTACCAGTTATGGAGTTATTGGTCTTGGACTAACTGTCCTGAAAAGAAAAGAACAAAACAAAACAAAACAAAACCTAAAAACCTGGATAAAATGGCCTACCGTGGGCACTGGCAATGTATCCAAGCAGGTAGGACCTGGGTACTACATTCCCTTTGTCAGAACACAAAGCATTCATACACTCTTCTCACCCTCACTTTCACCTTTTAATCTTAGATCTACTATTAAATGTATTCAACATTACTATGAATCCTTTAGTCAAAATTTCTTTACTCACATTTTGCTTGATGCACTTGGATAGACTGTTCAAGAAAGTGTGAGTAGTGAATTCCTCAAACTCTTGCATATTCAAAATCACATTTTTGAACCTTGATGCTTGAAGTGTAGCTTGCATAACAGATGGGCTTTAAGCCAATTTTGGCATGCAAGGGGTTGAGTTTATTAGGCATCAGCACCGCTGAAAATCGTGGGGATGCAGGCTTAATTTCAACACTATTCTAAATACTTGAAAGATATTATATAATTCTTTAATAAACTCTTGTGTCTACAAATGGTTCACATTAACTGAATATCCATGATTAAACATCTATAAAATCAAGGCACTGTTATTTAGTGGAGACTTGCTGGCTATTCTATGAGAGGAGGTATTGTTATTGTAATCTCATCCTCTCATAAAAGTGTATCATATTACTCATAACCAGCCCTTCATATTCTATTCCCATTTTGGTATTTTAAAATAAGATGTCTTTGAAACACTTGAATTCAAAGAGGGAATCTGAATAATTTTTAAAATGTCAATGAAATGCCATTTCTTCATGCTTCATCAACTAAAAATTGACTAAAGTGCTTCTCTTCAAACTTTCTGGAACATTTTTTATATAAATTCTAAGAACAATCACAATAGGTTTTAACCACAAATGTGAGGATATTCTAAATGTTAGGGTGGAACAATTTTTTAAATAACTTTATAGTAATTTTTTTCATCATAGTGACAATGTGCTAAATTTTTGTAAGCCAACTATTACTGTAGACATTTAAGTCAGGATTCTAAGAAGGTGTTCTAAAGTCCAAAATTTAGTTTCATATACACGGATATTATATATATATTTGCATAAAAAATTAATACATGTGAGCCATGTTTCAAATAGTTGAGAGATTATTATATCAAAGATTATTGATTATATAAAATGCCAATTACTTATAGGCAGACATGCTTTAAATAATTACAAAGGCAGTTGTGGTTGATTCTACTCTTGCTACTGGCATTTATATGGACATAATATTATGGTCTGAAGAATATTTAGGCAAATTTATCCCTCATATGATCAGAAGAACAATGTAAGATAGTTTATATCTGAAAGGAAAAAAAATCTTTATATGGTTCTGAAAGCGTAAATCATTAACAAATTGGATAATAATTAGCATAAAAATACACAAACATGCCCTCTTCCTAGTAGTAAGTACACAGTGACAACAGAATCAAAGCATGTGGCTATGTGCATGTTTATATTTCAAGACGCAGAGCACTCTATTCCTCTTCTCTGCCCTTTCTAGATGGCACAATTCCTCATGAATCTAAGTGAAGTCATAGGGTGGATTAGGGTGACCTGCCATTTGTATGCAATTGATCTCTATTTTGGAAGTAATTAATGTAAAAATATATTTTTAAAAGATAATTTCAAATTTCAGGGCAAACTAGCATGGTTTCACCTCTTTTCTTTGGAACATTTTTTCTAATGTTGGAAAAGTAAGGTAGGCTTTAGTACAATTTTAAATAATAAGTTTTCAAAGTGAGACGCAAAATGGTGGCGCCAACACATTTAAAATCTGCTACATTTTGAATACACTTATTGGAGAAAAGACCTTCTCATCATTTTTCTCTTACAGGAAAGGAAATAACATGTACAGTTGACCCTTAAGCAACACGGAGGTTGGGGTGCTGGCCCCCCTGCACAGTAGAAAATCCACTATAACTTTGACTCCCCCAAAACTTAATTACTAATAGCCTACTGTAAGCCTTACAAATAACACAGTCAATTAACACATATTTAATATGTTATATGTCTTATATACTGTATTCTTAACAAACATGCCAGACAAAAGAAAAAAGAAAATCATAAGGAAAATATATTTACTAGTTATTAAATGGAAGCAGATGATCAAACAGGTCTTCATCCTCATCCTTTTCATGGGCAGGGTGTGGATAAGGATGTAGAATTGTTGGTTTTGCTAAGTGGACGTGCACAGTTCAAACCCCTGTGGTGCAAAGGCCAACTGTATAGCCATTGAATAGCAATTTATTTTTAGAAATTATCCTCACTAAAATACTCTTAGAAGGATGCCAAGAAAAAAAAAGAATAAGTATTTTTGGTTCATCTATTTCATCGTTTCATTTCAGTATTTCATTTTATTTCATCATTTCATTTCCTCATTTCGTCATTTCCTTTCATCCTTTCATTTTATCATTTCATCATTTCATCTCATTTCCTCATTTCATCATTTCATTTCATCCTTTCATCATTTCATCATTTCATCTCATCATTTTATCATTTCATTTCATTCTTTCATTTCATTTCATCATTTCATCTCAGCATTTCATTTCATCATTTCTTCATCTCATCATTTCATCATTTCATCTCATGATTTCATCTCATCATCATTTCATTTCATTCTTTCATTTCATTTCATCATTTCATCTCAACATTTCATTTCATCATTTCACTTCATCTCATCATTTCATCATTTCATCTCATGATTTCATTTCATCTCATCATTTCATTTCATCTCATCATTTCATTTCATCTCATCATTTCATCTTTTCATCTCATCATTTCATTTCATCATTTCATCTTTTCATCTCATTTCATCAATTCATCATTTCCTCTCATTATTTCATCTCATTTCATTTCACTTCATTTCATTGTTTCATTTCATTTCATCATTTCATTTCATCACTTCATCTCAACATTTCATTTCGTCATTTCAGTTCATCTCATTTCATCATTTCATCTCATGATTTCATCTCATTTCATCTCATCATTTCATTTCATCTTTTCATCCATCATTTCATCATTTCATCTCATTTCATTTCATCATTTCATTTATTTCATCATTTCATCATTTGACTTCATATCATTTCATCATTTCATATCATTTCATCATTTCATCTTTTCATTCCATCATTTCATAATTTCACTTCATCATTTCATCATTTCATTTATTTCATCATTTCATCATTTGACTTCATGTCATCATTTCATCATTTCATATCATTTCATCATTTCATCTTTTCATTCCATCATTTCATTATTTCATCATTTCAATTCATCCTTTCATTTCCTCATTTCATCATTTCATTTCATCCTTTCATCATTTTATCTCATGATTTCATCCTTTCATTTCATTATTTCACTTCATCATTTCTTCTAATTGTTGCACTTCGTCATTTCATCATTTTATCATTTCACTTCATCTCATCATTTCATCAACTCATGATTTCATTTCATCTCATCATTTCATCTCATTTCATCTTTTCATCTCATCATTTCATTTCATTTCATCTTTTCATCTCCTCATTTCATCATTTCATTTCATCAATTCATCATTTCATCATTTCATTTCATTATTTCATCATTTAATCATTTCATTTCATTTCATCATTTCATATCATTTCTTCATTTCACCATTTGATCATTTCATTTCATCATTTCATCATTTCACTTCATCATTTCATTTCATTTCCTCATTTCATTTCACCATTTCATTTCAGCATTTCATCATTCCATTTCATCATTTCATTTCATCATTTCATCATTTCACTTCATCTCATCATTTCATTTTTCATTGCATTATTTCATTTCATCTCATCATTTCATTTCATCATTTCACTTCATCTCATCATTTCATCTCATGATTTCATTTCATCTCATCATTTCATTTCATCTTTTCATCTCCTCATTTCATTTAATCATTTCGTTTCATTTCACCTTTTCATCTCATTTCATCATTTCATTTCATCAATTCATCATTTCATTTCAATATTTCATCATCTTATCATTCACTTCATTTCATCATTTCATTTCATCATTTCATATCATTTCCTCAATTCATCATTTCATCTTTTCATTTCATCATTTCATCATTTCATTTCATTTCACTTCATTATTTCATTTCATTTCATTTCACCATTTCATGTCATTTCATCATTTCATTTCATCATTCCACTTCATCATTTCATTTCATTTCATCCTTTCATCATTTCATCTCATTATTTCATTTCTTCATTTCATCATTTCATTTCTTCATTTCATCATTTCATCATTTCATTTCATTTCAGTGATACATGTATTTAAGTGCTAATGCGATGCCCAGGAGACACCCTATTTCCCTTTGTAAAACACCTCCTTCATCAAAAGGCAACTTCTCATGGCTTCCTAAGTCTACAGGGATACCAGCCTCTCTTCAACCACCCAATTTCATTTAGAACCTCAAACAGCGCCTCAGTTTCATAAAAAACTAAAACATAAAAACAACACTTGGTTGTAAGTGAGCCAACAGTTTCTTGTCTCTTTCTCTGCTCAAGGCTTAAGGCCGTGTCTCCTCAACTACATTCGGTGGAAGAAAAGATCCCCTGGACAAATAAGTTTGAGAATTGTTGTTGCAGGAATTCTCAGAACCTTCAAAACACAAATCCTCATCCGCAGGGATCTTCAGGAGGGAGATGGCTGATGCAGCACAACTTTCTTTCACAGGAGTATCTTGCAGAATATAGTATGAGATACAGAAAGGCTGCATTGAGTCTTTTTAATGGCCCGGGCCTTGGTGGGGGTGGGGTAGGAGCTCTCCAGATAGCATCTAATGAGTAGGAACATTCAGGTGGCTTTTTTTTTTTCCTTATTGGCAAAACTGTGTGTACACCATGAATGAAGCTGGTCTCCCTTATCCATATCAAAACTAAACCCAAATTAATTGGCTAAATTGGGACTCAACACCTCCAGCAGCCACGCGGCAGAAAGCCCCAACACACTTTAAATTAGCTTACCTCATCATATTTGAGGAAAGCAAAACGCTTATGACCAGTGTGCTGCTAATACAAGTCTACAGATAATGCTGTATGAAAAACTAGTTTTCCCAATCATAGCTGGCATAGTCCACATTTTGCATTACACTTTCCCCCCTTTTTTTAAATTTTAAACACAGGTCTTTTTCTCTTCTTTTTTTAAATTTTAATTAGATTATACAAGATGGAGTCTCAGTATGTTGCCCAGGCTGGTCTTCAACTCCTGAGCTCAAGCGATACATCCGCCTCCGCCTCCCAAAGTGCTGAGATTACAGGCCTGAGACACTGTGCCTGGCCTTAAACACAAATCTTAATTCATTCTTACAATTATTCTGAGGTTAAAAAAATGGAAGGGGAAGAAAAATGGCAAGCAGGTAGGCTGACTTCAGCTTCATTATTTGGAAGGACAGTTTGCTTGGTTAAAACACACTACTGCCTACAAAGGCCAAGACAACAGAAAAATACAGACTTACATAAATAGATTTTATATGTGACAGCAGTTTGAATGGAGACTTTTTCAATGCAATGAGAAACAGCTGTGCTTGGGAATAAATGACAACAAATTTTTTTTATCTCAACAGCTGTCCTGAGAGCATGTCTCTACATCTCTACCTGCATTCTGGAATCAGGGAGAAAGCCAAAACGGACGACAAGACACTAGATCAGCCGTGTCCAACCCTTTGACTACAAGGACTTTTCCGCCTATCTGTGGTGGTGGGTATCATGAAAATTATGCACAAACCTTTTTTTTTCTTTAAGCTCATCAGCCGTTGTTAGCATTAGTGTATTTTATGTGCGGCCCAGGAGCATTCTTCTTCCAATGTGGCCCCGAGAAGCCAAAAGACTGGACACCTGTGCACTAGATCAAAAGGCTACTCCTTCTGGAAGCAATTGTAAAGAATTTCTGACATTATCTTGACATGAAAACCAATGGATAGTGGGAGAGAATGCAAAATCTTCAAGAATTTTTCTTGACTTTTTTTTTTTTTTTGAGTCACGGTCTTGCTCTGTGGCCCAGGCTGGAGTACACTGGTGAGATCACAGCTCAGTGCAGGATCAAGTGCTCCTTCCGCCTCAGCCACAGTAGTAGCTGGGGCTACAGATGCGCACAACCACCCCTGGCTAATATTTTATTTTTTGTAGAGATGGGGTCTCACTATATTGTCCAGGTTGGTCTCAAACTCCTTGACTTAAGGGATCCAGGACAGGATAACAGGTGGGAGCCACCACACCTGGCCATGTGCATGAACTTTTAAGACAAACACAAGGCCCTACACAAGTTAAGGTTTTCCCACCTAATTTCCAGGGGGATCTTTTGGTGCAAGGCTGAGAAGCCCTTAAAAGTACACAGACAACTCCAAAGATTCAAGACAGTTCATTCGGGCTGAGCCAGCCCACTGGGCAGACTGACCTTCAAAAAAGGCCCACCAATGACATACACCAGATGGCTCTCCAAGAATCTCTTCAGTCCTCAGGGTCCCTAAGGTACTGGATAGAGCTAGGAAAGCAAACCCATTTGCTTCTTCCTGCAGGAAACCCCTTGAGGTCAAGACCCCACAATCAGACGAGGATGGAGTGGCTCACCCTCAGTCAACAGGCCAGACTCAAGGTGGTATAATGCCTTAACCAAGGGTGTGGGCCTCCAGGTCTGACTCCCAACTCAGTTCTTCTTTAATAACACTTTGTTTATTCTCCTTAACAGGGGTTCCTGGCAAGTCAGTTCTCCCTCAGGCCTTCGGTTCCCTCACCTACAAGATGAGAGGCCTGGACTAGATGGAAATTCAGGGGGTAAGGGGATGTCTGCGCGCAGCCCACCCCCACCCCCACGGGACCCTGGAGCCTCCATCCCAGTTCCCACCATGCACCCACTCCACAAATCCTGCCCAAGGTGAGGGCTGGTCCCGGGTCCTCTGGCTGCTGCATCAGCAAGTGCAGGAGGGAGGGGAAGCCTCCAAGAGGGTGACATGAGCTCAATGATGCAACTTGGCCAGGAGTGAACTGGGGCCCCGAAGGAGGTGTCCGGGCCGCTACTGGAGCCCAGCCCGGGTCCCCGAACCCCTTACCTCAAGAGTCCATATCTCCTGCTGGGTGAGGTCGCTGGACACAGCGCACTTACTGCACAGGCTGCCAATGAAGATGACGATGAGCTTCTGGAGCTGCCCGCACTGCTGCAGCGCCCCGCTGGCCGCAGCCCCTGCGCCACCCTCTGCGGCCTTCGCATCACTCCCGCCACCGCCCTCCTTCTTCTCTCCCATCGCCTCCGCGCGCAGCGCCGCTCTATGCAGGCCACAGGGGCCTAGGCAGGGAGCCCGGGGCACCAGCGCCTAGGCAAGGAACCCCTGAGCCAGGAGAGCTGGACCAGGAGCGCCCCTTGGCGCTGCCCTTGCCAGGACGCCAGTAGAGCTGGCAGCCGAGTCTGCTGCTCCCGCGCTCAGAGCCACGGCGGCGGGGGCAAAAAGCCGCGGCGGCTAAAAGCGGCGGCAACGGGGGCAAAAAGTCACGGCGGCAAAAAGCTGCGGCGGCGGGGACAAAAAGCCGCTGTGGCGGGGGCAAAAAGCGGCGGCGAGGGGGGCAAAAACCCGCGGCGGCGGGGGCAAAAAGCCGCGGAGGCGGGGGTAAAAAGCAGTGGGAGCAAAAAACCATATAATGTCGCGGCGGCGAGGGGCAAAAAGGTGCAAAAGCAGCGGTGGCGCGGGCAAAAAGCACCGCGGCAAAAAGCCGCGGCAGCGGGGGCACAAAGACGCAAAAAGCCGCAGTGGGGGAGGGGCAAAAAGCCGCCTCGGCGGTGGGCAAAAAGCCGCGACGTCGGGGGGCAAAAATCCGCAGCGGGCAAAAAGCCGGGTCGGCGGGGGGGCATAAAGCCGGGGCGGGCAAAAAGCTGGGCGTCAAAAAGCCACGGCGGCGGGGGGCAAAAAGCCGCGCTGGCGGGGGGGCAGAAAGCCGCGGCCGGCGAAAAGCCGCGGCGGCGGGCGGCAAAAAGCCGCGACGTTGGGAGGCAAAAAGCCGCGGCGGCGGGGGTGCGAAACGCCGCGACGGGCAAAAAGTCGCGGCGGCGGGGTGGCAAAAAGCCGCGACAGCGGGGGGCAAAAACTCGTGGCGGGCAGAAAGCCGCGGCAGCTGTGGTGCGAAAAGCTGCGGCGGGTAAAAAGCTGCGGAGGCAAAAAGCCGCGGCGGCGGGGGTGCAAAAAGCCGCGACAGCGGGGGTCAAAAAGCCATGGTGGGCAAAAAGCCGCGGCAGCGGAGTGGGCGGGGGGGGACGAAAAGCCGCGGCAGGTGAAAAGCCGCGGCGGCAAAAAGCCCCGGCGGCGGTGGTGCAAAAAGCCGCGGCGGCGGGGAAAAAGCCGCGGCGGCGGTGGAACAAAAAGCCGAGGCGCGCAAAAAGCCGCGGTGGTGGGGGAGCAAAAAGCCGCGGCGGCGGAGAGCAAAAAGCCGCCGCGAGGGGGGCAAAACGCCGCGGCGGGCAAAAAGCCGCGGCGGCGGCGGGGGGCAAAAACCCGCGACGGGCATAAAACCGCGGCGGCAGGGGGCAAAAAGCCGCGGCGGCGGGGGTGCAAAAAGCCGCGACAGCGGGGGGCAAAAAGCCAAGGTGGGCAAAAAGCCCCGGCAGCGGGGGGGGGGCGAAAAGCCTTGGTGGGTAAAAAGCAGCAGCGGCAAAAAGCCACGGTGGCAGGGGGGCAAAAAGCCGCGGCGGCAGCGGGGCAAAAAGTCGCGGCGGACGAAAAGCCGCGGCGGCGGGGGGGCAAAAAGCAGCGGCGGCGGGGGGGCAAAACGCCGCGGCGGCGAGGGGGGCACATAGCCGCGGCGGGCAAAAAGCCGAGGCGGGGTGGGGGCAAAAAGCCGCGGCGGCGGTGGGGCAAAAAGCTACGGCGGCAGTGGGTAAAAGCCGCGGCGGGCAGAAAGCCGTGGCAGGCAAAAAGCCGAGGCGGGGTGGGGGCAAAAAGCCGCGGCGGGTAAAAAGCCGCGGGGGGAGCGGGGAAAAAGCCGCGGCGGCGGGGGCGCAAAAAGTGGCGGGTGGCAAAAAGCCGCGGCGGGGGCGCAAAAAGTGGCGGGTGTCAAAAAGCGGCGGCGAGGGGCAAAAAGCCGAGGCGGCGGTGGGGGCAAAAAGCCATGGTGGCAAAATTCGCAGCGGCGAGGGGTCAAAAAGCCGCAGCGGGCAAAAATCCCTGGCTCCGGGAGGGGACACAAAGCCGTGGCGGGCAAAAAGCTGAGGCGGTGTGGCGGGAAAAAGCCGCGGCGGCGGTGGGGGCAAAAGCCGCGGCGGCGGTCGGGGGAAAAGCCGTGTCGGCGCTGGGGCAAAAAGCCGCGGCGGCGGGGTGCAAAAGGCCGCAGCGGCGGAGGGCAAAATAGTGGAGATGGGGTAGAAGGCCGGCACAGCTTGGCATTGCTGGAGTGTGATGTGATAGGAAATGTGCAGCCAAAGACAAAAAAAGATGTAAGTAGGCTTGACTCATTGCAGCTAAGAACCCAGATGTTATCTTGAGGGTATTAACTAATAAGCAGTTTAAATCAGAATGGCACATTCTGATTTGTTTTTTGTATGTTCACATTTGGCAGGCATAGATACTGATTGAAGAGAGAAAAGTCAGTAGATAGAGGTAACGAAATTAAATATGTGCCAAGTCTAGAAACAAGAGACCAGGGGGATAAGAACCTTTCAAAATAAAATGCAAGATTTGAAAACTGATTGGCTGGGGGATGAGGAAAAGGCAGGTCTTTAAGGTCAATCCCTGTTTTGCTTTAAGTTGTTAGGGGGCGGTTTTATCACATATTGTAGAATATGTCATTTCAGTTTTGAACATCTGGAGTTAAATTGTCCTAACATATCTTATGAATTTGATTTTCTTCCCTGGGAAGCTAATATTTCAAACACTTAAAGAGTATGTAGATTTCCAACTTTTATCCAATTTATAAAACTATCTCTAGGCTGCTGATTTCAGGAGGAGGCTCATGAATATTCTCTTTGCAGAGAATATATCAGGAGTTAACAACAGCTTCAATATTTGTGGACGACCAGTTAATTAAGCCACCTCTTAGTGTATTTAGAAGGGAAATCTTAGCTGAAGATATTCAATAATGAACCAAGAGTGACTAAAAAATTCAATATTGAAGTATATTTCATTGTAATTAATTTGAATTGAAGTAGCCATATACAGCTAGTATTTACTACATTGAACAATGCAAATAAGAGGAAAAAATTAATAACCATCTCAATACCACATGCCAAAATCATCATCAATTTATTCTAGCTAAAGGAGTTGATCAGAAGCAGCAGTTGAAAGCACCAACTAAACCAGCTGGGGTTAGTTCACTGTAATTCTCTCAGAACCATCTCTTCTCTGAACAAAACAACTACAAGAGTTCATTGTGAATCTGCATTCTCCTTGACTATTTTAAGGTTTTGATGTTGACACTAATTTGTGAGATCCCTCCTGCGGTGTGATATTTCGTTTTCCTTGCTTTCTGTTAGGACAAGAATGCTTCAGCTCTTAATTTAAAATTATGTTTCTCCTTCCTAGGTTGAGTGAACTTAGAATGCATTCTCTGACATATCCAAGTTTTTGTTAATATGTATTTCGGGAAAAAAAGCATATTTAATTAGCTAAGACTACTTATTCTAGGCTTGACCCTATGTTCGACATCTTTTGAATTTCTAGTTGCATGGGCTGCTGTCTGAAACTGGTTAGTGACCTGGAAGCTATATTAATGTTAGGGGAGGTGGTGTATGAGCATTAGAGGTATCCTTGCAAGGAAAGACTTGTCTTATCTCAATATGTCTTTTTTTTTGCACACAAGAAAGTCAATGTTTGAGTCTTCTAAAATCTTCCTATTTCCAAGTTGCAGAGTACCACTGATTCCTAAACAAAGACCTAATTTTTGACTCAGAGACGTGGCGAGGTAGTGAATCACCATTATAATTTAACAATCTTCAAGATAAAATTATCTCTGATGTTTAGATTTTGCCCAATTATTAAGATATTTGGGTGTTTTGTTAAGAATGGAAGACTCTAGTCTCTTGAGCAGAGACTATAAAGGCCTCAGATGATCATTTTTAATTTTATGCTCTTTTCTTTAACACCTTCAACACAGTTGGAATTAGCCGATATTCCCCAGAGTTGTTGTGTTTTTTAAACCAAATGCATGGTTCAGTGGTAGAAAACTGGGCTGATCCAAGCTGTTTTCAGTAAACACTTCATTTCAGGTGACCTATTTCATATTAAATAATCTCTAGATCCTGTCTTTGGAACTAACTAGATCAGATAACCTACCCTGGATTCTCTCCTTTTAGGGTCTGTGAGCTGCAGTCACTTTTGTGAAAATGATTGCAATGACAAGATAGAGTTGTAGATGGGAAAAATGTTTTGGCTAATTTAAGCATAGTGGTATTTCATATGAGAATTTAAGTTACACACATTTGAAAATTATAATGGAGTCTCTTGGCTGAGCTTTAAAAAAATAGCTTTTAGGCTAAAAAGGGAACAACTACCTCTCCTAAAATCAGAAAGATGTTACAGTAATTCTCCATTCTCTAGAATTAGCAAGAAGCACCTTTGTGATGATTTACTTTTGCTCTTGGGAGTGTGAGCCCGTGTAGTCTTGGAACCATCAATTAGAATGGTGGCTTTCTGATCCCAAAGTCATTCGTTCTGAAAACAATATTTTTCATAAATTTGAAAGTGAGAAGTTTTGATCTTGCCATTCCCAAGTAACTCTCTTAATAAGAGGCATCAGCATGCTTCAGTGACAGCTGTCACCTTCCAGTGCTGAGAGTCATCTTTGAGTTCTCCATTTCACTCCCTACTCTCCAATTTAGCTGCAGTTCTCTTGGCCAGTCCTATGAAATACATCCATGGCCTAACGACTTCTCACCACTACTACCACTCATCCTGACAGCATTCTCACCTAAGTCACTAACTTTTTTCTCTGGATTAGAGTAGCCTCCCCATTTATTTGCTCACATAACCTATTTATTCTACACAGTGCACCAGATACACCTCTTTGAAATGCAAACACAATCATGTTATTCTCTGGTGAAATTATCTCATATATTCCTATCGCATTTAAAATTAATTCAGAATCATCCCATGATTATCAAAACCCTACATGCTGTTCCACAACGTGGTTTACTTCCAAGATATCTCTTCAACTTTTTTTTCACTGTACTGAATTGGTGACTAATAGTCATATTTTTGTTTTTGCTCAAAAAGTCTTGACTTGTAAATTTTTCAATTTCTCCTTTATCCACAGGTAACTCTTTCCTCATAAGGCGAATTGCTTGCTTCCTTGAGTTCTGCTCTCAAAGATACCCTTCATTTTCTACCTAATATTAATAACTTTAATCATTCATTATTCCATTACTATACTCTATAGTGTATACAATTTCTGTTCTTTGTCATGTTATTAACTAAATTATTTATTTGGTCCAGTAACGTAGTCCATACATATTGTACACATAAAAATTGTGTTATTTTTATTCCTGTATACTCAGCTGCCCAATAACAGTCTGAGGATTAACATATTTGTTAAATGCACAAATACATTCTTTCACAAATATTAGTTTAATAATTTTATATTAAACTCCCTCTATACTTACAATATGAATTAGATAATTCAGAATAAACGTTCCATTGGAAAAAACTGAACAATGTGTTATAAAAACATCCTTGAAAGCACCAGAAAGTTAATACAGCAATGAAGAATGACAGGACCAAATTAAGAATGGTATGAAAGCCTGTTTGTGACGTTTATGTTTGGGTTATCTCTTTACTTAGAGTGACTATAAATCTCAAAAGAGAACTAAAGGGAGAAATAACCATATCTACTAACATGGTAAGGGTACTTAAACATCTCCTAGTAATTGAGAAAATCGAAAGAAAAGAAAAAAGAGAAAGGGAGAAAGAAACAGCGAAAGGGATAATGAAGGAGAGAAAGAAGAAGAGCAAGGAAGAGGAAGAAAAGTAAAAAGGAGGAGGAGGGGTATGGAGGAAGGAAGAAAGGTGAAAAGAAAGAATGGTAAACTTTTTAACAACATAATTTATCCTTCTAGAATATGAATGTTGGTCTATTTGATGATGTCCCACAGATTCATTAGTCTCTGCTCATTGTTTATTTTTTATTCTTTCTGTTTCTCAGAGTCAGTATTTTCCATTTTCTTCTCTTCAAGTTCATGGCTTCTTCTGTGTGTGCAAATATACTCTTAAATCCCTCTGGTGATTTTTAAATTTTTATCATTGTAGTTTTCCACTCCAGAATTTCTGTTATCTCTTTGCTGATATTCCTACTTTTTAATATTTTTTCTGATTCCTTTATTGCTTTGTTTATGTTTTCCTTTTGACATTTAAGTATAATAAAAGAGTTGTTTTAAAGTCTTTGTCTAGTAAGTTTGATGTCTGGGTTTCCTTAGGGATATTTTCTGTCAATTTGTTTTGTTCCTTTGAATGAGCCACACTTTCCCATTCTTTGTATGCCTTGTAAAGTTTTTTGAAAACTGGACATTCTAATAATTATAATTGCTATGTGGTCACTCTGTAAATCAGACCCCCCCCTACAAACACAGTAATTTTTTGTGGTTTTAAATTTTCTTTACTTATTATATCGTTAAGGATTTTTTTTTTGAGTGAAATTTTCCAAAGTGATTTACAAAACTGTTTGCTTTATAAGGTGTGGTCACTGAAGTCTTTTTGTTTCCTTAACAAATGTTAAGCTAATGTTTTGACAGTGATTTTCTTGTATGTCAGGAACCAAACAGGCAAATACAAGAAAAACAAAAAGAAAAGCAAGTAATCATTGTCCAGCAAAATATGTCTCTAGGCCATGCAGACTGGCTTTGTGCTGGGTTCTTTAAAGCCGGCACAAAGTGTGTGTTCACTCTTGCACTGAGTGAAGTTCAAGTTCACTCTTGCACAGAGCTTGCACTGAGGGGAGGGATCGGCCAAGGTAAAAGCGTAGTGTCTTCTTATGACATTTGTCAGCATGTGGCTTAACCTATAAATACATGTGACTTTCTAGACTCTCCCATGTACGTGAATGATTTTGCATGTCTTAGTTTTTGAAATACTCTTCTCCAACTTTGCTTGCTGTGCTGAAGGTGATCTACTATATGTGTAAACTTTAATTTTTGCCCTAAGCATCTGTGGTTTGTTAGGTCTCTTTGCAGAGTTTCTTAATAATGTCCATTCCTTATCTGTTCTGTATTCTAGCAACACAGAAAAAAAAAAAAAGCCTTTCATGAGTCCTTTAGGTATCCCCCAGACCAGTCAGAACAGACACATAATAATTTGCGGGTAAGATCTTCTCTTGTTCCTTTGGACCATGTACCAGTCTTCCTCACTGGGAACGTGGGCTTCTGTCACTTCACAACTGCCAATTTCCTGGAGCAAAGGCAAGTTAAAAATGTCGTAAAGTTTTCCAGCTGTCTTTTTCTTGAGTCTGCTTTCACTTGGTTGTAATCTTTTGACCATTTTCCAGAGTTTTGGCAAAGATTATTTGGACAGTTTCTCTTAGTTGTGTGATGTTTCTGTGGGGAAATGAAAGATTGCAGCTGTCTCCACTGCCATTTTGCTGATGCTCCTCTTTTGTCAATTTTTGCTTCATGTTATTATGCTTTGTTATTCGTTCATGTATTAGTTTTCTAGGGCTGCCATAACCAAGTAACACAAACTGGGTGCCTTGAACAACGTACATTTATAGTCTTATAGTCCTGGAAGCTAAAAGTCTGAGACTGAGGTTTCAGCAGGGATGGTCCCTTCAAGGGCTATGAGAGAAAGCATGTTCTGTGCCTTGTTTCTCCCTTCTGGTGGTTTAGTGGCAGTCTTTGGCATTCCTTGGCTAATCCCTGCCCTCATAATCACATAGTACTCTCCCTGTGTGTATGTCTCCCTCTACTCAAATTTCTTCTTTTAATAAGGACATCAGTCATATTGAATTCAGGCTCATCTGATTGGATCTTAACTTGATCAGCTGCAAAGAACCTATTTCCTAATGAGGTCATATTCAGTGGTTAGAATTTCAGCACCTATATAGAGGAAACAATTTAGCTCATATCTGTGCATACATGATTGTAATAGCTATGTCTTCCTAAAGCGTTGACCCCCTTTTTACTACAATATAAATTTTTAAAATCCTATTCACATTTTTAATAGTCTATATTGTGTGTTATGAGTATAATGAGTTCAGTGTTCTTATGATTGTTCTTTGCATGATATTTTTTGTCATCTTTTTACTTTCAATCCATTAGTATCCTTGCATCTCAGCATATATTGGGATCACTTGTTTTAATCCAGTCTGACAATCTCTGCCTCTGGAATGGATTTTAATCTGCTCACATTTAAGGTTATAATTGGTATAATTATATTTATGTCTGCCATTTTACCGTTTGTTTTATATATTTCTCAAATATTTTTCTTTATTGTTTTATTTTGCAATGAAAGAATATTTTCTAAAATATGGAACTTTAGATTACTAATGAATTATTTTATTATATATTTTTGAGAATTTTTGTTGCTGTTGTAAGTTTACCATATAGGTATATGGAAAATTAATTATTCAAATCATCTTGCAATTTATACTAGTAAATTTTAGTAATACATAGAAACATCATTCTTATATAAATCTCTTTTATTTCCTCCATTTTAAAGTATTATCACTTTACACATTACATCTATTAAAGTTACAAAGCCAACAATACATTTTAGTAATTATTACTTTACCATCTAGAGTTATTACCTTATCACAATACATTTTTCTTCCAGCTCCCTCCTTTTTGATGTTACTGGAAAATACGTTATAGACGTATTACATTTCTACATGTCAAATACTCAGCAGTACATTACGCACATATTATTATTATTATTATTATCATGGAGATGGAGTCTCCCTCTGTCACCCAGGCTGGAGTGCAGTGGCACAATCTCTGCTCACTGCAAGCTCCATCTCCCGGCTTCATGCCATTTTTCTGCTTCAGACTCCCGAGTAGCTGGGACTACAGTCGCCCGCCATCACGCCCGGCTCATTGTTTGTATTTTTAGTAGAAACGGGGTTTCACTGTGTTAGCCAGCATGGTCTCGATCTCCTGGGCTCGTAATACGCCCGCCTTGGCCTCCCAAAGCGCTGAGATTACAGGTGTGAGCCATCGTGCCCGGCCATTATACACATGTTATTTAATAAACAATGTATGATAAAGAGAAAAAATGCATTTTTACTGCCTTTTATAATGTCAATATTACGTATACCAGTGCTTTTTTTAAAAATGTGGATTCAAGTGACTGTCTTCTGTAACTTGCTTTTAGCCTTAGGAATTTATTTTAGAGTTTTTTTTTATATGGTAGGTCGGTCAGCAACAACTTCAGTTAATATTTCTGTTTATCTGGGTAAGTCTTTGTGTTATCTTCATTTTTGAAAAATAATTGCTGGATAAGGAATTCGTGGCTGAGAGTTTTTTTTCCTTTGCATCTTTTAAATATATTATTCTACTGCCTCTTGCCTTCAATTGTTTCTCTTAAGTCAGCTGTTAATCTCACAAAACATAGGTGCTCAAAAAGTAAACATGTGCCTGAATATTTACAGCAGTAATATTCATATAGTCAAAAAGTGGAAACAATCCATATCTTGTTGACTCATAAATGGACACCCAATTTTCAGCTATAACAAAGAATGAAGTACTTATATATGGTATAATATTGGTGAAATTTGAAAGCATTATGTTAAGTGCACAGAAGGACAAATATTACTTGATTTTATTCACATGAAACATCAGGAATTGGCAAATCAATTGGGATATAAATCAGATAAGTGGTCATTAGGGCTCAGGGAAGCAGAATAGGGTATAACAACTTTATGCATAAGGGGTTTTTGGAAGAGACATGATGAAATTGCCCAGGAACATGGTGAACATACTAAAAGCAAGTGCATTGTATGCTTTAAAATGGTTGTTATTAATTTTATATTATGTGATTTTACCTTAAAAAACAAAAAAGAGAAAATAGCCTTACTCTATACATAATAAACTCAAGATATGATAGAAATGTACATGTGAAATCCAAAATACTATAATATTTAAGGAATAGCTAAGTAGAATAACACTGAAATTTAACATAATGAAACATTTCCTTAAAAAAGAGAAAAGCACAGTAATTAAAAAGGGAAATATATTTAATATTTTTTCTCTCCATTAAGCAAGTCATTAACTGAGTAAAAAATCAAGCTGCAATTATGTAAACTACATTTTCTAAAACCATAAAGAAGAAATAAAAAGGTATTTGGGAAAAAAATCCAAAAGTACATTCAACTACACAAAAAAAGCTTAGTCTCATTAATCATTATGAAAATGCAAATGGTAACTGAAAGAAGATAAAACTACAATTCAAAGAGAAAGCCTAAAATTTCAACCCCCCAAAAAGTCTGGGTTTTGGAGGTCTGGGATGGAATAGGGTTCTTAACCTGACAACAATGAAAGAACCAAACTAACTTCAAAGTCATGACTTTACTTTTATAGCAACGAAGTTGCCAAGAACTGAGTCAAAATGTGAGGGAAAACAAGAACCTGCAAGGAGAAAGAGGACAGATGCACCTACATAGGACAGATGCAAATAGACACCACTATGACAAGTAAAGCTGGAATAATCAATAAATTCCTAAAGGCAAAGTGGGGCTGGTGAGATTGGGAGACGGCTGACAGCTGCAGAAGTTGGGAAAGATCCATCATCTTGAAAACTTTTTCCCCACAAACCCACTGTGATCTCTCAAGCAATTGGTAAGGAATCCAAGAGAGTCTGTATATGACACAGATCAGGGAGAGCAGAACACTTGGGAGGTGAACAGGTCTTGGGGGCCGAGCCCTTATGAATGGGATTAGTGCCTTTATAAAAGAAGCTCAACGGAGTTCTTGTGTGTCTTCCACTATGTGAGGACATAGAAAGAAGGCACCATTTATGAACCATGAAATGGGCTCTCATCAACACTGAATTTGTGAGCATCTTGATCTGAGACTTTACAGCCTCAAGAAGTGTGAAAAAAGAAATATCTGTTGTTTTTTAGTCACCCAGTTTATGTTCTTTTGTTATAAGAGTCCAAATAGACCAAGATATTCCACTTAATATGTAGGGGAAGGCAACAAAAACGGCCACACTTAGAATACTCCTGATGCTGGGAGTATGAAAACAGGAAAAACAAGAAAAAACTGCTCTTGAAGGTGAAGGAGGAATATCACTGAGCTCACCAACACAGCCAGGAAAAGAACAGAAGTGTGAGAAGGCTACATTCCTGAGACCTTGAGAAAAATTACCTGCATAAGACTGAGATGAAATTACCTATTCTAGTAATGATTGAAATCCCAAAAAGAAAAGAGGGAAAAATAATGGAGCAAAAGAAATATTTTTCAAAATAACTGCCATAAATATTCTAAAATAAGTGACAGAAAATCAAACTTCAGATATAGGAAACTCAGAGAATGTCAAATAGAACAAAAAGAAATAAGAATTACATCTTGAAAAATCTTTAAAAAATCAAGTCTAAATTTTATATCTTGCTCCAAATATACAGAGATATAAATAGGTTATCATCAAGATATGGAGAAAGCCATATCATGGAAACACTAAAATAAGGCTGTGGAAGGACTACATTGATATTAGATACAACAGAGTTCGAAACAAGAAATAGTATCAGAGATGAGAGATAATAGATAATAGAATAATCAATTCTCAAGAAGATGTAAACATACTAGTAATTAGGGTATGCAGCTAACAACAGAACCTCCAAATACATGAGGTAAAACAGGAAAGAAATCAAAGGTGAACTAGAAAAATACAAAATTATATTTGCAGATTTCAACACTTTTGTCTTAGTAATGGAAAGACTAGGCACAAACTCAGTAACCATGTGGAAGATAAGAACAACAATATCACCAACAAGACATCCAGTCTTCAATGGCAGATACTCTTTCCTTTCAAGTGAAAAAAAAAACAGTATGGCATATTCTTTAACAAACCCAGAATTTCCAATATTTGCATTCTTCCTTCCTTCTTTCCATCTTCCTTTCTCTTCTCTTCCCTTCCCTTGCCTTCTTCCTTACTTTCTTCTTTTCCTCTTCCTTTTCTTTTCTTTTTTCTTCTCCTTTCTCTCTTTTCTTTCTTTTTTCTCCTTCCTTCCTTCTTTCCTTCTTTCTTTCTTTCCTCTTATTCTTCCTTCCTTCCTCCCTCTCTTCCTTTCTCCCTCCCTTTTCTTCCTTCTTTTCTCATATTCTTTCTTTCTTTCTCACGTTCTTGCTTTCTTTCCTTTTTTCTCCCTTCTGCCCGCCCTCCTTTTCTTCCTTCCTCCCTCCCTTCCTTTCCTCTTTTTCCTTCCTTCCTTCGCCTCTTTATTTTCTTTGTTTTTTGCCTTCCTCCCTTTTACCATTCTCTCTTCCTCTTTTCCTTCCTCCCTTCCTCCTTTCTTTCTCTCTTTCTTTCTCTTTCTTTCTTTCATTCTTTCTTTCTTTCATTCTTTCTTTCTCTTTCTTTCTTTCTTTCTTTCTTTCTTTCTTTCTTTCTTGTGTTCATGCATTCTTTTTTCTCCCTTCCTGCCTTTCTCCCATCCTCCCTCCCTCCCTTCCTTCCCTCATTTGCTCCTTCTTTTCTTTCTTCTTTCTTTGTTTCCTTCCTTCCTTCTTTCCTTCCTTCTTTTTCTTTCTTTGTTTTCTTTTCTTTCTTTCTCTTTACTACAATTCATATTATTTTTAAAAAAGAGAGGGAGACAGAAAAATAAAGAATGCTTTAATCTGCAGGTAAATAGATTATGTCTGCTGTAGGCAAAAAATGGCCTCCCAAAAATTTTCATGTCCTAATTCCCAGAGTCTAACATACAAATATGTTAGGTTGTACGGCAGTGTGAAATTAGATTTGAAGTGAAATTAAGGTTGCGGTAAAATGATAGAGAGGTTGTCTTCAATGGGTGGGATCAATGAAATCACAAACTTCCTTATAAGTGAAAGAAGAAGGCAGAAGAAAGGCAACCTTGGAGGTGGTGGCATGAGAAATTACTCAACATCGCTAACTTTTAAGATACAAGAATGAGGACCCAGAGCGGTGGCTCACGCCTAATCCCAGCACTTTGGGAGGCTGGGGTGGGTTTATCACGAGGTCAGGAGATCGAGACCATCCTGGCTAACATGGTGAAACCCCATCCCTACTAAAAATACAAAAAATTAACTGGGCATGGTGGCAAGTGCCTGTATTCCAAGCTACTCAGGAAGATGAGGCAGAAGAATCACTTGAACCCGGGAGGCAGAGGTTGCAGTGAGCTGAGATCGTGCCAGTGCACTCCAGCCTGGGTGACAGAAGGAGACTCCATCACCAAAAAAAAAAAAAAAAAAAGAAAAATAGGATATAAGAATGAGGTCATCTTCCAAGGAATAAAGGTGGCCTCTGGATGCTGAAAAAAATCAAGTAATAGATTCTGCCACATAGCCCTCAGAAAGACTGCAGCCCTGCCCAAAACTTGATGTTAGCCCAGTGAGTTTCATTTAAGGCTTCTGAACTACAGAACTGTAGGATTAACGGTAAATTTATTGTAAGATATGAAGTTTGTGGTAATTGGTTACAGCAGCAAGAGGAAGTTTATATTGTAATTGTATCATGAAAATGAGAACCATAATTTACAACTGCTTTTAATACTGCACTTGGATGTTTGAAATCACGTACATGGAAATGATCTCTATGTGCATGAGGTAGGATAGCAAATTGATGCCAAAATAATGCAAATGCAAATCTTACACTCATTTCTATGTAGGTTTCATTTAATCTTTGAAATTAAAATGAAATTAAAAGATTGTGATCTTTTGATGAAATTAGACTAAAATGAACAATAACAAAATAAGAACTTACTTATATTCTTTATATGGTCAATAAAGAAGTGATAGTGGAAAAAAACAAGATCAAATGAAGGTGATGATTTAGGAAGTGGGAAAGATAGCTGAAACTACAAAATGGTATATAACCAGTGAACACTTAGACACACTGATTGATGAACTTCAGCTTTTGGCTTGGTGAGAGCATAAAATGAGAGCAGCTGAGGTTTGCAAATTTGTAATCTCCTTGTGGAAAACCAGGGGAAAACACATCTCATCCTAATAAGATTTATCTACTAAAGAGTCTAGACTTGATCCATTTGTCCTTGTAATTCAAAAGCTAATTCAAATACTGATTTGATGTATTGTGTGAACAACGTTTGCTGATTATCATCGCATACCTGGCATTCTCTTTTATCTGATATCTAAAATATTTGCTAATTCCTCGACTTTCTCTTTTCAAGCCCATTACGGTTTGAGTCTTAGAACAGTTGTCTTTGAGAAATTCTTACCTCTACTGCATCTGTGAATGGGCATAGCATGGTTACATTCATACTGTCACTCCATAGAACATTTGTTAAATTAAAGCCAAAGTTTAAAGCAAGAGATTTAACTTACTGGTTTTACTAATGTTTTCCTCCCCAATAGCCACAACAATATTGATACTCTCACACCTTTTAACATAAAGCTTGGTGTTGTCTATTTTTCAGATGCTGTCATCTATATGATCTCAGTATTTTAAAAATCAGCTTCCAGCACATATGGTGGTTCATGCTTGTAATACCAGCAGTTGAAGAGGCTGAAATGAGAGGATTCCTTGAGCCCAGGAGTTCAAAAGCAACCTGGGAAACATAGCAAGACACAATCTCTATCAAAAGTTAAAAGAAAAAGTGGGCATGGTGATGTGCACCTGTTGTCCTAGCTATTTGGGAGGGCAAGGTGGAAGGATTGCTTGAGCTTGGGAGACTGAGGCTGCAGTGAGCAGTGATTGCACCACTGCATTCCAGCCTGGGCAAAAAAGCAAGACCCTATCTCAAAAAATATATATAATAAAAATGAAAAATCAGCTCTCATTGATTTCTATGTAAATATGCACAGGTGATGTCCATATAGACATAAATAATAATATTTCTGACAATGGGTCTATATGATCTTCAAAATGTAAAATGCCTATCTGTGTAATTGACTGCTTAGTCCCATTAATGAATATAGATTGAATTCTACTTTCTTGTTCTACATAAATTATATAATCTAGCTTTTCATTTCACTTATTTACTGATAACAACAGGAAGAATGACAAGATATCTATTTTGCAATATTACTCTGGTAGGAGTAAAGATGAAATAATGACACAATTGCACAGAAACCTAGAAAAAAGTATGGTCTTCTGATATTCTATCACATCACATACTAAAGGCCTCATAAAACTCAGATATTTTATCTATAAATGTTATTTTCATCATAGGAATGATCAAAGCATGAGAATACAATTGCATTAAAATGTGCTTGCATCACAAGCACAGGTGCTAAAATGGAGTGCAAAACATCATTACTGATATTTTCAACGTATGTTTTACTTTTCATCAACATGAACCTTAACTTGATATGATGCAGATTGAAGAAATTCACCCATAATTCCATATGAAGAAGGCTTGTGATATTTTATGGGAAAACAAATAGAGAGAATGCTAACAGAAACCCTATTAAGCATGAAGATTTATGGAGCAAACACAAATCCAGTGGTGAAAGATACACAATCGAGTTCTGTTTGTTGTCTTGGAACAATACGGTTTAGAGGTGACTGGCGGGTGAGGAGAACATATGCGAGTTCACCAAAGAGAAAAGCTGAATGAGGCAATGCCTCTTCCTGACCATATCTCTTACTCAGATAGATATATAATTTATTGTCCAGTAAAGGGTATATTAAAAAATCATATTAAAAGTCATGCAGTGAAGTTGTCCAGGAAAATCAAGACTTAACAGTCTCACTCTGACAATAATGAACAGGGGGATACCCTCAAGAAAGAATAGGACATGACCCTACACTGGCAGGTAGTAGTACCAGAAAAGAACCCATGGAAAATCTTTACCTTATGCTTGAGGTACGGACCAGGCTAAAGTGAAAGCCAGACATAAAATTCTATCTAAAATAAATCCACAATCGAAGAAAATATGTGGTGTACAGGCATAGAATGTCTTTACTGGATCATTGACATAGTAAGATAAATTCAACTTTTTACATTTTTTTCTTTTCCTCCAGTTGGGGCTTGAGGTTTGTCTCTGGAGAGTGACTGTCAATTGGAGCCCTGCCTTCCTGGGTTTCTGGTCAGGGTGTTGTGGATGCTTAACATGTGCCTTTCACAGGACACTTCCTTACCCCAGCAGTGGCCAGGTGTGCATCCCACGACCAGGCCTCCCTCTCACAGAACATCTGTTGAGACTAGGAGATGCCTGGTGACTGTTGCCTGACCTGTGTCCTGTGTATTTGTGACAAGAGCCACTCTCAGAGACCTTGGCCAGGAGGAGAGTTAGGTTCCAGTGTAGGTCAGCTCAGACCCATGGAGGCCACAGAACCAAACATGGGAAATCACAGAAGTAGGTTTATTACTCACAGATCCAGAGAGAAGAGGGTAGCTGAGAAGAGGGTTTAGCTGTGTCCCCAGCCAAATCTCATCTTGAATTCCCACATGTTGTGGGAGGGAACAGGTGGGAGGTAATTGAATCATGGGGGCAGGTCTTTCCCATGCTTTTCTTCTGATAGTGAATCAGTCTTACAAGATCTGATGGTTTTATAAAGGGGAGTTTCCCTGCACAAGCTCTCTTGTCTTGTCTGCTGCCATGTGAGACGTGCCTTTCACCTTGCGCCATGATTGTGAGGCCTACCCACATGGCTGGGTAGGCCATGTGCATCTATTAAACCTCTTTCTTCTGGAAGTTACCCAGTCTTGGGCATGTCTTTACCGGCGGTGTGAAAATGGACTAATAGAGTAGCACACCTCATAGGGCTTAACAAAATGGGGAAGAAGAGTGGGGAGCAGGAGAGAGAAAAGGGGTCTGTGGGACTCCAGCCTTTATTGGGCCCAGAACATTACCCAAATAAGTTTTCCACGGGGCACTAGTCGGTGGGGTGAGTTCCAGCATGCACATTTATTGACTCCTGCTGCAACCGATCAGGTCACTCTGGCGTGTGGGGGCTGTCCATGTTTGCTGTGAGGTCTGTGGGGTGTGTCAGGTAGGTTGTATTCAATGGTTCCATAGCTGGTAGTCACCCAGAGGAGGCAACTGTGTAGGTTCCATATCTGGGCCAGCCACATTGAGGAACTGTGAGGGTTAGAACTCGAAATTGTCAAGGGAATGTGAACCCAGCTACCATATGAGAGAGTTCAACTTATGTTCAATATGAATGCCATGGCAATATTAAAAGGTAAGAATTCGCTCCATAGGTGCTTGAGGTAAATAGGACAAACCTAGAATTTATGTAAACAGTGAGAAGATTGGATGCGTTTTCCATCACATATTTTAATACTAGCAGCATATTATATATGTCAATCCATCAGGCATTCAGAAATACATCCTTATGAAAATTTTTTGCACCATCAGACAAAAGACAAGGGTAGAAGACATTTGTAACCCTATACACACTAGTAAATTAAAAACAGAAGGACCTTTATGTCCTAACATATCTGTGTTGTGAAAGGCTGCCCTGTGAAATACGGGATTTCTTCAACATATTTTAAAAATCATAGGTGTCAATATTTTTTAGAAATCCACTTAAGTTTTCTCTTGCTATTTTACAATGCCTATTTATTTATTTAGTGGCTCTGCTGATTTTGATGTTTATCCTAAACTTTACATTTTCTTTAAAGGATGTTTTATACAACTTTCTGTAAAATGTTTCACTATCTTCACATTCTCTCCCTATCCTTTTGTTTTGCTCTTATATGGTGGTCTTGTGTCTTTTCTCTGGCTTTTCAAACCTAGTAAGACTAAGACACTAAAGGAACTTTGCCCGTCGTTTGGTAACGCCTTCTAAAGCACATCCTAAGCTCTCGTGCATACAGGGGTCTCCTTTGAGCTCTGTGCTTTTGAGATCCCATATACCTAAATTCCAGTACTCCAAATCAGTACTGCTTAGTTTTAGTTACTAAGTTTAAAAATGTATTTTAATAGCAAGTTAGTTTAGTGGACTCTTGCTTCTTTCTTGACTGCTTGTATACATGTACATTCCTTAAAATGAATCTTGGAATTTATTTAAAAATTTTAAATTATACTAATGAAACTGTATATTGTTGTGAATTCATAAGTGAATTTGGAAAGAATTTGTCTTTATGATATCAAATCCTTTATATCCAAGAATCATAAGTGTCTTTATATTTATTCCAGTCTATATTTATATCACTGAGTAAATATATAGAAATGTAGATATATACAGCTGTAGTTATTGATACACATATAGATATAACATGTTAAATCTATATCTATCCCATATAACATATATACATGCTATATGTGTGTGTGCGTATATATATATGTTTATGTTATTAAAGAGCTCCCTTAAAATTTTTCTTTTATTTCCTATATAATTTTAGGTCAAGCTTGAATTTTCCTTGTATAAACAAGCAAATATTTATACTAGATTTCATACTGATGTTTAGATATTGTATCTTATTTTAGCATTGAATATTTTCACAATTATTATAAATATTATCTAATATTAAGAATGTACCTGTTAAAAATATTTAAAATTTTACCTTTGAATTATTTTATTGTTTAATTAAAATTCCTTTAATATGATAGTAAATTTCTATTTTATGCTTTCTCTATGCATATGCAGATTAATCTGTCCACTACTCTATCTCCATGTAGTAACATATGAAAATCAGGACTCTCTTCTTCTAATGGACATACACATGTTTGCATATAGAATATCAGACTCTTTATCACATTTAAAATCTTTAAAGACATGAATATTGCCTTTTAACAAATATATTTTAGCATGTACTGAGAATCCCCTGTTTATTTTTAATTTGGGCTAATAAATATGATTATTAATGTTATTGGATTACCAAATTTGGAAACACACTTTCATCCCCAAGGTGGATATTTGTTTTATTTTTTTTTTGCCAATTTCTCGTCTTACTGTTTCAAATATTGTTGGATATTATTTTTATTTTATTTGGCATTTTAGTATCAACATTTGTAATTGATGTACTCTACATATCTTTTCTTCAATATCTGGTGGGTTTTATAATTACTGCTATATTGGATTTGTAGTAGACATTGACAAAAAGTATTCCTGTATGTTTTATAGCTGTATGAAGGAAACTAATATATTTTACCCCTAAATATTATTCCTTGATAAATTTCAAAATGGCTATTGAGAAGGGATGGAAATGCAAACTTAGCTGTAAAGCTGTCTTGGGGAGATTTGCATCAGTAGAGAATCTGCCTTGATGCAGCCAGGCTTTCTCTGAGGTCTGCCCCCTTGTCTGGATCTAGGAAAGCTTAACTGAGAGTCAGAGGTCTCCAAAGGTCTGAAAGAAACATTTTCTGTCTGTTCTCTCTGAGGACTGCTCCCAGTGAGATTCCACCTATGCAATAAGTCCACTGTTGCTAGCCAGGGTCGTTTTCTCACACAACATTTTTTTTTCCCTGTGATGCAAGACCCCATTCTTTCTGTAAACTTCATGTGGTAGAAAAGCTTCTGCACGCATCGTGTGTCTGGGTCTTAGTTCTAAGGGCTCCAGTGTACACACATTGCAGAAACCTGTATGCCTTTTCTAATATTTATCTGCCTTCTGTTAGTGATTTTTCAGGGAAATTTCAGAAGGCAAAAGGAACATTCTCCTTTAGCCCATTCTCAGACAAAATCCCCCAACATTTAACTGATTCCTAATAGCTTAAAATCACTTTGAAAAATCCATATATTTATGAATTTTTCTTCCATCTATGATTTCTGGTCAGCTTGGGTTTTGGTTTTCATTCCATTTACTTCATCCTCGAAAAGATCTATTTTACGTCTATTTATTCTCATTTATGGACATTGAGAAAAGAAAATAACTTTCATGTGAGAAATGCAAGTCCTTTTAAATAATCAGGCCCAGAGGGATATTCAAATGAGACAGAAGTTCTGTCCTGCTCCGCTTTGAGCTGTATGTTCCTCTAGGCTGCTTGCTGTTGCCACAGTAGCTATAAATTAACCAATAACGTCACACCAGATACTATAATCCACACCCAATAATAGTGTAACAGTGTATAGCCAGTCACTAATAAATGTTATTTCCATAAGCCAATGAGAATTTGTGACAAACCTCTTTGCATCATCCCACTTCTGGGCCCTTTTTTGCCTTTAAGAAACTGCTTGTTGCAAAGCTCCAAAGGGAGTTCATATCCAAGGCTGCTCGGGTCTGTTTCTTCCAGGCAGCTGTCCTCATTTTTGCTCAAGTAAACTATTTGAATTACGTTTTGTGCTTCAGCCCCTTCCAATTAGATTAACAACATGGATTTGTGTCACCATGTACAGCAATTAAAATGTTTACTCTTTTCCCCTCGAGGGCACTGATGTGTTTTCCTGAGCACTTGGAATAGCTACGTAGTGTTTACTGTCTAGATTATGGTTTCTCAACCTTGGTGCTACTTACCTTTAGGACCAAAGGATTCTTTGTTGTGGGAGGCTGTCCTAGCAATGCTAGGTGTTTCGTTTGACCTCTAAATTTCACACCTCCACCAGTCTTGACATGCCCACAATAACCGTAGACATTGACAAATGTCTCCTGGGGAAAACTCTCCACCAGTTGACAGCCAAAATTCTAGAAATACTGGAATTGTCCATTGAGATTTTATGTTATCCAATACAAATACTTTTCTTTGTTTTTAAACATCTACTTCCATCTACTTATCTACTTATTTTTACTTTTATTTGTAACTTAATTCCATCAAGGAGAGAGAGTGCATTTTCTGTTATGCTAAATTTTTGAAGAATGTATTGATTTTTTAGGACCTGATATATGGATGATATGTAGATATTACATGTTTGTATTATCAAAGTTCAGGGTGATAATAAAATAAATACTTACAATATTTATATTGTCACTGTATATTATTATTTTCTTTCTTCACTACAGGAGTTTTTCAACCTATAGGCTATTTTTCAATTCCAGGTTACCCAGTAGATTTTGAAATGTTATGATTAAATATCTACTTCTCAAGCATTCATCTTTGCAAATGAAACAATCCCAAGCTCTTATAATACACACCATATAAAGGGCAGATTAGTCAATACATGATGCAGAAATAATTATGTAATATTTACAAGAAAATTAAAAATTTAGATCCTTAACTCAGATAACAATAATCCAAATTAAAATTTGATTTCATTACATAATTTAAAATGACACCAGAATACTAGTAAAAGTGTAGATAAATTTATATAATCATTTTAGCTGTAGGACTTTATTAGCATAAATTCAAATAGAGGAACCAAACTAAGATTTAGACCTATAGTCAAAGGTTAAAATGTACACATTATAGAGGCATGATTAAACTAATTTAAAGCATGATAACATGGAGAAAAATTGCGAAACATACATTTTACTGAATTAATTGTTAATACCTAATCATTATGTGAGAACAAAATTAAAGAGTAGCTACACACGCACACACCCACACACAAGTGCAATATTGTCAAATAAACGATGTTCAGCTACACTAGAAATCACACCTGTGTTTTCTCCACAGAAAAGATTAAAAATCACAATAATATTTATTGTACATATGGAGGTAAAGATACTCAAAATATTACCCTAAATTTTATTTTTTTTGAGATGGAGTTTTGCTTTTATTGCCCAGGCTAGAGTGCAATGGCACAATCTTGGCGCACTGCAACCTCAGCCTCCCAGGGTCAAGTAATTCTCCTAGCTCAGCCTCCCAGGTAGCTGAGATTACAGGCATGCACCACCACACTCGGCTAATTTTTTGTATTTAGTAGAGATGGGTTTTCACCATGTTGGTCAGGCTGGTCTCCAACTCCTGACTTCAGGTGATCTACCCATTTCAGCCTCCCAAAGTGCTGGGATTACAGGAGTGCGCCTGGGCAGCTTTTTGACATATTTCAAGATGGCTACTCGGAAGACTTGGGATAGCTTCTTCTACAAGAATAGCTGAAAAGCTGGGTTTTTTGTAGAGATTTGTATTTGTAGAAAAAATCTGCATTGATATAGACAGGCTTTCCCTGAGATACTCCCTTGTCTGGGTTTAGGAAACATTAACTGAGCCTGGCACGTTTACATTTCTAAAAACCATTTCCTATCTATACTTCCCAAGAGGAGGGCTGCTCCCTGTGTGGTTTCATCCATGTAACAAGACCACCTCTGCTGTCAGGCTCTTCTTTCTTCCTTGTCACCACCTGTCTTTCACAAAGCCTGATTTACCAACCTACAGCTCTGTGTTTTCTGTAACCTCAAGACAGCATAGGCGTGTTGACTACCTTGCCTTTCCTGGAGTTTTTATATATATAGTATATATTTGTATATCTATTTATAACATACAAATATTTGTATAGATATATTTATATATATTATGTAAACTCCAAGTGCATACTTGTTCACATATCTGTAAACTTTTTTCCTGTTAATTTGTACATTATCAGTTTGTTTTATAGACTCAAATAATTAAAGCTTCAAGGGAAAAATTTAAAATTTCCTATAGAGAAAAGACAAATATATAGGTGACAAATAATATTTAGAGTGTAAGACGATTTTTAAAGGTATATTTGCAATTTGTGCCAAAACATTTAAATATACATTTGTTATTTTAACTATAAAATTTCAAATAATTTAAGCCAAATACATAGTAAATGCAGAATATTTAGCAATATATCAACGTAGCTCCTTAATGTGCATTAGTGTAACCAGCCGTCTAAAATAAACAATTAATTAAGGTAGCAGTTACTTTTCCAAGAGCGCATTTTTTTCACAGACCTATTAAATAAGACAAATAACATTTAAACTTTATTTTTAAATTTGCACAATAGTAGTTTTCAGCAGATGGTTTATTTTAGCAAATTCCATCTTCACATTGTGCTATGCTTTTATGAGTTCCAGCTGTCAACGGATAATATTTTACTGCTGAAACTATCATGTGTGATATAATTGCTCATTATGTGCCTTAAAACACAAGCAATATAATTATTTTCAATTTGGAGCAAAATAAAATCTTATCAGCAATTTAAAATCTCTAGAGTCGTCTTCTTCTGGTTAATTATTTTAAACTCGTATTTTTCTCTTTATGTTTTTAGTGAGTTGTCTTATCAAGGAGAAGAACTCTAGCTGATTATTCTTTTTTTCTCTTCCATCCACCTCGCAGGTGTGCTAATAATTTCATTTCTCAGAAAATGTTCTTTCATATCCATCTTAAAAAATGAGAGACCTTTTAACATCTTCCATTCGGATGTGATACCAGTAATGGAAAATATTCCAGCTTCATGAATATGGTGATACAAATAGTTATCCGTCTAACATCTTTCAGTACCAAATGTTTACTTTACTCAGTGAATTACTCAGTTGACTGGTAATTTCTTCTGAAATCACTAATGAGAGGATCAGAGGTCTGGCTGTTGTCTGTACTTCATATGACTCCCAGTGCAGAAAATTGTTTCTATGGAGCACAGACAGTTGAAAGGATTGACTTCTTGCCTAGAATAGTTTCTGCTGTGCTTCTTATCCTTCTTGTGGAGATTTCAGATTATCTGAATTGCTTTTCTATCTTGAGAAAAAACGCAACAATTCTCCAACCTGAGAGGAATGTAAACTGTAGTAAGTTAGCAGAGCCAATCCTTAAAATTTTTACATTATTTCTTGTGAAATGCAGCGCTGGTGTCTCCATCACTAACCTTTTCTAACCCTCATTGCTCTTTCTTTGACTGCACTAGGATACCTCTAGGCAAATCTGTATTCCCGAGACAGAGTGCCCTTTTGGTGAGCTATAAGCACATTCAATGTTAGGCTGAAATACTAGCTTTTATCTATGGCGAAATGGAATCATATCAGTGATTTTTTTAAAAAGGAAATTTAACTCTTGCTATGGTTTGAATGCTTGCCCCTTCCAATCTCATGTTAAAATTTGATCCCCAATGTTGCAGGTGGGGCTTACTGGGAGGTGTTTGTTCATGGGGTTGGACCTTCATGAATGGATAATACCCTCCTTTAGAAATCTAAAGCTATACTCCCTACTCGGTGCCCTCAGGAATGAGTGTACCATTCTTTATTCACCTATAATTCCCCCACCCATCCTTTTTGAGATATTAATTACATGTATGTTACACTGCTGCATACTGTCTGACGTATCAGTGAGTTTCTGGCTTTGTTATTTTTGCTTACCCTTTGTCCTTTAGTTTGTAAAGCTTCTATATTTTCCATAAATTTTCTGATGTTAGGGTAAAATCCATTACTTATTCTATCTCATGGAATTTTTATTTCAAATATTTATTTTTCATCTAGACATGTCACATTTTTCATTTTATAACTTCTATTTTTCTCCTATGTTCAATTTTCTTTTAAATACCTTGACATATATATGTATTTATCTATATGTATTTATAAAATATATTTACTTTAAGGACCTTTAAATTTCCTTCCTTTCCGTCATTTATACATGACTTATTTTTTTCCTGTTAATATATATCTTAATTATATATATCTTACGGCTTCTTTGCATGTCAGAGTTTGTTTTTGGGTATTGTGATGTTATGCTCTAGAATATCTAGATTTTATTGGCTACCTTTGAACAATGTTTTGGCAGACAGTTCAGTAACTTCAGGATGAGTATTTGTCTGTTGTTGTTTTAAATCTTCTCTTTAAACTTTGTGGAGTTAGTCTAGAGCCATCTGTAATTTGGAGCTAAATGAGCACTGTCACTAGGGCATGAACCTCCAGTGGTCTTTACTGAATATCCTGGAGGTACAGAGGGGATTCCCTTCTCTGATTAGAATTTGGAATATAAAGAGAAAAGAGAAAAATAGAAAGCTATGCATGAACACGTGCATTAAAATGAATTTTATGTGGGCTATTTAATGAAAATGTTCCTAAGGTATTTTATTTTTTTATTGTGGTAAAATACACATAACATAAAATGTACTCTGTTAACCATTTTAAGTGTACAGTTCAGTGGTACTAAATATACTCATAACATTGTGCAGCCGTCCATTCCATCCATCTCCATAATTCGTTTCATCTTCTAAAACTGAAACTCTATACCCATTGAACAATGCTTCCCCATTTCTTCCTCCCCCCAGCTTCTGGCAACCATCATTGTACCATCTCTATAATGCTAATCAAGCATAGTGGCTGTGTTTCTTTCTTCCTCTAGTCCGCAGGTAGCATAAAAATGTAATAAACTACTTATTCATGTCACATCTATTTATTTTCTGCCTTATACCAAGCTTGTGGGATTCTCTTAAATACAACATTTTTATACTTACACCTATGCAATACCCATTAGCATCGCCTTCCTAAATCAGGGGAAATTGAGCCTCTGTAAGGTGGAGTAACTTCCTAAGATATAAAACTCAGCATTGAAGTCTGTATACTTCAATATCCTGCCCTCTTCTCATTTGCCTTTACTGCCTTTTATGTATGTGTTGTTTAATAAATTCTCTTTTTTAAACTGAATTTAAGCCGTGGAGCAGTGTTTTGTTGAACAATAAATATGATATAGGACACTCTTCCTCCCTTTCTTTTATGATCCTGTTCATGAAAAAGAGAAATTCTTTCATTGTGCTAGGAGCTTAAAATAATGAAAATGCCACTTTCTACATTAAACAGAAACTGAAGGGAATCAAGGTGAATTGCATGAGACACAGAAAACAAGTTGGAGAAAATCTAGTATAATTTCCCTTTGTGTACCTTTATTATTTAGCGTTTGAGTAAATGATTCCCCCAAATGTCTTCCCATCTTAATTCATGTCTCTAAAGGAGACATTTATGTCTCACCTTGTCAAGAAGGGCAAACTCTAACATAAACATTTCCCAAAAATGCTTCCTGCTAAAACGTAAGCTCAGTCTGGCTAGAAATGCAGCTCACTTCATAAAGATTAATTGGTAGCTAATTTTGCATGCTGTTCTCTGAACTTGAGTGAAACCTGTCCATCAGGCATACAGGGAATGACGGAAAAGGTGACAACAGAAGATGAATGCTATGTCACTAACCTTCAAAGATGACCTGCCTTTTCTTTCAAATTCTTGATATCTTAAGACTTCATTAATTCATCTCTCTTTGCCCTTGGTTCAACATAGTGCTATGCCAAAACTCATGTAAAACAATGATCTAATGTAATAAAAATGGCATTTTTCTTTCATGTAGATGCAAGCTAACTGGCATTTTTACAATCCACATATTTCCTTTGTCAATTTTTCATTCTGTATTGGAAGTAATTGATAGGTATTTCTGAAGGGATGAAGGTGTTTCTGTGTTCATTGTGATCCAAACTATTTTTAGACCTAGGGGCGTTTGTAAAACAATTTCTGCCAGCTGACCAAGGATCACTGTGGCAGAAAGCAGCAAACTTGCATAAGATGTCACTGCCTCATAAGTTGGCTTTGAAAACTAGGGGCTTACTCTATAGTCTTATGAATCAAAGACATTGATAGATGTAGTATGATATTACAATCATATTTTCCTTTTGACAGTCACATTATAAAGCATGATGTATTGCAACTAATCTCAATTAGCTGATCACAATTAAAATTAATAATGTTTATTATTGCTGATAAACAATCATGACTCTACTGTTCTCAAATGTGCAAGTAATTCTTGTAATTTTAATACAAGTTTGCATAATATTACTAATTGATTTAATCTCATTGGATTTGGTTCATGGATCCAATTTATTAAAATATTGATAATGGGATAATGACTTGACTCCCCATTTCATGTACACTAAAAACAACAATTCTTACAATGGTCTGCAAGCCCATCATGATCTGCTGCATGTTAACCGCCAAAATTCTTTTATATCTTCACCCTTGATCTTACCAGTGGTCCTGGCCACCTCACTGTCCTCTGGACATGCCAACAGGCTGCTGCCTTATGACCAAGACTCTAGTTAATTTCTTGCCTTGGAAAGATAGCCCTCCATATATCCATTCATCAGCTCATTCAACTTCCTCAAGTCTTTACTGAAACTTCACATTCTCGATGAGGCCTATTCAGTATTTCAAACTTCCTCCCAGCTGCAACATTCCAAAACCCCTAACTCTTCTGTGTATTTGTGAAAGGATTTATTGAGATATAATTTACATAGTGTAGAGTGCACACATTAAAGTCTACAAGTCAGTGGCTTTTAGTATATGCACAGATAAGTGGAGCCATCATCACAATGAATTTTAGAGCATTTTCATCACTTCAAAAAGAAACCTCACCTTCTCTAGCTGTTAACCTCCTATGCAACCATCCCCTACTCAATCCTAAGCAACCACAAATCTGTTTTCTGTCTCTATAGATTTTCCTATTCTGTTCTCATGTAAATAGAATCATACAATAGGTGGCCTTTTCTGCCTGGCTTCTTTCAGGTGGCATAATGCTATCAAGTTTCATGTACGTATTGGCACTTTATTTCTTTTTATAACTGTATAACATTCAATTTCATGGATGAAACATTTTGTTTATCCAATAATATTTTTATTGACATTTGAGTTGTGTTCACCCTTTGGCTATTTTCAATACTGCTGTTAAAAATACTTGTGTACAATTTGTGTTTGAACACCTCTTTCCAATAATCTGTGTGTATACCTAGGAATAAATTTCTGGGTCATATGACAATTCTATGTTTAATATATTTAGAAGCCATCAAATTATTTTCCAAAGTGGCCAGTTGTAGCCATAGAGTATCTATGTGGTTTTGATTTGTAGTTGCATGATGAGTGATGCTATTGAGTATCTTTTTATGGGATTATTGACCGTTCGTGTATCTTTTTGGGAAACACATCTATTCCTATCCTTTATCAGATATGTGTTTTTCAAATATCTTCTCACAATTTTTGAGCTGACTTTTGACTTGCTTGGTTGTCCTTTGAAACACCAATGTCTTTAAATTTTAAGAAATTTTAAATATCTAATTTTTATTTTGCTGCTCATGTTTTTGGTGTTACAGCTATTCCTTTGCTAGATGAAAAATCCTGAAGATTTTCCCATATGCTTTATTCTAGCTCTCGCATGTGTGTCTTTAATTCATTTGAGTTAATATTTTTGTATGCTTTGGGGTAAGTGTTCGAATTTATTATATTGCAAGTGGTGATCCACGTGAACGTTGTTGACCCAGTTCGTTCAAAGACTGTCTCTTCCTCATTGAATTGCACATGGGAACACTGTAAGAATCCATTGACTATAGACACATAGTTTTATATATGGACTCTCAATTCTATTCCATCAATCTATATATTTTTCCTTCATCAGTATTGTGTTGTCTTGATTACTGATACTTTGCAGTAAGGTTTGGAGCATTGGGGTGTGAATTATCCTAATATGTTTTCTTTTTTCAAGACTATTTCGGCTATTTTGAGTCCCTGACAATTCCATGTGTATTTTAGAATCAGCTTGTCAGTTTCTAGACAGAAGTCTGTTGGAATACTTGCAGAGATTTCATCAAATCTGTAGTTCAAATTGTAAAGTAACACAATATTAAATCTTCCAATTCATGGCTGTAATATGTTTGCTAATTATTTAGATATTCTTTAAACAATAATTTTTAATTTTCAGAGTAAACTCTTGTATCTCATTTTCCAAATTAATTATTATTTCTTTTTTTGATGCTATTTTAAATCGAAGTGTTTTCATAATTTCATTTTGGGGTTTTCATTGTAGATGTGTGCAATTGATTGTTGTACATTTATCTTGTATGCTGTAATATTGCTGAAATAATTTACTAGTTCTATCGTTCAGTGGATTCCTTAACATTTTCTATATACAAGAATGTTATTTTCAAATAAAGTTTTATTTCTTCCTGTTCAATATGGGTGACTGTTTTTTTTTAGTTGCTGATTTACCCTGCATAAATTCTTTAGTACAGTGTTGACTAGAAGAGGTCAAAGTATATATCCTATTCTTATCTCTGACCATAGCAGGAAAGCATCCTTTACCATTAAGTTGCATGCTTGCTGTTGGCTTCTCACAGGTGCCATGTATCTGGTGTAGACAGTTCTCTACTCCTGGTTCATTGTGTTTTTATTTTTATTTTTAATCATTAAAGCTTTTGGATTTTGTTAAATGTCTTTTCTGAATCTATCAAGATGATCATGCAATTCTTGTTTCTTATTCTATGGATAAGATGTATTACCTTAATGGATTTTGGGCTGTTAAACCAAGCTTGGATTACTTGTATAAATTTCACTTTGTCATAGTGTATAATTCTTTTATATTTTGCTAGATCTGATTTGTTAGTATTTTTAAGTAATTTGCATTTATACTTATAGTAGTTTTATTTTTCTATGCTATTTGGACTATTTTTTGTGTCAAGGTAACACTGGCCACACGGAATAAATTGGGAAGTGAATATTTCTCTCTTTTTAAAAAGCTAGTCAAGAATTAATATCAATTATTCAACACTGACAAATATTATTATTATAAATTATTGATTTCTCTAACTTTTATTTTCTTCCTTCTGCTTGCTTTAGGTTTAGTTTGCTATTCTTTCCAGTGCCTTAATGTTGAAGGTCATCTTATCTCATCCTTTCATTTGTGTTTTCATTTTCTTAATAGTGTCTTTTTAGCATCAGGTGAGCTCCCAAGGTTGGTAGTACTCCATGTTTATTGCTGTACAACAGTGACAGGTAATATGACCTGAAGACAATGGAAACTTAACATTCAAAATCTCGTAGATTCCACCTTATATGATATGTCTCTTCAATTGGTCCTAATTTCTACCCTTTCTCTATTATAAACCATGAGTTCAATGGCATTCGTTGAGTTCTGTGAGTCTTTCTAGTAAATTCTTGAAACTGAGGGTGTTCAGGGGAAACCCCTGAACTGGCAGTTGGTGTCAGAAGTGAGAATCGTCTTATATGGCCTCTTCCTTTGAACTTTGCAGCTGGACGCAAACTCTGCACAATTTGGGCCAGAAGTCTCGTGTTGACTTTGCAGCCTAAAGCATCTTGTAGTTTGTCTAACCCTCAATAAATTTGCTTTCATCAAATATTGTATTTGTTACCCCAAAATTACCATCACGTTTTTTTTCTCCAAATAACTAACATTGGGAGAAATAGCCAGCTGAGTCTGTAACTCAACAGAAACTAGTGATCCATATACCATATACCATATAAGTGGCCATTTCATTTTGCCTTCTGCCACCAAATCTTAGCAACCTCAACCATTGTCATGAGCCACTGTAGGCCTATCAGATACAAACAAACAAGTATCTTTTAAAGACTCTTCATACTCCCATTTGATAAATTTCCCAGCAAAGTGATGCTTACTTTAACTCTATGCAACTGGCTCATATTCACGAAGTCTGTAGATATTATTCATGTAGTGTGAGAAAATCATCCCAGCGATGCCAGCACATTCTCCTTCTCATGATCTCCTTAGTTTGCAAACATATTCAGGCCATGGGTGAGAGATTTGTATTTCACAGTACAACAATTTTGTGGAGGGCATTGAAACCTACCTTGAGCATTTTAGTACAGTCACACATCACTGAATGATAGGGATACGTTCTAACAGATGTATCCATAGGCAATTTCATCATTTTGCAAACATCACTGAGAATATTACAAACACCTAGATTGTACAGCCTATCACGTCTAGGTTATATGATATAGCCTCTCTCTCCCAGGCTACAAACCTGTGTACTACTTTACTCTACTGAATACTGCAGGCAATAAGAACACAGTGGTAAGAGGTTATGTATGTAAACATAATTAAACTTAGAAAAGTATGTAAAAATATGTATTATAATCTCATGGGACCACTTTTGTATATGTAATCCATCTTTGACTGAAATGTTATTATGCATGACATGACTCTATGACAAAAATAAAATAACACATTGTAAAAAATGTACACAGTTATCAAACATATTAATATTGTAAAAATAAAAATATTTATTCAGTGTAAGAATTTGTAAGGATCACAAAATTTTCACAGCTTATATTTTAGTACAGTTTCAAATACCTAGTGCAATTACTATTTATTTCTGTGTGTATTTTAAGCATGTATATAATAAATATTTTTCAGGTTCAACAATATATATCAATCCAACTGGCTCTTATAAATATTAGTTAAAATCAAATAGTAAATTCATATGTATATATACACACTTGTATCAGTCTGTATGCATGTATGTGTCTGTAAATGTAACTGTATGTGTGTGTAAATGTAACTGGATGCATCCTAATATTTACCCTTACCAACAAGATTTCCAAGATTCATTGATTATCTTTAAATGTTGTGCATTTAAAGATTTACCAAATAAAACTGTAATGGTGGAAAATATCAAGATGTTACTAAATTCATCTTGTGCACATAATTGTTTCTTTAAACTTATGTTTCTTGCAAAACTTGCGGTAATGCTCATGCACAAAACAGTTTCCTAAATAAAAATTAAAAATATTTTCTCAGTCATTAATTCTTAATAATTATTTCTCCCCAATAATTAACGTGAATTAATTCTTAATTCTTAATTATAGAATAATGTTGCCCTTCAGAGTTCTGAATCTTTTGCATGTTGTATACATTTCACTAACTAGAAAAACTTCTGGAATGTTGGCATTAATTAATGTCACTCAACAATTAATAAATTCAAAGCAATTAAATACCATTCATATTCTGAATCACAAGGGTTCTTTGTCATCTAATTTATTCAAGCTCTTTGTATCATCATCAACACTTTAATTACTTAAGAAACATTTCTCTGTGTGAGAAAGTTTGAGCAGGTTATTGTGCTTTTTAAATATGCAACTTTTGCTTAATCTAGAGATAGGCAATGCTCCCTATAAGGGAAAAAGAGAAAAATGAAAGAGCAATAGAGATGTGACAGGCATGGAAAAAGAGAATACATTTATAAAACAAATAGGGCCACAAATGATGATAATGTGGATCAAATCTTGATATACTGACTCAGGTTATAACAGCACTGTACAATAGAGCAAATCACTTATTAATTTTTTTACAAATGGAATTTAATTTAATTAAGATGAATACAGTGTTTTAAACAAGGCAGGTCATCTTAAAATAAAATAGTGGAATAAAGTGATACAACCAATGTTAAAGTCATAAACATTTTATAAATAATTTTTGTCATGTAATTTAAAATTTTTCTTTATTTAAAATCACCCAATCAAAATAATTTAATCTTAATTAACAATTAATCATCAGAAGTTAACTAATTTTTATTTTATAATACTAGGTTTAAAAATTCTTAACTATATTTTTAATCATGTATGCTTATATATAAAATAGACATAGGGTATATGTTTACATGTTAACAATATTATATTGTAATTGTTCTTATGGAATGGAATGGAATCATTGAATGGAATTGAATGGAATCAACAATGAAGGGAATCAAATGGAATCATCATCAAATGGAATCAAGTGGAATCTTCGAATGGAATCTATCGGAATCATCGGATGGCATTGACTGGAATCATCATCGAATGGAATAATTGAATGGAATCGAATGGAATCATCATCAAATGAAATCGAATGGAATCATGGAATGGCATCGAATGGAGTCATCATCCAATGGCATCAAATGGAGTGATCTAAAGGACACGAATGGAATCATCATCAAATGGAATCAAAAGGAATCATCAACAAATGGAATTGAATAGAATCAACATATAATGGAATTGAGTGGAATCCTCGAATGGAATAGAACGGAATCTTCATCGAATGGAATCAAATAGAATCATCAGATAAAATTGAACGGAATAATCATCTAATGGAATAGAATGGAATCATCATCGAATGGAATAGAATGGAATCATCATCGAATGGAATAGAATGGAATCATCATCGAATGGAATTAAACAGGATCATCGAATGAAATTGAATGGAGTCACCATCGAATGGAAACGAATGGAATCATCATCAAATGGAATCAAAACTAATCATCATTGAATGGAATCGAATGGAATCTTCAACAAGTGGAAACGCATGGAATCCTCGAATGGAATCTAATGGAATTATCAGCAAATGGAACCAAATGGAATCATCATGGATTGGAATCGAATGAAATCATCATCAAATGGAATCCAAAGGGATCACTGAATTGAATGGGATGATCATCAAATGGAATCTAAGGGCATCATCGAATGGGATGCAATGGAATCATTGAATGGAATCGAATGGAATCATCTAAAGGATTCAATTGGAATCATCATCAAATGGAATCGAATGGAATCATAGAATGGACTCGAATGGAATCATCACCAAATGGAACAGAATGGAAACATCGAATGGACACGAATGAAATCATCATTGAATGGAATCGAATGGTATCACTGAATGGACGCGAATGGAAACATCATGCTATGGAATCAGATGGAACCATCAATTGGCATCGCATTGAATCATCAGTGAATGGAATCTAAGGGAATAATCAGATGGAACCGAATGGAATCATTGACTGGACTCGAGTGGAATCACCATCGAATGGAATCAAGTGGAATCGTCAAATGGACAAGAATGGAATCATCTTCGAATGGAATCGAATGGAATCATCGAATAGACATGAATGGAATCATCATCAAATGGAATTGAAAGGAATAATTGTATGGACTCGAATGGAATCATCGAATGCACTCAAATAGAATCATCATCGAGACAAATCGAATAGAATCATCAAAAGGACTTGAATGGAATCATTATCGAATGGAATCAATGAAATCATCATCAGATGGAATAGAATAGAATCATCACTGAATGGAATCGAATGGAATCATTGAAGGGAATGAGATGGAATCATCGTCGAATGGAAACAAATAGAAGCATCGAATGAAATCGAATGGAATCATCTTCAAATGGAATCAAATAGAAGCATCGAATGAAATCAAATGGAATCATCATTGAATGGATTCGAATGAAACGATCATCAAATGAAGTCGAATGGAATCATCGTCTAATAGAATCAAAAGGAATCATCATCGAATGGATTCGAATGGAAACATCATTGAATTGAATCAAATGGAATCATCATGGAAGTGAATCGAGTGGCTCATCATCAAATAGAATCGAATGGAATCTTCGAATGGAATCGAATGAAATCAACATCTAATGGAATCGAGTGGAACGATCAATGAAATCGAATGGAAACATCATCGAAAGGAGTCGAATGGAAACATCATCAAATGTAATCTAATGTAATCATCAACAAAGGGAATCGAAAGGAATCATCATTGAATGGAATCAAAAGGAATCATCAACAGGAATCAAATCAAATCATAAAATGGACTCAAACGGAATAATTATAGAATGGAATCGAATAGATTCTTTCAATGGACTCGAATGGAATAATCATCAAATGGAATCGAATGGAATCATTGAACGGAATTGAATGGAATCATCATTGAATGAAATCAAATGGAATCATTGAATGGACTCGAAAGAAATCATCAAGTGGAATTGAATGAAATCACGGAATGGACACGAATGGAATCATCATTGAACAGAATAGAATTGAATCATCGAATGGACTCGAATGGTATCATCATCAAATGGAATCGAAAGGAAATATCGAATGGACTTGAATGGAATCATTGAATTGACTCGAATGGAATAATCATGGAATGGAATCAAATGGAATAATCGAATGAACATGAATGGAATCATCATCGAATGGAATCGAATGGAATCATTGAATGAAATCGATTGGAATCATCATTGAATAGAGTTGAATGGAATCATCATTGAATGGAATCGAAAGGAATCATCATCGACTGGAGTCGAATGGAATTATCATCTAATGGAATCGAATGGAATCATCAACGAATTCAATCGAATGGAGAAATCGAATGGAATCCTTTGGAATCTTCATTGAATTGAACAAAATGCTGTCATCATCAAATGGAATTGAATGGAATCATCATCGAATGGAATCAAAAGGAATCATCAGCGAATTGAATAGAATGGTATCATCGAATGGAATCGAATGGAATCATCATCGAAAGAAATCGAAAGGAATCATCAAGTGGAATTGAACGGAATCATCTAATGGAAACGAATGGAATAATTATCGAATTGAATTGAATGGAATCATCGAATAGACTCGAATGGAATAATCGAATGGACTCCAATGGAATCATGGAATGGAATCGAATGGAATAATCGATAGGACTGGAATGGAATCATCACCAAATGATATCATATGGAATCAATGAAGGGACTCGAATGGAATCATCGAATCCACACGAATGGAATCATCATCGAATGGACATGAATGGAATCATCAAATGGAATCGAAAGGAATCATCATGGAATGGAATCGAATGGAATCATGATCGAATGGAGTCGAATGGAATCATCATCAAATGGAATTGAATAGAATCATCATCGAATGGAATCAAATGAAATCATCAATGAATGGATTCGAATGGAGTCATCGAATGGAGTCTTTTGAATCATCATCGAATGGAACTGAATGCAGTCAGCATCGAATGGAATCAAATGGTATCATCAAAAGGACTCGATGGAATCATCATCGCATAGAACCAAATGGAATCATCTAATCGACACGAATGGAGTTATCTTTTGGTGGAATCAAATGGAATCATCAAATGCACTCGAATGGAATCATCATCGAATGTAATCTTAAGGAATCATTGAATGGACTTGAATGGAATCATTGAATGTAATCGAAGGCAATCATCATCGAATGTAATCGAATGGAATCATCAAATGGAATTGAATGGAATCATCATTGAATGGAATCGAATGGAATCATCATCGATTGGAATCTAATGGAATCATCATTTAATTGAAACGAATAGAATCATCAAGGAATGGAATGAAATGAAGAAATCAAATGGAATCCATTGGAATCATCATTAGATGGAACTGAATGCAGTCATCATCGAATGCAATCGAGTGGTATCATCAAATGGATTAGAATGAAATCATCATCAAATGGAATTGAATGGAATCATCGAATGGACTCGAATGGAATGACCATCAAATGAAATCGAATGGAATCATCGAATGGACACAAACGGAATCATCGTTGAATGGAATCGAATGGAATCATCGAATGGCATCCAACGGAATCATGATCGAATGGAATGTAATGGCATCATTGAATGGACTCGAATGGAATCATCGAGTTGACTTGAATGGAATCATCATAGAATGGAATCGAATGTATACATTGAATGGACTCGAATGGAATCATAATCAAAGGGAATTTAATTATATCATAATCACGTGGAATCAAATGGAATCATCATCGAATGGAGTCGAATGGAATCATAATTTAATAGAATCGAATGGAATCACCGAATTGAATCAAATGGAATGATCATCGAATGGAATCGAAGGGATTCATCGAATGGGATCGAATGGAGTCATCGAATGAAATCACGTGGAATCATCGAATGGATTTGAATGGAATCATCATCGAATGGAATCGAATGGAATCATTGAATGGAATCAAATGAAATCATCATCGGATGGAAATGAATGGAATCATCACTGAATGGACTCCAATGAAATCATCGATTGGAATCAGATAGAATCATCATCGATTGGAATCAAATGGAAGCATCAAAAGAAATCGAATGTAATCATCAATGAATGGACTCAGATGGACTAATCATCACATGGACTCGAATGGAATCATCGTCAAATGGAATCGAATGGGATCATCATCGAATGGAATCGAATGGAAATATCATGGAATTGAATCAAGTGGAAACATCATGGAATTGAATCGAATGCCTGATAATCGAATGGAATCGAAAGGAAACATCATCGAATGGAATCAAATGGAACCATAGAATGAAATCAAATGGAATACTCATCGAATGGAGTCGAATGGAATTATCGAATGGACTCGAATTGAATCATCAAATGGACTCAAATGGAATCACTGAATTGAATTGAATGAAATCATTGAATGGACTATATTGGAATCATCATCATATTGAATCGAATGGAATCCTCGAATAGAATCAAATGGAAACATCAAATGGAATCGAACGGAATCATCATCGAATGGAATCTCATGGAATCTTCAAATGGAATCAAAGGCAATCATCGTCGAATGGAATGAGATGGAATCATCGAATGGAATCGAATGGAATCATCATCAAGTGGAATCGAATGGAATCATAGAATGGAATCGAATGGAATCATTGTCGAACAGAATGGAATGGAATCAATGAAGGGAATTGAATGGAATCACCAATGAATGGAATAGAATGCAATCATCATCTAAAGGAATCGAACGGAATCGTTGAATGGACTCGAATGGATTCACCATCGACTGGAATCATGTGAAATCATCCAATGGGCATGAATTGAATCAACATCTAATGGAATCGAATGGAATCATCTAATGTACTCACATGGAATCATCATTGAATGGAATAGAATGGAATCATCAAATGGAATCAAAAGAAACATCATCGTATGGAATTGCTGGAATCATCGAATGGTCTCGAATGTATTCATCAGAGAATGGAATCAAACGGAATCATCAAATGGACTCAAATGGAATCAACATCGAATGGCATCGAATGGAATCATCGAATGGAGTCGAATGGGATTGTCATCAAATATAAACAAAAGCCATCATCAAGTAGATTCGAATAGAACCATTGAATGGACTCAAATGGAATCATCATCGAATGTAATTGAAAGGTATCATTGAATGCAGTTGAAGGGAATCCTCAACAAGTGGTATCGAATGGTATCATCGAATGGAATCAAATGGAATCATCTTCATTTGGCATCGAAAGGAATCACTGAATGGACTCGAATGGAATAATCATTGAAAGGATTAAGATGGAATCATCGAATCAAATCGAATGGAATCATCATTGAATGGAATCGAAAGGAATCATCAAACGGACTCAACAAGAATCATCATCGTATTGAAACGAATGGAATCATTGAATTGATTCGAATGGAATCATCATTGAATGGAATCAAATGGAATCATCATCGAATGGAATTGAAAAGAATCATCACCAAATGGAGTAGAATGGGATCATCATGGAATGGAATCCAAAGGAAACAGCATCGAATGGAACCGAATGGAATCATCATTGAATGGAAACAAAAGGAGTCATCTTCGAATGGAATTGCATGGGATCATCATCGAATGGAATCAAATGGAATCATCAAATGGAATAGAATGCAGTTAATATCGAATGGAATCAAATGGAATCATCATTGAATAGAATCAAATGGAATCATCAAATGGAATCGAATGGAGTCATTGAATGGGGTCAAATTAAATGATTGAATGGAATTGAATAGAATCAGCATCAAATGAAATCTAGTGGAATCATCATCGAATCAAATCAAATGGAATCATTGAATGGAATCATCATCAAATGGAGTCCAATGGAATCATCATATGGACTCGAATGGAATGATCATAGAATGGAATTGAATGGAATAATCGAAAGGAATCATCATCAAATGGAATCGAATGGTATCATCAAATGTACTCTAATGGAATCATCAATGAATAGTATTGAATGGTATCATCGAATGGACTCGAATGGAAAAATCTTCAATTGGCATCGAAATGAATCACCGAATGGACTCGAATGGAATAATCTTCGAAAGGAATCGAATGGAATCTTCGAATGGAATCGAATGGAATCATCATCAAACGGAATCGAATGGAATCATCAAATGGACTGGAATGGAATCATCATCATATGGAATCAAATGGAATCTTCGAATGGAATCGAATGGAAACATCATCGAATGGAATCAAATGGAATCATCATCGAATGGAATCAAAAAGAATAAACATCAAATGGAGTCAAACGGAATCATCATAGAATGGAATCCAAAGGAATAATCATCGAATGGAACCGAATGGAATCATCTTCAAATGGAAGCAAAAGGAGTCATCATGAAATGGAATCGCATGGAATCATCATTGAATGGAATCACATGGAATCATTGAATGGAATTAAATGGAATCATCATCAAATGAAATGAATGGAAACATCGAATGGTCTCGAATGGAATCATTATCAAATGGAATCGAAAGGAATCACCGAATAGAATCGAATGGAATAATCATCAAATGGTCTCAAATGGCATAATCATCATATGAAATTGAATGGAATTATCAGATGGAATCGAATAGAATCATTGAATGGTATCGAATGGAATCATTGAACAGACTTGAATGGAGTCATCATTGAATGGTATCGAATGGAATCATTGAATGGACTCGAATAGAATAATCATCGAATGGAATCAAATAGAATCATCATTGGATGGAAGTGAATGGACTTGTCATCGAATGGAATCGAATGGAATCATCAAATGAAGTCAGATGGAATCATCATCGAATGGAATCAAATAGAATCATCGAATGAAATTGAATTCAATCATCATCAAATGGACTACAATGGAATCATCATCGAATGGACTCGAATGGAATAATCATCCAAAGGAATCCAATGGAATCAACATCCCATGGAATCGAATGGAAACACCATCGAATTGAGTCGAATGGAATCATCACGGAATTGAAACGAATGGACTCATCATCGAATGGATTCGAATGGAATCATCAAATGGAATTGATTGCAATCATCATTGAATGGAATCGAAAGGAATCATTGAATGGAATTGAATGGAATCATCATCAAATGGAAACGAATGGAATCATCATAGAATGGAATTGAATGGATTCATCGAATGGAATCAGACGGAATCATCATCGAATGGAATCAAATAGAATCATCGAATGTAATTGAATTGTATCATCATCGAATGGACGCGAATGAAATCATCATCGAATGGACCAGAATGAAATCATCATCCAATGAAATTGAATGGAATATTCGAATAGACACGAAAGCAATCATCACTGAAAGGAAGAGAATGTAATCACTGAATGGCATCTAATGGAATCATCATCGAAAGGAATCTAATGGAATAATCGAATGGACTCGAACTGAATCATCATATGGAGTCGAATGGAATCATCATCTAATGGAATCGAATGGAATCATTGAATGGACTCGAATGAAATCATCATCAAATGGAATCAAATGGAGTCATTGATTGGACTCGAATGGAATCATGATTGAACGGAATCTAATGAAATCACTGAATGGACTCGAATGCAATCATCATCAAAAGGAATAGAATAGAATTGGAATCAAATAGAATTGAATACAATCATCGTGGAATCAAATCGAATGCAATTTTCATCAAATGGGATCGAATGGAGTCATCATGGATTAGAATTGGATGGGATCATCAAATGAAAGAGAAAGGAATCATCATCAAAAAGAATCGAAATAAAACAAAGAATGGAATCCAACGGAATCATTGAATGGAAGCAAATGGAATCATCATTGAATGGATTCGAATGGAGTCATTATCAAATGGAATCAAATGGAATCATTTAACGGACTCGAAAGGAAACATTGGAGTCGAATGAGATCATCGAATGGAATCGAATGGAATCATCATCGAATGGAATATAATGGAATCATCGAATGGACTCGAATGGAGTAATAATCGAATGGAATCAAATGATATCATGCAATGCACTCGAATGGAATCATCGAATGGACTCCAATGGAATCAACATTGAGTGGAATCGAAAGGAAACATCAAATGGAATTGAGTCTAATCATCGAATGGAATAATCATCGAATGGAACCAAAAGGAATCACTGAATGGACACGAATGGAATCATCATCGAATGGAATCAAAAGGAATCATCGAACGGAATCGAATGGAATCATCATTGAATGGAACCGAATGGAATAATCATGGAATGGAGTCGAATGGAATCATCATCGAATGGAATCGAATGGAAACATCATCAAATGGAATTGAATGGAATCATCAATGAATGGAATCGAATGGAAACATCATCGAATGGAATTGAATGGAATCATCAACGAATGGAATCGAATGGAGTCATAGAATGGAGTCCTTTGGAATCATCATTGAATGGAACCAAATGCAGTCATCATCGAATGAAATCAAATGGAATCATCGAATGGGCTCGATGGAATCATCATCGCATGGAATTGAATGGAATCATCAAATGGACTCGAATGCAATCATCGAATGGACTCGAATGGAATCATCATCAAATGGAATTTAAAGGAATCATCGAATGGACTCGAATTGAAGTAATATCGTGTGGAATAGAATGGAATCATAGAATGGAATTGAGTGAAATCATCATTGAATGGAATTAAATGGAATCATCATTGAATGGAATCGAAGGGAATCATCATCGAATGAATTATAATGGAATCATCATCTAATGGAAATGAATGGAATCACCAACGAATGGAATCAAATGAAGAAATTGAATGGAATCCGTTGGAATCATCAAGTGGAACAGAATGCAGTCATTATCAAATGGAATCGAATGGAATCATCAAATGGATTAGAATGGAATCATCATCAAATGGAATTGAAAGGAATCATTGAATAGACTCGAATGGAATGACCATCAAATGGAATCGAATGGAATCATCAAATGTACACGAATGGAATCATCATTGAATGGATTCGAATGGAATCAATGAATGACATCGAATGGAATCATCTTCGAGTGGAATCTAATGAAATCATCCAATGGACTCGAATGGAATCATTGAATGGACTTGAGTGGAATCATCATCGAATGGAATCGAATGGAATCATCAAATGGACTCGAATGGAATCATCATTAATGGAATCGTATATAATCATAATCAAATGATATCGAAAGGAATCATCATCTATAAGATTTGATTGGAACAATCATTGAGTAGAATCAAATGGAATCGCCGAATTGAATCAAATGGTAAGATCATGAAATGGAATCAAAGGGAATCATCAAATGGGATCGAATGGAGTCATCGAATGGAATCGAGTGGAATCATTGAATGGATTCAAATTGAATCATCATCGAATGGAATCGAATGGAATCATTGAATGGACTCGAATGGAATCATCATCGAATGGAATTGAATGGAATCATCGAACGGACACGAATGCAATCATCATTGAATGGACTCGAATGGAATCATGAAATTGAGTCGAATGTAATAATCATCAAATGGAATCGAATGGAATCATCGAATAGCATTGAATGGAATCATCGTCGAATGGCGTCGAATGGAATCATCGAATGGACCTGAATGGAATCATCATGGAATGCAATCGAATGGAATCATCATCGAATGGAATCAAATGGAATCATCGAATGGAATAGAATTGAATCACCATCGAATGGAATCGAATAGAACCATTGAATGAAATCGAATGGAATCATCTTTGAATGGAATCGAATGAAATCATCAATGAATGGAATCAAATGGAAACATTTAATGGAATCCAAAGTAATCATCTTCGAATTGAACCCAATGTAATCATTAAATAGACTCAAATGGAATCATCAAATGGAATCGAACGGAGTCATCATCTAATGGAATAGAAAGGAAACATTGAATGCAATCTAAGGGAATCATCACTGAATGAAATCAAATGGAATCATCGAATGGACTCAAATGGAATCAACATTCAGTGGAATCGAATGGAATCATTGAATGGACTCGAATGGAATCATCATCGGATCGAATTGAAAGGAGTCATCAAATGGATATGAATGGAATCACTGAATGTTCTCGAATGGAATCATCACCAAATAGAAACGAATGGAATACTCGAACGGACAAAAATGGAATTATGATCGAATGGAATCGAATGAAAGCATCAAATTGAATCGAATGGAATCATCATTGAATGGAATGGAATGGAATCATCATCAAATGCAATCGAATGGAAGCATCGAATGGAATCGAATGGAATCATCATTGAATAGAATGGAATGGAATCGTCACTGAATGGAATCGAATGGAATCATCATCGAATGTAATCACATGGAATCATCATGTAATAGAATCGACTGGAATCATCAAAGAATTGAATCGAATGGAGAAATCGAATGGAATCCGTTGGAATCATCATGAATGAAATCGAATGCAGTCGTCATCAAAAGGAATCGATTGGAATCCTCAATGAATTGAATCGAAAGGAATCATCAGCAAATGGAATCAAAAGGAATCATTATGGAATAGAATCGAATGGAATCATCGAATGGAATGGAATGGAATCATCAAGGAAAGGAATCGAAGGGAATCATTGAATGGAATCGAATGGAATCATCTAACAGAATCAAATGGAATCATCATCGAATGGACTCAGATGGGATTATCATCGAATGGAATCAAATGGAATCATCGAATGGAATCGAATGGAATAATCGAATGCACTCCAATGGACTCATCAAATGGACTCGAATGGAATCATCATCAAATGGAATCAGATGGAATCAAAGAAGGGACTCAAAAGGAATCATCGAATAGACACAAATGGAATCATCATTGAATGGAATCGAATGGAATCATCGAATGGACTCGACTGGAATCATCATCGAATGGAAATGAATAGGATCATCATCAAATGGAATAGAATGGGATCATCATCAAAACAAATCCAATGGAATCAACCTGAATGGACTCAAATGCAATGATCAAATGGATGTGAATGGAATCATCAAAAGGAATCAAATGGAACCACTAAATGGACTCGAATGGAGTTATCAAACGAACTCTAATGGAATCATCATCAAATGGAATTGAATGGAATCTTCAAATGGATTCAAATGGAATCATTGAATGGACTCGAATTAAATCATCGAATGGACTCGAATACAAATATCATCGAATGGAATCATATGGAATCCACGAATAGAATCAAATGGAATCATCAAATGGAATCGAATGGTATCATCATCAAATGGAATCAAACGGAATCATCGAATGAAATCGAAGGCAATCATCATCTAATGGAATCAAGTGGAATCATCGAATGGAATCGAAGGGAATCATCACCAAGTGGAATCGACTGGAATCTTTGAATAGAATCGAATGGAATCGTTGTCGAATGGAATCAAACGGAATCAGTGGATTGAATTGAATGGAATCACCAATGAATGGAATCGAATAGGATCATCATCGAATGGAATCAAATGGAATCATCAAATGGACTGGAATGGAATCATCATTGAATGGAATCCTGCAGAATCATCTAATGGGCATGAATAGAATCATCATCGAATGGAATCGAATGGAATCATCTAATGTACTCGAATGGAATCATCATTGAATGGAATAGAATGGAATCACCGAAGGGACACGAGTGGAATCATCATCGACTAGAGTCGAAAGGAATCATTGAATGGACTGGAATGGAATATTATCGAATGGAATCGAAAGCAATTATCGAATTGACTCAAATGGAATTATCGAATGGACTCGAATGGCATCATCGAATGGACTCGAATGGAATCATCATCAAATGGACTCAAATGAAATGATCGAATGGACTCGAATGGAATCATGAATTGTACTCACATGGAATTATTGAATGGGCTCGACTGGAATCATCGAATGGATTCGAATGGAATAATTATCGAATTGAATCAAATGGAATCATCAAATGGAATCGAATGGAATCATCGAATGCAATCAATCAGAATCATCATTAAATGGAATCAAATGGAATCATTGCACTGAATCGAATGCAGTCATCATCGAATGGAATCGAATGGAATCATCATCGAATGGCATCAAATGGAATCATCGCATGGCATCGAATGGAATCATCATTGAATGGAATCTTACGTAATAATCATATGGACTCGAATGGAATCGTCGAATGGACTCGAATGGAATCATCATCGAATGAAATTGAATAGAATCATTGAATAGCATCGAATGGAAACATCATCAACTGGAGTCGAATGGAATCATCAAATCACTCAAACGGAATTGTCATGGGATGTAATCGAATGGCATCTTCAAATGGACACGAACGGAATCATCATCAAATGCAATCGAATGGAATCATCACCGAATGGAATCAAGTGGAATCATCATCGAATGGAATCCTCTTTGAATGGAATCAAGATGAATCATCATCAAATTGAATCGAATGGAATCATCATCAAATGGAATCGAAAGTAATCATCATTGAATGGAATTGAATGCAGTAATTATTGAATGGCATCGAATGGAATCATCATCGAGTGGAATGTAATGGAATCAATGAATGAAATCGAATGACATCATCATTGAGTGGATTCGAATGGAATCACCCAATGGAATTGAATGGCATCATCAACGAGTGCAAACCAATAGAATCATTGAATGAAATTGAATGGAATCATCATCGAATGGAATCGAGTGGAATCATCATTGAATGGAATTGAATGGAATCGTCATCGAATGGAATGTAGTGGAATCATCATCGAATGGAATTGAATGGAACAATCAAAGACTGGAATTCAATGGAATCATTGAATGGAATCGAATGGAATCAACAAATGGAATCGAACAGAATAGTCATCAAATGGAATCAAAAGGAATCATCACATGGAAACAAATGAAATCATCATCGAATGGAATCGAAGGGAATCACTAATGGAAATGAATGGAATCACCACTGAATGGAATCGAATGGAATCATCATCGAATGAAATCGAATGGAATCATCAAATGGACATGAGTGGTAACATCATGGAATGGAATTGAGTGGAATGATCATCGAGTGGACTCGAGTGGAATAATCATCGAACCGAACCGAATGGAATCATCGAATAGACTCGACCGGAATCATCATCAAATGGAATCGAATGGAATAATTCAATGGACTTGAATGGAAACATCATTGAATGGAATCGAATGGAATCATTGAATGAAATCAAATGGAATCATCATCAAATGCAATCTAATGGAGTCATCGAAAGGAATTGAATGAAATCATTGTATGGAATTGAATGAAATCATCATTGAATGGAATCAAATGGAATCATCGACTGGAATTGAATGGAATCACCATTGAATGGAATCGAATGGAATAATCATTGAATGGAATTTAGAGGAATCATCAAATGGACTCGAATGGAAACATCGTAGAACGGAATCAAATGAAATCATCAAATGGACTCTAATGGAATCACCACCAAATGGAATAGAATGGAATCATTGAATGTACTAGAATGGAATCATCATCAAATGGAACCAAATGAAATCATGAACAAATGTAATCAAATGGAATCATCATCGAATGGAATCAAATGGTAACAACGAATGGAAACGAATGGAATCATCATCGAATGTCATCGAATGGAATCATCAAATGGACTCGAATGGAATCATCGAATGCACTTTAATGGAATCATCCTCGAATGGAATCGAATATTATCATCTTCAAAAGGAATCAAATGGAATTGTGGTTGAGAGGACCCAAATTTAATTAGCATCAAATGGAATGGAATGAAATCATTTAAAGGACTTGAATGGAATCATCATCGAATGGAATTGAATGGAATCATCTAACGGACGAGAATGGAATCATCCTCGAATGGAATCAAATGGAATCGAATAGAATCATCATCAAATGCAATCGCATGGAATCATCATCGAAGGCATTCAAATGGAATCATCATTGAATGGAATCGAATTGAACCATCAGTGACTGAAATCGAATAAAATAATTCAATGGAATTGAATGGAATCAATGAATGGAAACAAATGGACTCATCTTCGAATGGAATCGAATATAATCATGTTATGGAAATGAATGAAATCATCGAATGGAATAGAATGAAATCGTCAAATGGAATTTTATGGAATCACCATTGAATGGAATCAAATGGAATCATCATCAAATGGAATTGAATGGAATCATCGAATGGGCTCGAATTCAATCATCATTGAATAGAATCCCATGGAATCATTGAAAACTGTCGAATGGAATCATCATCGAATGGAATAGAATGGAATCATTGAATGGACACGAATGGAATCATCATTGAATGGAATCGAAAGGAATCATTGAATGGACACATTGGAATCATCATCGAATGGAACTGAGTGGAATCATCTTGGAATGGAATCAAATGGAATCATCATCGAATTGAATTGAAAGGAATCCTCATTGAATGGAATTGATTGCAATCATCATTGAATGGAATCCTCTTCACCTGGAATTATATTGAATCATCATCAAATTGAATCGAATGGAATCATCATCGAATGGAATTGAAGGCAGTAGTCATTGAATGGCATTGAATGGCATCATCATTGAGTGGAATCTAATGGAATCATCCAATGGAATTCAATGGCATCATCAACGAGTGGAATCCAAGAGAATCATCAAATGAAATTGAAAGGAATCATCATCAAATGGATTCGAATGTAATCATCACTGAATGGAATTGAATGGAACCATCAACGACTGGAATTGAATAGAATCATTGAATGGAATCGAATGGAATCATCAAATGGAATTGAACGGAGTATTCATCAAATGAAATCAAAACGAATCATCGTATGGAAACAAATGAAATAATCATCAAATGGAATCGAAGGGAAACACGAATGGAAATGAGTGGAATCACCATTGAATGGAATGGAATGGAATCATCATCGAATGGAAAGAAATAGAAACATTGAATGGATACAAGTGTTATCATCATCGAATGGAATTGAGTGGAATCATCATCGAGTGGACTCGAGTGGAATCATCATCAAATAGAACTGAAAGGAATCATTGAATGGACTCGACTGGAGTAATCATAGAATGGAATCGAAGGGAATCATTGAATGGACCCAACGGAATCATCATCGAATGGATTGTAAGGGAATCATCATTGAATATAATCAAATGGAATCATTGTCAAATGCAATCGAATGGAATCATCATCAAATGGAATCATATGGAATCGTCGTATGGAGTCGAATGAAATCATCATTGAATGGAATCGAATGGAATCATTGAATGGAATTCAATGGAATCACTGTTGAATGGAATCGAATGGAATCATCATTGAATGGAATTGAATGGAATTATCGAAAGGACTCAAATGGAATCATGTTCGAATGGAATTGAGTGGAATCAACGAACAGACTTGAATGGAAACATCGAATGCAATCAAATGGAATCATGGAATGGACTCGAATGGAATCATCATCGAATGGAATCAAATGGAATCATCGAATTGACTCGAATGGAATCAACATCGAATGGAATCGAATGCAATCATCATATGGACTCGAATGGAATCATCATTGAATGGACTCTAATGGAATCATCATCGAATGGACACGAATGGAATTATCATTGAATGGAATCAAACGGAATCATCATCAAATTCAATCGAATGGAATCATCATCGCATGGAAACAAAGTGAATAATCAACGAATGGAAACAAAATGACTCATCATCGAAAGGAATCAAATGGAATAATCATTGAATGGAATGGAATGGAATCATCCAGTGGAATCTAATGAAATCAACATCAAAAGAAATAAAAAATATCATCGAAAGTTATTGAATAGAATCATCATCGAATATAATGCTCATCGAATGGAAACTAATAGAATCATCATCAAATGGAATCGAATTGAATCATCATGGAATGGGATCTAAAGCAATTTACACTAATGGAATCATCATCGAATGGAATCATCATTGAATGTACACTAATGGAATCATCATTGAATGGAATCGATAGGAATGTTAGAATGATCTCGAATGGAATCAACATTGAATAGAATCGAAAGGAGTAATTGAATAGAAACATCATCGAATGGAATCGAATGGAATCATCAAAAGGAATTGAATATAATCCTCATCGAATAGAATCATCAAATGGAAAGGAATGAAATCATCATTGAATGTAATCGAATGGAATCATGGAATGAAACAGAGTGGAATCATCATTGCATGGAATAGAATTGAACCATCGAATGAAATCGAAAGGAATCATCATCGAATGGAATCGAATAGAGTCATCAAATGGAATCGAATGGAATCATCATCGAATGGTGTCGAATGAAATCATAGAATGGTTTTGAATGGAATCATCATCAAACGGAATCAAATGGAATCACCATCGAATGGAATCAAAAGCAAACATCAAATGGATTTGAATAGAATCATTGAATGGACACTAATGGAATGATCATTGAATGGAATTTGATCAAATCAACACATGGAATCAAAGGGAATCATAATCAAAATGAATCATATGGAAGCATCTAATGGACTGGAATGAAACTCTCATCGAATAGATTCGAATGGAATCATGGAATGGACTCGAATGGACTCATCATCGAATAGAATCGAATGGAATCATCCTCGAATGGACTCGAATGAAGCATTAAATAGACACGAATGGAATCATTGAATGGAATCTTACGCAACCATTATCAGTGGAATCAAATGGAATAATCACCAAATGGAATGGAATAGAATCATCTAATGAAATCAAATGGAATTATCATCAAGTGGAATCGTATGGAATCATCATCGAATGGAATCATCATCAAATGGAATCAAATGAAATCACCCTCAAATGGAATCGAACGGAATCATCAAAGAATGAAATTGAATGGAATCATCGAATGGAATGGAATGGAGTCTTCATCCAATGGAACCGAATGGAATCATCATTAAATGAAAACTAATGGAATCATCATTAAATGAAAACTGATGGAATCATCATCGAATGGAATCGCATGGAATCATCATTGAATGGAATCACTTGGAATCATCATCGAATAGAATCAAATGGAATCATCGTCTAATGGACTCGACTGGAATCATCAAATGTACACGAATGGAATCATTGAATGAACTGTCATTCAATCATCATCAATGGAATCGAATGGAAAAATCATCAAATGGACAGGAAAGGAATCTTCATCGAAGGGTATCAAATGGAATCATCAACAAATGGAAACGAATAGAATCATCAAATGAAATCGAACAGAATTATCATCGAAGGGAATTGAATGGAATCATCATCAAATGGAATCAAATGAAATCATCATCAAATGGAATCAAAAGGAATCATCAACGAATTGAATCGAATGCAATCATCAAATGGAAACTAATGGAATCATAATCCAATGGAACTGAAAGGAATCATCATCAAATGAAAACTAATGGAATCACCATCGAATGGAATTGCATGGAATCATCATCGAATGGACTCAAATGGAATCATCATCGAATGGAATCCAATGGAATAATCAACGATTGGAATCAAATGGAATCATCAAATGGAATCAAATGGAATGACCATCTTATGGAATCGAAGGGAAACATCGAATGGAATCGAATGGAATCATTGAATGGAATCGAAATGAATCATAGAATGGACTCAAATGGAATCATCATCGAATGGAATCAGATGGAGTCATCGAATGGACTCGAATAGAAACATCATTGAATGAAATCGAATGGAATCATCGAAAGGAACTGAATGGAATCCTCATTGAATGGTATCATCGAATGGAATGGAAAGGAATCATCATCGAATGGAAACGAATGGAGTCATAGAATGGTATTGAATGGAATCATAATCAAATAGAATAGAATGGAACCATCATCGAATGGAATAGAAAGCAAACATCGAATGCATTCGAACAGAATAATCGAAATGACATGAATGGAAGCATCATCCAATGGAATTGAATGGAATCAATAAATGGAATTGAAAGGAATCTTTATCTGGGGAATCGAATCGAATCATCTATTGGACAGGAATGGATTCCTCATCGAATGGAAGTGAATGGAATCATTGTTGAACGGACTTGAATGGAATCATCAAATGGACTTGAATGGAATCATCGAATGGACTAGAATGCAAACATCATCAATGGAATCGAATGAAATAAAACTCAAACGGATTCCAAAGGAATCATCACCGAATGGAATCGAATGGAATCATCGAATGGAATGGAATGGAATCATCATAGAAAGTAATCGAACAGAATCATCGAATGGAATCGAATTGAAACATCAAATTGAATAGAATGTAATCATCACCAAATGGAATCGAATGGAAACATCAACTAATTGAGTCAAATGGAATCATCATGGAATTGAATCGAATTGCTCACCGTCGAATGGAATTGAATGGAATCGCCAAATGGAATCAAGTGGAATCATCATCGAAGGAAATTGAATGGAGTCATGATCGAATGGAATAAAATGGAGTCATCCAATGGAAGAGAATTGAATCATCATCGAATGGAATCAAATAGAATCATCGAATGAAATCGAATGGAATCATCAACGAATAGAATCGAATGGAATCAACATCAAATGGAATCGAATGGAATCATCATCAAATGGAATCGAATGGAATCATCATAGAATGGAATCAAATGGAATCATCCAATATATTAGAATTGAATCACCATTGAATGGAATCAAATAAAATCATCGAATGAAATCAAATGGAATCATCATCCAATGGAATCGAATCATCAACCAATGGAATCAAATGGAATCATAGAATGGAATCCAATGTAATCATCATCGAATTCAACCCAATGGAATCATTAAATGGACTCGAATGGAATCATCGAATGGACTCGAATGGAATCATCATCGAATGAAATCAAATGGAATCATCTAACGGACTCGAATGGAATTGAATGGAATCATCGAATGGACTCGAATGGAATCATCATCGAATGGAATTGAAAGGAATCATCAAATGGACTCGAATGGAATCTTTGAATGGACTCGAATGGAATCATCATTGAATGAAATCGAATGGAATCACCAAATGGACACGAACGGAATCATCATCTAATAGCATCGAATGCAATCATCGAATGGACTTGAATGGAATATCATCGAATGGAATTAAAAGCAATCAACGAATGGACTCCAATGGAATTATCGAATGGACTCAAATGGAATCACTATCGAATGGAATCAAAAGGAATGATAAAATGGTCTCGAATGGAATCATCGATTGGACTCAAATGGAATTATCAAATATCCTCGAATGGAATCATTGAATGGACTCGAAAGGAATAAAAGGAATGATAAAATGGTCTCGAATGGAATCATCGATTGGACTCAAATGGAATTATCAAATATCCTCGAATGGAATCATTGAATGGACTCGAAAGGAATCATTATCGAATGGTATCAAAAAAATCATCAAATGGAATCGAATGGAATTCTCGAATGCTATTGATCGGAATCATCATTGAATGGAATCAAATGGAATCATCAAATAGAAACGAATGCTGTCATCATCGAATGGAATCGAGTGGAATCATCATCAAATAGAAATGAATGGAATCATTGAATAGAAGTGAATGGAATAATCGTCGAATGTAATCCAATGGAATCATCGAATGGAATCAAATGGAATCATCGATTGAAATTGAATGGAATCAGCATCGAACAAAATCGAATGGAATCATCATAGAATAGAATCGAATGGAATCATAGAATGAAATCATCATCAAATAGAGTCCAATGGAATCATCAAATGGACTCGAATGGAATCATCATAGAATGGAATTGAATGGAATCATCAAATAGAATTGAAAGGAATCATCATCAAATGGAACCGAATTGTATCATCTAATGCACTCTAATGGAATCATCATTGAATGTTATCGAATGGTACCATTGAATGGAATCGAATGGAATAATCTTCAACTGGCATCAAAAGGAATCACCGAATGGACAAGAATGGAATAATCATCGAAAGGAATCAAATGGAATCATGGAATGGAATCGAATGGAATCATCACTGAATGGACTAAAATGGAATCATCATCGTACAGAATCGAATGGAATGATCGAATGGAATTGAATGGAATCATCATCGAATGGAATCAAATGCAATCATCATTGAATGGAATCAAATGGAATCATCATCGAATGGAATCAAATGGAATCATCATCAAATGGAATCAAAATGAATTAACGTCAAATGGAATGGAATGGAATCATTATCGAATGGAACCCAAAATAATCATCATTGAATGGAACCGAATGGAATCATCATCAAATGGAACCAAAAGGGCTCATTATCAAATGGAATTCCAAGGAATCATCATCGAATGAAATAGAATGGAATCATCATCAAATGGAATCTAATGGAATCATTGAATGGAATTGAATGGAGTCACCAATGAATGGAATCGAATGGAATCCTCATCGAATGGTTTCATATGGATTCATCAAATGGACTCGAATGGAATCATCATCGAATGGAAACGTGTGGAATCATTGAATGAACACGAAAAGAATCATAATCGAATGGAATCAAAATGAATCATCATCGAATGGAATCACATGGAATCATCATGGAATAGAATCATACAGAATCATCATCAGATGGAATTGAATGGAATCATCAAATGGACTTGAATGGAATCATCAAAAGGAATCGAATGGAAGCATCGAATGTACTAGAATGGAATCATCATCGAATGGAATCACATGGAATCATCGAAAGGGCTCTAATCGAATCATAAAATTGACTCGAACGGAATCATTATAGAATGGAATCGAATAGAGTAGTCGGATGAACTTGAATGGAATCATCATTGAGTGGAATCGATAGGAATAATCGAATGCACTCGAATGGAATCATCATTGACTGGAATTGAATGGGATCATCGAATGGACTCGAGTGGAATCATCATCAAATGGAATCCTTTGGAACCATCAAATGGAATGGAATGGAATTATCGGATGGAATCAAATGGTATCATCTTTGAATGGATTCGAATGGAATCATCGAAAGCAATCGAATGCAATCATCGTATAGACTCATTGAAAGGAATCGACTGGAATCACCAGTGAATGGACTCGAATGGAATCATCATCGAATGGAATCGAAAGGAATCATTGAATGGGATTGAATATAATCATCATAAAATGTAATCAAAAGGAATAATCAAATGGAATCGAATGGAATCATCATTGAATGGAATCGAATATAACCATCGAATGGAATCGAATGGAATCATAGAACTGTATCGAATGGAATCATCATCTAATGGAATCAAATGGAATCATCATCGAATGGAATCAAAAGCAATTATTGAATAGATTCATATAGAATCATTGAATTGACTTGAATGGAATCATCATTGAATGGAGTACAATGGAATCATCGAATGGACACGAATGGAATCATCATCAAATTGAATTGAATGGAATCATCGAAAGGACTCAAATGGAATCATCATCGAATGGAATATAATGCAATCATCATCGAATGGAATCAAATGGAATCATCTAATGGACCCGAATGGAATCATCACTGAATGGAATAAAATGGAATCATAATCAAATGAAATCTAATGGAATCATCTAATGGACCCAAATGGAATCACCATTGGATTGAATAAAATGGAATCATCATCGAATGGAATCCAATGGAATCATCTAATGGACAGGAATAGCATCATCATTGAATGGAATCGAATGGAATCATGTAATGTACTCGAATGGAATCACATCTAATGGAATAGAATGGAATCATCAAGTAGAATCGAAAGGAGTCGTCGCATGTAATAGAGTGGAATTATCGAATGGATTTGAAAGTAATCATCAGAAAACGGAATTGAAAGGAATCATCGAATGGACTCGAACGGAATCAACATCAAATGGAATATAATGGAATCATCATCAAATGGAATCAAATGGAATCATCTAACGGACCCGAATGAAATCATCACTGAATGGAAAAAAATGGTTTCAACATTGAATGCAATCAAATGGTATCATCTAATGCACACGAATGGAATCATCATTGGATTGAATAGAATGTAATCATCATCAAATGGAATCGAAAGGAATCATCTAAAGGACACGAATAGCATCACCATTGAATGGAATTGAATGGAATCATCTACTGTACTCGAATGGAATCATCATCTTATGGAATAGAATTGAATTATCGAATGGAATCAAATGGAGTCATCACCATATAGAATCGAGTGGAATCTTCTAATGGACTCCAAAGTAATCATCAGGGAATGGAATCAAATGGAATAATCCTCTAATGGACTCGAATGGAATCATCAATGAGTGTAATCGAATGCAATCATCAAATGCACCTGAATGGAATCATCATCAAATGGAATCGAATGGAATCATTGAATGGACTCGAATGAAATCATCATCGAGTATAATTGAAAGCAATCTTCAAATGGATTCAAATGGAATCATCAAATGGCTCAAATGGAATCAGCATCGAATGGAATCACATGGAATCATTGAATGGACTTGAATGGAATCGTCATCGAATGGAATCAAATGTAATCATCGAATGGACTCGAATGGAATCATCATCGAATGGAATCAAATGGAATCACTGAATGGAGTTGAGTGGAATTGTCATCGAATGGAATCGAATGTAATCATCGAATGGACTCGAATGGAATCATCATCGAATGGAATCAAATGGAATCACTGAATGGACTCGAATGGAATCATCATCAAATGGAATCAAAGGGAATCATTGAATGCACCCAAATGGAATCATCATTGAATGCAATAGAATGGAATCATCATCGAATGGAATCAAATGGAATCATTGAATGTACTTGAATGGAATGACCATCGAATGGAATCATATGGAATCATTTAACTGACTCGAATGGAGTCATCATAGAATGGAATTGAATGGATTCATCGAATGGACTCGAATGGAGTCATCATCAATTGGAATTGAATGGAATCATCAAATGGACTCGAGTGGAATCAGCGTCAAATGAAATCGAATGAAATCATCGAATGGACTCTAATGGAATCATCATCGAATGGAATCATCAATTGGACACGAATGGAATCATCAAATGGACTCTAACGGAACCATCATCGAATGGAATCAAATGAAATCATCTTCCGATGGAATTGAATGGAATCATCAATGAATGAAATCAAATGGAATCATCGAATGGAATGAGAAGGAATCATAATCGAATGGAACCAAAAGAAGCATCGTATGAAATCCAAAGTAATCATCAATGAACGGACTCAAATGGAATCATCAACGAATGGACTCGAATGGAATCAACATCTAATGCAATTGAATGGAATCATCATCTAATGGAATCGAAAGGAAACATCATTGAATTGAATCAAATGGAATCATGATGGAATTGAATTGAATGGCTCATCATCGAATGGAATCGAATGGAATCATTGAATGGAATCAAATGGAATCATCATCAAATGCCATCGAATGGAATCATCGAATGGAATCGAATGGAAATATCATCAAAAGGAATTGAATGGAACCATCGAATGAAATCGAATGGAATCACCATCGAATGGAGTCGAATGGAATCATCATCGAATGGAATCTATTGGATTCATCAATTAAGAGAATTGAATGGTATCATCATCGAATGTTATCAAATGGAATCATCAACGAGTGGAATCGAATGGATTCATCGAATGGAATCCCATGGAATTATCAGCAAATGGAACCGAATGGAATCATGGAATGGACTTGAATGGAATCACCTTCGAATGGACTTGAATGGAATCATCATCGAATTGAATCAATTGGTTTCACTGAGTGAACGCAAGTGGAATCATCGAATGGACTCGAATGGAAACATCACCGAATGGAGTCAAATGGAATCATCGAATGGCATCGAATAGCATCATCAATGAATGGAATCTAAGGGAATAATTGAAAGGACTCAAATGGAATCATCGAATGGACTCGAGTGGAATCACCATCATATGGAATCTTCGAATGGACTCAAATGGAATCTTCATTGAATGGAATCGAATGGAATCATCAAATGTACTCAAATGGAATCATTGTCAAATGGAATCTAATGGAATCTTCGAATGGACTTGAATGGAATCATCATTGAATGGGATCGAATGGAAATATCAAATGGTATCGAATGGAATCATCATCGAATGGAATAGAATGGAATCATCCAATGGACATGAATGGAATCATCATCGAATGGTATCGAATGGAATCTACGAATGGACTTGCTTGAAATCTTCATCGAATGCAATTGAATGGAATCATCACCAAATGGAATCGAATGGAACCATGATCGAATGGAATCGAAAGGACTCATCCAATGGAATATAATTGTATCATCATCGAATGGAATCAAATAGAATCATCGAATGAAATCAAATAAAATCATCATCGAGTGGAATTCAATGGGATAATCATAGTTTGGAGTCGAATGGAATCATCATCGCATGGAATAAAAAGGAATCATCCAATGGAATATAATTCAATCATCATCGAATGGAATCGAATAGAATCATCGAATGAAATTGAATGGAATAATAATCCAATGGAATCAAATGGAATCATCATAGAATGGAATCGAATGGAATCATCATCGAATGGAATCAAATGGAATCATCCGATGTAATAGAAGTGAATCATCATCGAATAGAATCATCAAATTAAATCGAATGGAATCATCATCAAATGGACTCGAATGGATTCATCTAATGCACTCGAATGGAATAATCACCGAATGGACTCGAATGGAATCATCAAATGGAATTGAATGGAATCATCATCGAATGAAGTCAAATGGAATCATCGTATTGACTCGAATGGAATCATCATTGTGTGGAATCGAAAGGAATCATTGAATGGACTCGAATGGAATCATCAATGAATGTAATTGAAAGGAATCATCAAATGGACTTGAATGGAATCATCGAATGGACATGAATGGAATCATCATCGAATGGAAACAAATGGAATCATCATTGAATGGAATCAAATGGAATCGTTATCGAATGGAATCGAATGGAATCATCATCCAATGGAATCTAATGGAATCATCATCTAATGGAATCGAATGGAATCATCATTGAATGGAATCGAATGGAGAAATCGAATGGAATCTGCTGGAATCATCATCGAATGGAAACGAATGCAGTCATCATTGAATGGAATCGAATGGAATCATCATCGAAAGGAATCAAAAGGAATCATAGAATGGAATTGAACAGAATTATCGAATGGAATCGAATGGAATCATTACCGAATGGACACGAATGCAATTATCATCGAATGGAATTGAATGGAATCATCGAATGGACTCGAATGGAATAATTGAATGAACTCGAAAGGAATAATCGAATGGACTCAAATGGAATCATTGAATGGAATCGAATGGAATGATCGAATGAACTCGAATGGAATCACCATCAAATGGAATCGGATGGAATCATCGAGTGGACTCTAATGGAATCATCAAATGGACTCAAATGGAATTATCAAATGGTCTCACATGGAATCATCAAATGGACCCTAATGCAATCATCATTGAATGAATCTAATGGAATCATCAAATGGACTCGAATGGAATCATTGAATTGACTCGAATAGAAACATCAAATGGAATTGAATGGAATCGTCTTTCAGTGGAATCAAATTGAATCCTCCAATAGAATCAAATGGAATTATGAAATGGAATTGAACGGAACCATCATTGAATGGAATCGAATGGAATCATCTAATGGAATCAAAGGCAATCATCGAATGGAATCAAATGGAATCATCGAATGGAATCCAATGGAATCTTCGTCAAGTGTAATTGAGTGGAATCATCGAATGGAATCGAATGGAAACATGGTCGAATGGAATGGAATGGAATCAATGAATGGAATTGAATGGAATCACCAATGAATGGAATTGAATGGAATCATCATCGAATGGACTCAAATGGAATTATAGAATGGACTCGAATGGAATCATCGAATGGACCTGAATGGATTCATAATCGAATGGACTCAAATGGAATGATCGAATGGACTCGAATGGAATCATTGGTTGGACTGAAATGGAATTATCAAATTGGCTCGAATGCAAACATAGAATGGACTCGAATGGAATCATTATCGAATGGAATCAAATGGAATCATTGAATGGAATCGAATGGAATCATCGAATGGAATTGATTGGAATCATCATCAAATGGAATCATTATCAAATTAAATCTAATGGAATCATTGAATGGAATCGAATGGAGTCATCGAATGGAATTGATTCGTGTCATCATCGAATGGAATCAAACGGAATCATCAAGTGACTCAAATAGAACCATTATCGAATGGAATCAAATGGAATCATCTAATGGAATCAAATGGAATCAAAGAATGGAATCGAATGGAATCATTGAATGGAATCGATCAGAATCATCATTGAATGGAATCAAATGGAATCATCGAATGGAATTGAATGGAATCAGCATCGAATGAAATTGAATGGAATCATCATCAAATAGAAACGAATGGAATATTGGAATGGAATCATCATCAAATGGAGTCCAATGGAATCATCAAATGGACTCGAATGGAATCATCGTAGAATGGAATTGAATGGAATCATCGAATGGAATCGAATGGTATCATCGAATGCACCCGATTGGAATCATCAACGAATGGTATTGAATGGTATCATCAAATGTAATCGAATGGAATCATCTTCAATTGGGATGAAAAGGAGTCACCGAATGGACACTAATGGAATAATAATTAGAAGGAATCGAATGGAATTATCGAATGGAATCAATGAATGGACTCGAATGGAATCATCGAATGGACTCGAATGGAAAGATCATCGTATAGAATCGAATTGAATCATCATCGAATGTAATCAAATGGAATCATCATTGAATGGAATTGAAAAGAATCAACATCAAATGGAGTCGAATGGAATCATCATCAAATGGAATCCAAAGGAATCATCTTCGAATGGAACCAAATGGAATCAATATCGAATGGAACCAAAAGGAGTTATCATCGAATGGAATCGCATGGAATCATCATCGAATGGACTCGAATGGAATCATATTGAATGGAATTGAAAGGAATCATCAAATGGACTTCAATGGAATCATTCAAAGAACTGAATGGAATTGTCATCGAATGAAATCAAATGCAGTCATCGATTGGACATGAATGGAATCATCATCGAATGGAATCGAGTGGAATCATCCAATGGAATCTAACAGAATCATCATTGAATGGAATCGAAAGGAATAATCATCGAATGGAATCCAACGAAATCATCATCGAATGGAACCTAACGGAATCATCATCTAACGGACCCGAATGGAATCATCAATGAATGGAATCGAATAGAGAAATCGAACGGAATACATTGGAATCATCATCGAAAGGAACCGAATGCAGTCGTCATCGAACGGAATCAAACGGAATCATCATCGAGTGGAATCAAATGGAATCATCATCAAAAGGAATCTAAGGGAATCACTGAATGGAATCGAATAGAATAACCCAATGTAATTGAAAGGTACCATCATCGAATGGACTTGAAGGAATTATCATCAAATGGTATCGAATGGGATCATCAAATGGACTCGAATGGAATAATCGAATGGACTCAAATGGAATCATCCAATGGAATCGAATGGAATCATCGAATGGAATCCAATGGTAACATCATCGAATGGAATCAAATGGAATCATCAAATGGCCTGGAATGGAATCATTGAATGGACTCGAATTGAATGATCATCAAATTGAATCGAGTGGAATCCTCAAATATAATCAAATGGAATCATCAAATGTAATCAAATTGAATCATCATCAAATGGAATCTTTGAATGTAATTGAAAGCAATCATCATCAAAAGGAATCAAATGGAATTATCATTGAATAGAATCAAATGGAATCATCGAAAAGAATCGAATGAAGTCACCATCAAGAGGAATCAAGTGTAATCATTAAATGGTATCGAATGGAATAATTGTCGAATGGAATGGAATGGAATCAATGATTGGAATTGAATGGAATCACCAAAGAATGGAATGGAATGGAATCATCATCGAATGGAATCGAATGGAATCATTGGATGGACTCGAATAGAATCATCATCGAATGGAATTGTGTGGAATCATCTAATGGGCAAGAATAGAATCATCATCGAATGAAATCGAATGGCATCATCATCGAGTGGATTCGAATGGAATCACCCAATGGAATTGAATGACATCATCATCGAGTGCAATCCAATAGAATCATTGAATGAAACTGAATGGAATCATCATCGAATGGAATCGAGTGGAATCATCATTGAATGGAATCGAATGGAATCATCATCAAATGAAATGTAGTGGAATCATCGTTGAATGGAATAGAATGGAACAATCAACGACTGGAACCGAATGGAATCATTGAATGGAATCGAATGGAATCATCAAATGGAATTGAACGGAATAATCATCAAATGGAATCAAAAGGAATCATCGTATGGAAACAAATGAAATCATCATGGAATGGAATCGAAGGGAATCACGAATGGAAATGACTGGAAACACCACTGAATGCAATCGAATGGAATCATCTTCAAATGGAATCGAATGGAATCATCGAATGGACACGAGTGGTATCATCATGGAATGGAATTGAGTGGAATCATCATCGAGTGGACTCGAGTGGAATCATCATTGAACCGAACCGAATGGAATCATCGATTGGACTCGGCCAGGATCATCATCAAATGGAATCGAATGGAATCATTCAATGGACTCGAATGGAATCATCATCGAATGGACACTAATGGAATCATCATCGAATGGACTCTAATGGAATCATCATCAAATGGAATTGAATGGAATCAAAATTGAATGAAATCAAATGGAATCATCATCAAATGCAATCAAATGGAATCATCATTGAAAGGAATCGCATGGAATCATTGTATGGAATCGAATGAAATCATCATTGAATGGAATCGAATGGAATCATCGACTGGAATTGAATGGAATCACCATTGAATGGAATCGAATGAAATAATCATCGAATGGAATTGAGAGGAATCATTGAATGGACTGGAATGGAAACATCATCAAACGGAATCAAATGAAATCATCAAATGGACTCTAATGGAATCATCACCAAGTGGAATAGAATGGAATCATTGAATGGACTCGAATGGAATCATCATCAAATGGAACCAAATGAAATCATGAACAAATGTAATCAAATTGAATCATCATCGAATGGAATCAAATGGTAACAAAGAATGGAAACGAATGGAATCATCATTGAATGTCATTGAATGGAATCATCAAATGGACTCGAATGGAATCATCGAATGCACTTTAATGCAATCATCCTCGAATGGAATCGAATATTATTGTCCTCGAAAGGAATTGAATGGAATCATCATTGAGTGGAACCAAATTTAATTAGCATCAAATGGAATGGAATGAAATCATTTAAAGGACTTCAATGGAATCATCATCGAATGGAATCAAATGGAATCATCTAATGGACGAGAATGGAATCATCATCGAATGGACTCTAATGGAATCATCCTCAAATGGAATCGAATTGAATCGAATAGAATCATCATCGAATGGAATCAAATGGAATCATCATCGAGTGGATTCGATTGGAATCATCATCAAATTGAATCGAATGCAACCATCAACGACAGAAATTGTATAAAATCATTCTATTGAATTGAATGGAATCAATGAATGGAAGTGAATGGACTCATCTTCGAATGGAATCGAATGGAATCCTCGTATGGAAGTGAATGAAATCATCATCAAATGGAATAGAATGGAATCGTCGAATGGAATAGTATGGAATCACCATTGAATGGAATCGAATGGAATCTTCATCAAATGGAATTGAATGGAATCATCGAATGGGCTCGAATTGAATCATCATTTAATAGAATCCCATGGAATCATTGAAAAGTGTCAAATGGAATGATCATCGAATGGAATAGAATGGAATAATTGAATGGGCTCGAATGGAATCATCATCGAATGGAATCAGAAGGAATCATTGAATGGACCCGATTGGAATCATCATCAAATGGAATTGAATGGAATCATCATGGGATAGAATTGAATGGAATCAACATCGAATTAAATCAAAAGGAATCCTCATTGAATGGAATTGATTGGAATCATCATTCGAAGGAATCCTCTTCACTGGAATCAAATTGAATCATCATCAAATTGAATAGAATGGAATCATCATCGAATGGAATTGAAAGGAGTCATCATCGAATGGAATTGAATGCAGTAATCATTGAATAGCATCGAATGGCATCATCATCTAGTGGAATCGAATGGAATCATACAATGGAATTGAATGGCATCATCAAGGAGTGGAATCCAATAGAATCATCAAATGAAATTGAATGTAATCATCACCGAATGGATTCGAAGGGAATCACGAATGGAAATGTGTGGAATCACCATTGAATGGGATGGAATGGAATCATCATCGAATGGAAACAAATGGAATCATCGAATGGACTCGAGTGGTATCATCATCGAATGGAATTGAGCGGAATCATCATCGAGTGGACTCGAGTGGAATCATCATCAAATCGAACTAAATGGAATCATCGAATGGACTCCACCGGAGTCATCTTAGAATGGAATCAAAGGGAATCATTGAATGGACTCGAATGGAATCATCAACGAATGGACAGTAAGGGAATCATCATTGAATGCATTCTAATGGAATCATCATCGAATGGACTGTAAGGGAATCATCATCAAATGGAATGGAATGGAATCATTGGATGGAATTGAATGAAATCATCATTGAATGGAATCGAATGGAATCATCAAATGGAAATGAATGGAATCACCATTGAATGGAATCAAATGGAATCATCATTGAATGGATTTGAATGGAATCATTGAAAGGACTCCAATGGAATCATGTTCGAATGGAATTGAGTGGAATTATTGAACGGACTCAAATGGAAATGTCATCGAATTGAATCAAATGGAATCATGGAATGGACTCGAATGGAATCAACATCGAATGGAATCGAATGGAATAATCATATGGACTCTAATGGAATCATCATTGAATGGACCCTAATGGAATCATCATTGAATGGAACCAAGAGGAATCATCGTCAAATGCAATTGAATGGAATCATCATCGAATGGAAACAAAATGACTCATCATCAAACGGAATCAAATGGAATAATCATCGAATGGAATGGAATGCAATCATCCAGTGGAATTGAATGGAATCAACATTGAAAGGAATAAAAAAAATCAACAATAGTAATTGAATAGAATCATCATCGAATGGAATCCTCTTCGAATGGAAACTAATAGAATCATCATCAAATGGAATCGAATGGAATCATCATGGAATGAGATCTAAAGGAATCATCGTCGAATGGAATTGAATGGAGTAATCATCTAATGGAATTGAATGGAATCATGGAATGGACACGAATGTAATCATCATCTAATGGAATAGAATGGAATAAGCGAATGGACTCAAATGGAATCATCATCGAATGGAATCCAATGGAATTATCAAATGGAATCGAATGAAATCATTGAATGGATTTGAACAGAATCATCAAATGGAATCAAATGGAATTATCGAATGGAATCGAATGAAATCATCGAATGGATTGAATGAAATCATCGAATGCAATCGAATGGAGTAACTATCGAATGGAATTGAATTGAATCACCATCGAATGGAATTGAATAAAATCATCACCAAATGGAATCGAATGGAATCATGGAATGAACTCGAATGGAATCATCCTCGAATGGACTCGAATGGAATCAACACTGAATGGAATCGAATGAACACATTGAAAGGACTCAAATGGAATTCTAATCAAATGGAATAGAAGGGAATCATTGAAAGGAATTGAATTGAATCATCAAATGGAATCGAATGGAATAATCAAATGGACTCCAATGGAATCCTCATCCAATGGAATCAAATGAAATCATAGAATGGTATGGAATGCCATCATCGTCAAATGAAATCAAATGGAATCATCATCAAATGCAGGCCAATGGAATCGTCAATGAATGGAATCAAATGGAATCATTGAATGGGATCTAATGGAATTATCATTGAATGGAATTGAAGGGAATCATCAAAAGGAATAGAATTGAATCGTCAAATGGAATCGAATGGAATCATCAAATGGACGCGAATGGAATCATCATCGAATGGAATCGAATGGACACTTCCAGTGGGCTCGAATGGAATTATCATAGAATGGAATCGAATAGAATCATTGAATGGACTCGAAAAGAAACATCATCTAATGAAATCGAATTTAATCATTGAAAGGAATGAAATGGAATCATCATCTAATGGAATCATCTAAAGGACTGGAATGGAATCATCTTCGAATGGAATCGAATGGAATCATTGAATGGACTTGAATAGAAGCATCATTGAATGGAATCAAATGGAATCGTCGAATAAAATAGAATGGAATCTTCATCGAATGGACTCGAATGGAATAATCATGGAATGGAATCAAAAGGAATCATCCTCGAATGGACTCGAATGAAATCATCGAATGGATTCGAATGGAATCATCAAATGGAATTGTATGGAATCTTCAAATGGCCCCGAATGGAATCATCATCAAATGGAATCGAATGGAAGCATTGAATGCACTCGAATGTAACCATGATCTAATGGAATCAAATGGAATCATCGAATGGAATCAAATGGAATCATTGAATGCACTCGAATGGAATCATGATCGAATGGAATCAAATGGAATCATTGAATGGAATTGAATGGAATAATAATCGAATGAAAACGAATGGAATCATTGAACAACATTGAATGGAATCATCATCGAATGGAATCAAATGGAATCATCGAATAGACTCGAATGCAATCATCAGCGAATGGAATTGAATGGAATCATTGAATGGGCTCGAATGCAATCATCATCAAATGGAATCAAATGAATTCATCATCGAATGGAATCGAAAGGAATCATCGAATGGAATCGGATAGGATCATCAAATGAAATCGAATGGAATCATCTTCGAATGGAATCGAATGAAATGATCAACGAATGGAATCATCATCGAATGGAATCAAATGGAATCATCATTGAATGGTATCGAATGGAATCATCAATGAATGGAATCGAATGGAGTCATCGAATGAAATCAAATGGAATCATCATCAAATGGAACCGAATGGAATCATGATCAAATGGAACCTAATGGAGTCATCATCGAATGGAATTGAAAGGAATCATCATTGAATGGAATCAAAAGGAATCATCATTGAATGGAATCAAAAGGAATTATCACCGAACAGAATCAAAAGGAATCATCATCGAATCGAATTGAATGGAATTATCATCGAATGGAATCGATTGGAATCATGGAATGTACCCGACAGGAATCATCATCGAATGGAATCGAATTTTATCATCGAATGGACTGGAGTGGATTCATCATTGAGTAGATTGGAATGTAATCATCATCGAATGGACTTGAGTGGAATAATCATCGCATGGAATTTAATGGAATCATCATCAGAAGGATTTGAATTTAACCATCCAAGGGAATCAAATGGAATCATTATGGAATGGAATCGAAAGGGATTGTCATCGAATGGAATCAAATGGAATCATCATAGAATGGAATCAAAAGGAATCGTCATCGAATGGAATTGAATGAAATCACCATCGAATGGAATCAATTGGAATCATGGAATGTACCCGAATGGAATCATCATCGAATGGAATCAAATGGAATCATCGAATGGACTGAAATGGAATCATCATTGAGTGGAATCGAAACGAATCATCGAATGGTATCAAAGGGAATGATCATTGAATGAAATCGAATGGAATCCCCATCTAATGGCATCAAATGGAATCATCATCGAATGGAATCGAATGCAATCATCAAATGAACTCAAATGGAATCATCATCGAATGGACTCAGACGGAATCATCATCGAATGGAATCGAATGGAATCATAATCACATGGAATTGAATGGAGTCATCAACAAGTGGAATCGAATGGAATCATCGAATGGCGTCAAATGGAATCATCATTGAATGGAATCGAATGGAATCATCATCAAATGGAATAGAATTGTATCGTCATCTAAAGGAATGGAAGGGAATAATCATCAAATGGAATTGAATAGAATCGTCATCGAATCGAATCATCATCAAATGGAATCGAATGGAATCATCATCAAATGGAATTGAATGGAATAATCATCAAAAGGAATTGAAGGGAATCTTCACTGGATGGAATTGAATGGCGTCATCATCTAATGGAATCGAATGGAAAGGACTAGAATGGAATCATCATTCAATGGAATCGAAGGGAATCATTGAAAAGAGTCGAATGGGATCATCATCGAATGGAATTGAATGCAATCATCATATGGACTCTAATGGAATCATCATCGATTGGAATTGAATGGAATCATTGAATGGACTCGAATGGAAACATCATCGAATGGACTGTAACGGAATCATCATCAAATGGACTAGAAAGGAATCATCGTTGAATGGAATCAAACGGAATCATCATCAAATACAATTGAATGAAATCATCATCGAATGGAATCAAAATGACTCATCAATGAATGGAATCAAATGGAATAATCATCGAATGGAATGGAATGGAATCATCCAGTGGAATTGAATGGAATCAACATCGAAAGGAATAAAAAAAATCATCGAAAGTAATTGAATAGTATCAACATCGAAGGGAATCCTCATTGAATGGAAACTTATAGAATCATCATCAAATGGAATCAAATGGAATCATCATGGAATGGGATCTAAAGGAATCATCATCGAATGGAATTGAATGGAGTAATCATCTAATGGAATTGAATGGAATCATGGAATGGACTCGAATGTAATCATCATCTAAAGGAATAGAATGGAATAAGCGAATGGACTCAAATGAAATCATCATCGAATGGAATTATTGAATGGAAACGAATGAAATCATCGAATGGAATTGAATGGAATCATCAAATGGAATCGAATGGAATTATCAAATGGAATCGAATGAAATCATCAAATGGAATTGAATGAAATCATTGAATGGAAATGAAAGGAATAACCATCGAATGGAATCGAATTGAATAACCATCGAATGGAATCGAATAGAATCATCACCGAATGGAATCGAATGGAATCATGGAATGAACTCGAATGGAATCATCCTCGAATGGTCTCGAATGGAATCAACACCGAATGGAATTGAATGAATTCATTTAATGGACTCAAATGGAATTCTCATCGAATGGAATAGAAGGGAATCATCGAATGGAATTGAATTGAATCAAAAAATGGAATCAAATGGAATCATCAAATGGACTCCATTGGAATCCTCATCCAATGGAGTCAAATGGAATCATAGAATGGTATGGAATGCCATCATCATCAAATGAAATCAAATGGAATCATCATCGAAAGCAGTCCAATGGAATCGTCAATGAATGGAATCAAATGGAATCATCGAATGGGATCGAATGGAATTATCATCAAATGGAATTGAAGAGAATCATAGAAAGGAATCAAATTGAATCATCAAATGGAATCGAATGGAATCATCAAATGGACTCGAATGGAATATTCATTTAATGAAATCAAATGGACACTTCCAGTGGGCTTGAATGGAATTATCATAGAATGGAATCGAATGGAATCATAGAATGGACTCGAATGGAAACATCATTGAATAAAATTGAATTTAATCCTTGAAAGGAATCAAATGGAATCATCATCTAATGGAATCATGTAAAGGACAGGAATGGAATCATCTTTGAATGGAATCAAATGGAATCATTGAATGGACTTGAACAGAAGCATCATCAAATGGAATCGAATGGAATCATCAAATAAAATCGAATGGAATCTTCATCGAATTGACTCAAATGGAATAATCATGGAATGGAATCAAAAGGAATCATCCTCGAATGGACACGAATGAAATCATCGAATGGACTCTAATGGAATCGTTGAATGGAATTGAATGGAATCTTTGAATTACCCCGAATGGGATCATCATTGAATGGAATCGAATGTAATAATCATGGAATGGAATCAAAAGGAATCATCCTCGAATGGACTCGAATGAAATCATCAAATGGACTCGAATGGAATCATTGAATGGACTCGAATGGAATCATTGAATGGCCATGAATGGAATAATCATCGAATGCAATCGAATGGAATCATTGAATGGACTCGAATGAAATCATGAACGAATGGAAAAAAGTGGAAACATCTAATGGAATTGAATGGAATTATAATCGAATGAAAACGAATGGAATCAATGAATGACAACGAATGGAATCATTATCGAATGGAATCAAATGGAATTATCGTATAGACTCAAATGCAATCATCAGCGAATGGAATTGAATGGAATTATTGAATGGGCTCAAATGGAATCATCATCGGATGGAATTGAATGGAATCATCATCTAATGGAATCGAACAGAATCATTGAATGGAATAGAAGAGAATCATCGAATGAAATCGAAAGGAATCATCTTCGAATGGAATCGAATGGAATCATCATCGAAAGGTATTGAATGGAATCATCAATGAATGGAATCGAATGGAATCATCAAATGGAATCAAATGGAATCATCATCAAATGGAATCGAATGGAATCTTCATCAAATGGAAATTAATGGAGTCATCATCGAATGGAATCAAAAGGAATCATCATCGAATGAAATCTTCATCGAATGGAATCTAATGGAATCATCATCGAATGGGATCTAATGGAAACTTTGAATGGTCTCGAATGGAATCAACATTGAATGGAGTCGAATGGAATAATCGAATACAAGCATCATCGAATGAAATTGAATGGAATCATTGAAAGGAATCGAATGGAATCCTCATTGAATAGAATCATTGAATGGAATGGAATGGAATAATCACTGAAAGTAATCGAATGGAATCATGGAATGAAATCGAGTGGAATCATCATCAAATGGACTCACATTGAATCATCGAATGAAATCAAAAGGAATCATCATCGAATGGAATCATCATCGAATGTACAATAATGGAATCATCATCGAATGGAATCTAATGGAAACTTTGAATGGTCTCGAATGGAATCAACATCGAATGGAATCGAATGGAATAATCAAATAGAAACATCATCAAATGAAATTGAATGGAATCAATGAAAGGAATCGAATGGAATCCTCATTGAATAGAATAATTGAATGGAATGGAATGGAATCATCACTGAAAGTAATCGAATGGAATCATGGAATGAAATCGAGTGGAATCATCATCAAATGGACTCAAATTGAATCATCAAATGAAATCAAAAGGAATCATCATTGAATGGAATCAAATAGAGTCATCAAATAGAATCGAATGGAATCATCGAATGGTATCAAATGGAATCATAGAATGGATTTGAATGGAATTATCATCAAATAGAATCGAATGGAATCACCATCGAATGGAATCCATAGCAATTATCAAATGGATTTGAATAGAATAATTGAATGGACAAGAATGGAATCATCATTGAACAGAATCTGATCAAATCAACATATGTAACCGAATGGAAATATAATCGAAATGAATCAAATGGAATCATCTAATGAAATGGAATGAAATCCTCATCGAATGGAAATGAAACGAATCATCAAATGGACTCGAATGGAATCATCAACGAATAGAATCGAATGGAATCATCCTCGAATGGACTCGAATGGGAGCATTAAATGGACACGAATGGAATCATTGAATGGAATCTTATGCAATCATTATCAATGGAATCGAAAGGAATAATCACCAAATGGAATGGAATAGAAACATCGAATGAAATCATATGGAATTATCATCAAGTGGAATCGAATGGAATCATCATCGAATGGAATCAAATGAAATCATCATCGAATGGAATCAAATGAAATCATCATCGAATGGAATCGAATGGAATCATCAAGGAATGGAATGGAATGGAATCATTGAATGGAATGGAATGGAAACATCATCCAATGGAAACGAATGGTATCATCGTCAAGTGAAACTTAATTGAATCATCATCGAATGGAACTGCATGGAATCATCATCGAATGGAATCAATTGGAATCATCATCGAATAGAATCGAATGGAATCATCGTCTAATGGACTCCACTTGAATCATCAAATGGACACGAATGGAACCATTGAATGGACTGTCATTCAATCATAATCAATGGAATCGAATGGAAAAATCATCAAATGGAAAGGAAAGGAATAATCATCGAAGGGAATCAAATGGAATCATCAACAAATGGAATCGAATAGAATCATCTAATGAAATCAAATGGAATTATCATCGAAGGGAATCGAATGGAATCATCATCGAATGGAATCATCATCGAAAGGAATCAAATGAATTCATCATAGAATGGAATTGAATGGTATCATCAACGAATTTAATCAATTGGAATCAAATGGACACTAATGGAATCATCATCCAATGGACACTAATGGAATCATCATCCAATAGAACCGAAAGGAATTTCATTTCATCAAATGAAACGTAATGGAATCATCATCGAATGTAATCAAATGGAATCATCATCGAATGGCTTCCAATGGAATCATCAACAATTGGAATCGAATGGAATCAACAAATGGAATGAAATGGAATGACCATCTTATGGAATCAAAGGGAAACATCGAATGGAAGAGAATGGAATCATCGAATGGAATCGAATTGAATCATAGTATGGACTCGAATGGAATCATCATCAAATGGAATCGGATGGAGTCATCAAATGGACTCAAACGGAAATATCATCGAATGAAATCGAATGGAAATTATCGAAAGGAACTGAATGGAATCCTCATCGAATGGTACCATCAAATGGAATGCAATGGAATCATCATCGAAAGGAAACGACTGGAATCACAGAATGGTATCGAATGGAATCATAATCAAATGGAATAGAATAGAATCATCATTGAATGGAATCGAAAGAAAACATCAAATGCATTCGAACAGACTAATCGAATGGACACGAATGGAATCATCATCCAATGGAATCGAATAGAATCAATGAATGGAATCGAATGGAATCTAATGACAAATACTGGAAGCATTCCCATAGAGCAGGTTTGAAACACTCTTTTTGTTGTATTTGGAAGTGGACATTTGGAGCGCTATGAGGCCTAAGGTGAAAAAGGAAATTTCTTCTCATGAAAAGTAGACAGAAGCATTCCCAGAAACTTGTTTATGATGTGTGTACTCAACTAACAGAGTTGAACCTTTCTTTTCATAGAGCAGTTTTGAAACACTCTTTTTGTAAAATCTGCAAGTGGATATTTGGAGAGCTTCGAGGATTTTGTTGGAAACGGGAATATCTTCATAAAAAAGTAGATAGAAGCATTCTGAGAAATATCTTTGTGATGTTTGCATTCAAGTCACAGAGCTGAACATTCCCTTTCATAGAGCAGGTTTGAAACACTCTTTTTGTAGTATCTAGAAGTGGATATTTGGAGAGCTTTGAGGCCTATGGTGAAAAAGGAAATCTCTTCCCATAAAAACTAGACAGAAGCATTCTCAGAAACTTGTTTGTGATGAGTGTACTCAACTAACAGAGCTGAAACTTTGATTTGATAGAGCAGTTTTGAAACACTCTTTTTGTAGAATCTGCAAGTGGATACTTGGATAGATTTGAGGATTTCGTTGGAAATGGGAATATCTTCATATAAAATCTAGACAGATGCATTCTCAGAAACAACTTTGTGATGTTTGCATTCAAGTCACGAAGTTGAACATTCCCTTTCATAGAACAGGTTTGAAACACTCTTTTTGTAGTATCTGGAAGTGGACATTTGGAGCACTTTGAGGCCTAAGGTGAAAAAGGAAATATCTTCCCATGAAAAGTAGACAGAAGCATTCTCAGAAACTTGTTTATGATGTTTGTACTTAACTAACAGAGTTGAACCTTTCTTTTCATAGAGCAGTTTTGAAACACTCTTTGTAAAATCTGCAAGTGGATATTTGGATAGCTTTGTGGATTTTGTTGGAAACGGGAATATCTTCATAAAAAAGTAGATAGAAGCATTCTGAGAAATATCTTTGTGATGTTTGCATTCAAGTCACAGAGCTGAACATTCCCTTTCATAGAGAAGGTTTGAAACACTCTTTTTGTAGTATCTGGAAGTGGATATTTGGAGAGCTTTGAGGCCTATGGTGAAAAAGGAAATGTCTTCCCATAAAAACTAGACAGAAGCATTCTCAGAAACTTGTTTGTGATGAGTGTACTCAACAGAGCTGAAACTTTGTTTTGATAGAGCAGTTTTGAAACACTCTTTTTGTAGAATCTGCAAGTGGATACTTGGATAGATTTGAGGATTTCGTTGGAAGCAGGAATATCTTCATATAAAATCTAGACAGATGCATGCTCAGAAACACATTTGTGATGTTTGCATTCAAGTCACGAAGTTGAACATTCCCTTTCATAGAACAGGTTTGAAACACTCTTTTTGTAGTATCTGGAAGTGGACATTTGGAGCACTTTGAGGCCGATGGTGAAAAAGGAAATAACTTCCCATAAAAACTAGACAGAAGCATTCTCAGAAACTTGTTTATGATGTGTGTACTCAACTAACAGAGTTGAACCTTTCTTTTCATAGAGCAGTTTTGAAACACTCGTTTTGTAGAATCTGCAAGTGAATATTTGGATAGATTAGAGGATTTCATTGGAAACGGGAATATCTTCATATAAAAAGCAGACAGAAGCATTCTCAGAAACTTCTTGGTGATGTTTGCATTCAAGACACGGAGTTGAATATTCCCTTTCATAGAGCAGGTTTGAAACACTCTTTTTATAGAATCTGGAAGTGGACATTTGGAGCTCATTGAGGACTATGGTGAAAAAGGAAATATCTTCCCAAAAAACTAGACAGAAGCCTTCTAAGAAACTTGCTTGTGATGAGTGTACTAAACTAACAGAGCTGAACCTTTGTTTTGATAGAGCGGTTTGGAACACTCTTTTTGTAGAATCTGCAAGTGGATATTTGGATAGCTCTGAGGATTTCGTTGGAAAGGGGAATATCTTCATATAAAAAGTAGGCAGAAACATTCTCAGAAACTTCTTTGTGATGTTTGCATTCAAGTCACAGTGTTGAACATTCGCTTTCATAGAGCAGGTATGAAACGCACTTTTTATAGTATCTGGAAGTGGACATTGGGAGCGCTTTGAGGCCTATGGTGAAAAAGGAAATATCTTCCCATAGAAACTAGACAGAAGCATTCTCAGAAACTTGTCTGTGATGTGTGTGCTCAACTAACAGAGTTGAACCTTTCTTTTGATAGAGCAGTTTTGAAACACTCTTTTTGTAGAATCTGCAAGTGGGTATTTGGATAGCTTGGAGGATTTCGTTGGAAACGGGAATATCTTCATATAAAAAGTGGACAGTAGCATTCTCAGAAACACCTTTGTGATGTTTGCATTCAAGTCACAGAATTGAACATGCCCTTTCATAGAGCAGGTTTGAAACACTCTTTTTGTTGTGTTTGGAAGTGGACAATTGGAGCGGTTTGAGGCCTATGGGGAAAAAGGAAATATCTTTCCATAAAAACTAGACAGAAACATTCTCAGAAACCTGTTTGTGATGTGTGTACTCAACTAACGGAGTTGAACCTTTCTTTTGATAGAGCAGTTTTGAAGCACTTTTTGTAAAATATGCAAGTGCATATTTGGATAGCTTTGAGGATATCGTTGGAAACGGGAATACCTTCTTATAAAATCTGGACAGAAGCATTCTGAGAAACAACTTTGTGATGTTCGCATTCAAGTCACAGAGTTGGACATTCCCTTTCATAGAGCAGGTTTGAAACACTCTTTTTGTTGTGTTTGGAAGTGGACAATTGGAGCGGTTTGAGGCCTATGGGGAAAAAGGAAATATCTTTCCATAAAAACTAGACAGAAACATTCTCAGAAACTTGTTTGTGATGTGTGTACTCAACTAACGGAGTTGAACCTTTCTTTTGATAGAGCAGTTTTGAAACACTCTTTTTGTAGAATGTGCAAGTGGATATTTGGATAGCTTTGAGGATTTCGTTGGAAACGGGAATATCTTCATGTAAAAAGTAGACAGAAGCATTCTGAGAAACATCTTTGTGATGTTTGCATTCAAGTCACAGAGTTTAACATTACTTTTCACAGAGCAGGTTTGAAACACTCTTTTTGTAGTATCTGGAAGTGGACATTTGGAGCACTTTGAGGCCGATGGTGAAAAAGGAAATATCTTCCCATAAATACTAGACAGAAGCATTCTCAGAAACTTGTTTATGATGTGTGTACTTAACTAACAGGGTTGAACCTTTCCTTTGATAGAGCAGTTTTGAAACACTCTCTTTGTAGGATCTGCAAGTGGATATTTGGATAGCTTTGAGGATTTCGTTGGAAACGGGAATATCTTCATATAAAAAGTAGACAGAAGCATTCTCAGGAACTTCTTTGTGATGTTTGCATTCAAGTCACAGAGTTGAATGGAAGTAGATAGAATCATCAAATGAGTCGAATGGAATGATGATCGAATGGAATCCAATGGAATCAACATCAAATGGACTCGAATGGAATCATCATTGAATGGAATCCAAAAGCATCATCATCAAATGGATTCCAGAGGAATCATCAATGAATGGAATGGAATGGAATTATTGAATGGAATCTAAGCGAATCATCATTGAATGGAACTGAATGGAATCATCCTCAAATAGAAACTAACGGTGTCATCACTGAATGGATTCGAATGGAATCATCATCGAATGGCATCGAATGGAATCATCATCTAATGCAATTGAATGGAATCACCATCAAACGGATTAAAATGAATCATGAAATGGAAACGAATGGAATCATGGAATGGAATCGAACGGAATCATCGAATGGACTCAAACGGAATATTCTTGGAATTGAATCAAATAGAATCATCTTTGAATGGACTCAAATGAAATCAACGAATGGAATCAAATGCAATCATCCTCAATGGAATCGAATGGAATCATCATCAAATGGAATCAAAAGGAATCATCATCGAAAAGAAACGAATGGAATCATCAACAAATGGAATCGAAAGGAAGCATCATCAGAAGGAAACAAATGGAATCATCATCGAATAAAATTGAAAGGAATCATCGAATGGAATTGAATGCAATCATCATCAAAAGGAATTAAAGAGAGTCATCGAATGGAATCGAACTGAATCATCAAATGGTATCAAATGGAATCATCATCAATTGGACTGGAATGGAATCAACATCGAATGGAATAGAAAGGATTCATCAAATGAACTCGAATGGAATCATCATCGAATGGACTCAAGCGGAATTATCATCTAATGGAATCAAATGGAATTATCGAATGGACTAGAATGGAATCATCGGAAGGACACGAATGGAATCATCATCGAATGGACTCAAATGGAATGATAGAATGGACTCGAATGGAATCTTCGAATGGACCCAAATGGAATTATCTAATGGGCTGGAATGGAAATATCGAATGGACTTGAATGGAATCATTATCAAATGGAATCAAATGGAATCATCGTAAGGAATCCAATAGAATCATCAATTGGAATCGATCAGAATCATCATCAAATGGAATCAAATGGAATCATCCAATGGAAACTAATGCAGTCATCATCAAATGGAATTGAATGGAATCATCATCAAATAAAATCTAATGGAATTATGGAATGGATTCGAAAGGAATCATCATCCAATAGAATAGAATGGAATCATTGAATGGAATAGAATGGAATCATCGTCGAGGGGAATTGAATGGAATCATCAAATGGAATCCAGTGGAATCATCATCGAATGGAATCGAATGGAATCATTATTGAATAGAGTCGAATGGAATCATTGAATGGTATCATCATCAAATGGAGTCCAATGGAATCATCGAATTGACTCTAATGGAATCATCTTTGAATGGAATCAAATAGAATCATTGAATGGAATCGAATGGAATCATCATCAAATGGAATTGAATGATATCATCGAATGCACTTGAATGGAATCATCAACGAATAGAATTGAATGGTATCAAATGAAATCAAATGGAATCATCAATGAATGGACTTGAATGGAATCATCATAGAATGGACTCAAATGCTATCATCGTCTAATGCATTCTAATGGAATCATCATTGAATGGACTTGAATGGAAACATCATCGAAATGAATCAAATGGAATCATCATGAAATTGAATCGAATGGCTCATCATCAAATGGAATCGAATGGAATCATCATCGAATGGAATCGAATGGAATCATCAAATGGACACGAATGGAATAATCATCGAATTGATTAGAATGGAATCATCGAATGGACTCGAATGGAATTATCATTGAATGGAACAGAATGGAATCATCGAATGAACTCAAATGGAATCATCATCGAATGGACTCGAATGGAATAATCGAATGAATTTGAATTTAATCATCATCGAATGGAATCCAATGGAATCATCGAATGGAATCGAATGGAATCATCACTGACTGGAATGGAATGGAAGCATCGAATGGACTCGAATGAAATCATAATGGAATGGAATCAAATGGAATTATCGAATGGACTCAAATGGAATCAACTTTGAATGGAATTGAAGGGAATCATCAAAAGAATCGAATGCAATCGTCATCAAATGGAATCGAATGGAATCATCGAATGGAATTGAATGGAATCACCACTGAATGGATTCGAATGTAATCATCATTGTATGGAATCGAATGGAATTATCGAATGGACACTAATGGAATCATCGTCAAATATAATCAAGTGGATCATCAAAGGGAACCTAATGGAATGATTGTCGAAAGGAATGGAATGGAATCATTGAATGGAATTGAATGAAATCACCAAGGAACGGAATCGAAATGGAATCATCATCGAAAGGAATAGAATGGAATCATGGAATGTACTCGAATGGAATCATCATCAAATGGAAACCTGTGGAACCATCGAATGAACACGAAAGGAATCATAATCAAATGGAATCGAAAGGAATCATCACTGAATGCAAGCACATGGAATCATCACCAAATGGAATCGTACGGAATCATCATGGAATGGAATTGAATGGAATCATCAATTGGACTCGAATGGAATAATCAAATGGAATCAATTGGAAGCGTCGAATGGACTCGAATGGAATCATCATCGAATGGAATCGAATGGAATCATCGAAAGGACTCAAATCGAATCATAAAATGGACTCGAATGGAATCATCAAATACCCTCCAGTGGAATCATCATTGAATGGAACCTAACAGAAAGATCGAATGGATTCGAATGGAATCATTGGATGGAAGTGAATGGAAACATTGATAGGACTCAAATTGAATTACTGAAAGGGTTCAAATGGAATCATCGAGTCGACTCAAATGTAATCACTATCGAATGGAATCGAATGGAATCATTGAATGGAATTGATTGGAATCATCATTGAATGGAATCAAATGAAATCATCCAATGGAATCGAATCCAATCATCATCGAATGGATTCGAATGGAATCATTGCCTAATAGAATAGAATGGAATCATCGAATGGAATAGAATGGAATCACCATCGAATGGAATCGAATGCAATCATCGAATGGAATCTAATGGAATCATTACCGAATAGAATCGAATAGAATCATTGAATGGAATCATCATCAAATGGAGTCCAATGGAATCATCGAATTGACTCGAATGGAATCATGATTGAATGGAATTGAATAGAATCATCGAATGGAATCGAATGGAATGATCACGAAATGGAATCGAATGATATCATCGAATGCACTTGAATGGAATCATCAACTAATGGAATTGAATGGTATCATCAAATGGAATCGAATGGAATCATCTTCGAGTGGAATCTAAAGGATTCACTAAGTGGACTCCAATGGAATAATCATCAAATGGAATCGAGTGGGATCATTAAATGTAGTCAAATGCTGTCATCGAATGGAATCGAATGGAATCATCGAATGGATTCGAATGGAATAGACATCGAATGGAATCAAGTGGAATGATCAAATGGACTCGAATGGAATCATCATTGAATGGATTTGAATGGAATCATCGAATACACTCGAATGGAATCATCATCTAATGGAAATGAATGGAATCATCAAATGGACAAGAATGGAATCATTGTCGAATGTAATCATATGGAATCATCGAATGGACTCGAATGCAATCATCAAATGTACCCGAATGGAATCATCATCAAATGGAATTGAAAAGAATCATCGAATGGACTCGAATAGAATCATTGAATGGACTCGAATGGATTGATCAAAAGGACTTGAAAGGAATTATCGAACAGACTCGAAAGGAATCATCGAATGGACCCTAATGGAATCATCATCGAATGGAAAATAATGGAATATTCAAATGGACTCGAGAGGAATCATCGAATGGACTCAAATGGAATCATTGAAAGGAGTCTAAAGGAATCATCACTGAATGGAATTGAATGGAATCATCGAATAAAATCAAATGTAATCATCTAATGGAATCTAATGGAGTAATCAACGAATGGAATCGAATGGAATCACCGAATGGAATTGATAGTAATAATCATCGAATGGAATCAAATGGAATCATCATCGAATGGAATTGAATGGAATCTTCGAATAGACACGAATGGAATCATCATCGAATGGAAAGGAATGGAATCATCAAATGGACTCGAATATAATCATCATCGAAGGGAATCGAATGGAATCATCAAATGCAATCAAATGGAATCATCATCGAATGGAGTTGAGTGGAATCATCCTTGAATGGAATCTAATGGAAATAAGAACGAAGGGAATCGAAAGGAATCACCATCAAATGGACATGAATGGAATCATCATCGAATGGACTCGAATGGAATCATCATCGAATGGAATCAAATGGAATCTTAATCGAATGGAATCAAATGGTGTCATTGAACAGACTCAAGAGGAATCGTCGAATGGACTCGAATGAAATCATTGAATGGAAAAGAATGGAATCATCATCGAATGGAATGTTATGGAAACTTCGAATTGATTCTAATGGAATGCTCATCAATTTGAATAACCTAATGGAGTCAGATGGAATCATCATCAAATAAAATTGAATGGAACCATCGAATGGCATCGAATGGAATCATCATCCAATGGAATCAAATGGAATCATCTAACGGACTCATATGGAATTATCATCAAATGGAATCGAGTGGAATCATAGAATGGACACGAGTGGAATCATCATTGAATGGAATCAAATGTAATCATCATCAAAAGGAATTGAAAAGAATCATCATAGAATGGAATCGAATGGAATCATCAAATCGAATAGAACGGAATCATCATAGAATGGAATCAAATAGAATCATCAAATGAAATCAAATGGAATCATCATGAAAAGGAATCTAATGGAATCATCAACAAATGGAATTGCATGGAATCATTGAATGGAAACTAATGGAAACATCATCACATGGAACCGAATGGAATCATCATGGAATGTAATAAAATGGAATCATCATCCAATGGAATCGAATGGTAACATTCACTGATTTGAATGGAATGATCATCGAATGGAATCAAAGGGAATCATCGAATGGAATCAAATGGAATCATCAAATGTAATCGAATGAAATCATCGTATGGATTCTAATGGAATCATCATTGACTGCAATCAAAACGTCATCGTCTGTAATCGAATGGGATCATCATCCAATGTCATCGCATGGAATCATCAACGAATGGAATCGATTGGAAAAATCAAATGGAATCGAATGGAAGGATCATCGAATACAATTGAATGGAATCTTCGAATGTAATCGAAAGGGATCATCCAATGGAACCGAATGGAGTCATTGAATGGTCTCGAGTGGAATCATCATCAAATTCAATCTAATGGAATCATTGAATGGACTAAAATGGAATCATCATCAAATGGAATTGAATGGAATCATCGAAAGGCATAGAATGCAATCATCATCAAATGGAATGGAATGTAATCATTGAATGGACACGAATGGAATCATCATCGAAAGGAATCGTATGGAAACTTCAAATGGGCTCGATTGGAATCATCATCGAATGCAATCAAATGGAATTATCATCAAATGAAATCAGATGAAATCATCATCGAATGAAATCAGATGAAATCATCATCAGATGGGATCCAATGGAATCATCACTGAATGGAATGGAAAGGAATCATAGAACAGAATCAGATGGAATCATCATCGAATGGAAAAGAATGGAATAGTCAAATGGTCTCGAATGGAATCATCGAATGGAGTCTAAAGGAATCACCATTGAATGGAATTAAATGGAATCATCGAATAAAATTTAATGTAATCATCTAATGGAATCTAACGGAATAATCATCGAATGGAATTGAATCGAATCATCCTTGAATGGAATTGAATGGAATCTTCGAATAGACATGAATAGAATCATAACTGAATGGAAAGGAACGGAATCTTCAAATGGACACCAATATAATCATCATAGAAGGGAATTAAATGGAATTATCAATTGGAATCGAATGGAATCATCATCAAATGAAATTGAATGGAGTCATCGAATGTCATCGAATTGAGTCATCACCAAATTGAGTCAGATGGAATCATCGAATGGACTCGAATGGAATCATCATCGAAGGGAATGGAATAGAATAATCGAATGGACTCGAAAGAATCATCATCGAATGGAATCGAAAGGAATCAACAAATGGAATAGAAGAGAATCATCATCGATTGGAATCAAATGGAATAGTCATTGAAAGGAATCAAATGTAATAATCATCAAATGGATTCATTTGGAATCATAATCGAATGGAATCATCATCGAAGGGAATCGAATGCAACAATCGAATGGACTCAAATGTAATCATCATCGAATGGAATTGACCGGAATCATCGAATGGAATAGAAGAGAATCATCATCGAACGGAATCGAATGGAATCATCAACGAATGGAATCGAATGGAATAATCATCGAATGGATTCGTATGGAATCCTCATCGAATGGAATTTAATGGAATCATCTTCGAATGGAATCGAATTTAATCATCATGAAATGGAATCAAATGGAATTATCGAATGTACTCGAATGGAGTCATTATCGAATCGAATAGAATGGATTCATTGAATGGACTCGAATGGAATCATCATTGAATGGAATTGAATGGAATCATCGAATCGACTCGAATGGAGTCATCATCAAATGTAATTGAATGGAATCATCAAATGGAATCGAGGGGAGTCATCGTCAAATGAAATCGAATGGAATCATTGAATGGACATGAATGGAATCACCATCGAATGGAATCAAATAGAATGATTAATTGGACTCCAATGGAGTCATCGAATGGACTCGAATGGAATCATCATCAAAAGGAATCAAATGAAATAATGATCAGATGGAATTGAATGGAAACATCTCTGAATGGAATCGAATGGAATCATCGAAGGGAAAGAGATGGAATCATCATCGAATTGAATCAAATAGAAACATTGAATGAAATCGAATGGAATCATAGTCGAACAGAATCGAATGGAAACATCATCGAATGGACTCGAATGGAAACATCGTGGAATGGAATTGAGTGGAATCATAATCGAATGGAATCAAATGGAAACATCATCGTATTGAATCAAATGGAATCGTCATGGAATTGAATCGAAAGGCTCATCATCAAATGGAATCGAATGGAACCACCGAATGGAATCATCGAATGGAATCAAATGGATTAATCATCTAATGGAATCAAATGGAACCAACGAATGAAATCGAATGGAATCATCTTTGAATGGAGTCGAATGGAATTATCATCAAATGGAATCTAATGGAATCATCAACAAAGGGAATTGAAAGGAATCATCATCGAATGGAATCGAATGGAATCATCATAGAACGGAATCGTAGGGAATCATTGAAAGGAATCGAACGGAATCATCAAATGGAATCAAATGGAGTCATCACTGAATGGAATCGAATGGAGTCATCAAATGGACAAGAATGTAATAATTAAATGGACTCGAAAGGAATCATTGAGTGGAACTGAATGGAATCATTGATTGGTCTCGAATGGAATCATCATCAAATGGAATCGGTTGGAATCAACGAAGTGAGTTGAATGGAATAATTGAATGGTTTCGAATGGAATCAGCATCGAGTGGAATCAAATAGAATCATTCAATGGACCCGAGTGGAATCATCATTGAATGGAATCAAATGAAATCATCATCAGATGGAATCGAATGGAATCATCACTGAACAGAGTCAAATGGAATCATCAAAAGGACTCGAATGGAATAATTGAATGGACTCTAATGGAATCATAGAATGGAATCGAACAGAATCATCGAATGGACTCGAATGGAATCATCATCAAATGGAATCAGATGGAATCAATGAAGGGACTCGAATGGACTCATCAAATGGACTCTAATGGAATCATCATCGAATGGAATCAAATGGAATTATCGAATGGAATTGAAAGGAATCATCGAATGAAATCAAATAGAAGCATCTAATGGAATCGAATGGAATCATAGAATGGAATCAGCCGGAATCATCATTGAATGGAATCAAACAGAAGCATCGAATGAAATTGAATTGAATCATCATCGAACGGACTCGTATGGAAACATCATCGAATGGACTCTAATGGAATCATCGTTGAATGGATTCCAATGGAATCATCATCAAATGGAATCGAATGGAAACATCATCTAATTGAATCAAATGGAATCATCATGGAATTGAATCGAATTGCTCACTGTCGAATGGAATCTAATGGAATCATCGAATGGAATTGAATGGAGTCGTCATCGAATGGAATAAAATGGAATCATCCAATGGAAGAAAATTGAATCATCACCGAATGGAGTCAAATAAAATCATCGAATGAAATTGAAAGGAATCATCATCAAATAGAATCGAATGGAATCAACATCGAATGGAATCGAATGGAATCATCATCCATTGGAATCGAATGGAATCATCATCCAATGGAATCGAATGGAATCTTCGAATACAATAGAATTGAATCACCATCGAATGGAATCGAATAGAATCATCGAATGAAATCAAATGGAATCATCATTGAATGGAATCGAATCGTCAATGAACAGAATCGAATGGAATCATAGAATGGAATCCAACGTAATCATCATCAAATTGAACCCAATGGAATCATTAAATGGACTCGAATGGAATCATGAAATGGACTCGAAAGGAAACATCATCGAATGGAATATAATGGAATCATCGAATGGAATCAAATGGAATCATCATTGAATGAAATCAAATGGAATCATCGAATGGACTCGAATGGAATCATCATCGAATGGAACTGAAAGGAATCATCAAATGGACTTGAATGGAATCATTGAATGGACACGAATTGAATCATCATTGAAGGAAATTGAATGGAATCACCAAAGGAACACGAATGGAATCATCATCTAATAGCACCAAATGGATTCATCGAATGGACTCGACTGGAATATCAGCAAATGGAATTAAAAGCAATCATCGAATGGACTCCAATGGAATTATCGAATGGACTGGAATGAAATCAATATCGAATGGACTCAAATGGAATGATCGAATGGTCTCGAATGGAATCATCAATTGGACTCAAACGGAATTATTGAATATCCTCAAATGGAATCATTGAATGGACTCCAATGGAATCATTATCAAATGGAATCAAATGGAATCATCAAATGGAATCGAATGGAATCATTGAATGCAGATGATCAGAGTCATCATCGAATGGAATCATATGGAATCATCAAATGGAATCAAATGCAGTCATCACCGAATGGAATCGAGTGGAATCATCATCGAATAGAATCAAATGGAATCATCGATTGGAAGTGAATGGAATCATCATCGAATGTAATCGAATGGAATCATCCAATGGAATCAAATGGAATCATCAAATGGAATTGAATGGAATCAACATTGAACGAAATCGAATGGAATCATTATAGTATAGAATCGAATGGAATCATAGAATGGAATCATCGAATGGAATCATCATCAAATGGAGTCCAATGGAATCACCAAATGGTCTCGAATGGAATCATCATAGAATGGAATTGAATGGAATCATCAAATGGAATCGAATGGATTCATCATCAAATGGAACCGAGTGGTATCATCGAAAGCACTCTAATGGAATCATCAATGAATGGTATTGAATGGTACCATCAAATGGAATTGAATGGAATAATCTTCAATTGGCATCGAAAGTAATCACCGAATGGACTCGAATGAAATAATCATCAAAAGGAATCGAATGGAATCATTGAATGAAATCGAATGGAATCATCACTGAGTGGACTAGAAAGGAATCATTGAATGGACTAGAATGGAATCATCATCGTATGGAATCGAATGGAATCATCGAATGGAATCGAATGGAATCATCATCGAATGGAATCTAAATGAATTAACGTCAAATGGAGTCGAATGGAATCATTATCGAATGGAATCCAAAGGAATCATCTTCAAATGGAACCGAATGGAATCGTCATCGAATGGAAACGAAAGGGGTCATTATCGAATGGAATTGCATGGAATCATCATCGAATGAAATCGAGTGGAATCATCTTCAAATGGAATCTAATGGAATCATCTAATGGAATTGAATGGAATCATCATCAAATGAATTGAATGGAAACATCGAATGGTCTCGAATGGAATTAGTATCTAATGGAAATGAAAGTATTCACCGAATAGAATTGAAGTGAATAATCATCAAATGGACGCGAATGGAATAATCACCAAATGGAATCGAAAGGAATTATTGAATGGAATCGAATAGAAACATCGAATTGACTCAAATGGAATCATCAAATGGAATGGAATGGAATAATCAATGAACACGAAAGAATCATCATTGAATGGAATCGAAAGGAATCATCGAATGGAATCGAATGGAATCATCTTCGAATGTAATCGAAAAGAATCATCATCAAATGGAATCAAATGGAAGCATCATCGAATGGAATCCAAAGGAATCACCATCGAATGGAACCGAATGGAATCATCATCGAATTGAACCAAAAGTAGTCATCATCGAATGGATTCTGATGGAATCATCATTGAATGGAATCGAATGGAATCATCATCTAATGGAATCTCTTGGAATCATTGAAAGGAATTGAATGGAATCATCATCGAATGAATTAAATGGAATCATCGAATGGTCTCGAATGGAATCCTCATCAAATGGAATCGAATGGAATCATTGAATAGAATCGAATGGAATAATGATCAAATGGACTCGAATGGAATCAACATCAAATGAATCGAATGGAATTATCTAATAGAATCGAATAGAATCATCGAATGGACTCGAATGGAATCATCGAATAGAATTGAATTGAATAATCTATGGACTCAAATGGAATCATCTTCGAATGGAATCGAATGGGATCATCGAATGGAATCATCATCAAAAAAATAGAATGGAATCATCATCGAATGGAATTGAAAGGAATCATCATGAAAGGGAATCTAATGGAATCATCGAATGGAGTCAAATGGAAACATCCTCGAATGCAATCAAATGGAATCATTGAATGGATTAAAATGGAAACATCATCGAATGAAATCGAATGGAATCATTGAATTCAACAGGAATGGAATCATTGAATGGACTCAAATGGAATCATCATTCAATGGAATCTAATAGAATCATTAAATGTACTCGAAGGGAATCATTGAATTGCCTCAAAAGGAATCATCATCAAGTGGAATTGAATGGAATCATCAAATGGACTAGAAAGGAATCTTTGAATGTACTCAAATGGAATCATCATTGAATGGAATCTAATGGAATCATCGAATGGACTTGAATGGAGTCCTCATCAAATGGAATCAAAGGGAATCACCGAATGGACTTGAATGGAATCATCGAATGGCCACGAATTGAATCATCATTCAATGGAATCGAATGCAGTCATCCCTTGGACTCGAATGTAATCATCAAATGGACACGAAAGGAATCATCATCGAGTGGATTCAAATGAAATCATTGAATGGACTTGAATTCAATCATCAAATGGTCTCGAATGGAATCATCATCGAATAGAATCGAAAGGAATCATCACATGGATTTGAAAGGAATCATCGAATGGAATGGAACGGAAACATTGAATGGAATCGAATGCAATCATAATGAAACGGAATCAAAATAAATAATCAAATGGAATCAAATGGAATCATCAAATGGACTCGAATGCAATCATCATAGAATGGAATCGAATGGGGTCAAAGAATGGACTCAAATGGAATCTTTGAATGGACTCGAATGGAATCATCGAATGGAATCCAATGGGATCATCATTGAATGGAATTGAATGGAATCAACAATGAATGGAATCAAATGGAATCATTGAATGAAATCCAATGGAATCATCATCAAATAGAAATGAATGGAATCATAATCGAATGGAATATTATGGAATCATCGAATGGACTCGTATGGATTCATCATCGATTGAAATCGAATGTAATCATAGAATGGAATCGAATGGAATCATCATTGAATGGAATAAAATAGAATCGTTGAATGGAATCAAATGGAATCATCAATGAATGGAATCGAATGGAATCATTTAATGGACTCGAATGGAATCATCATCAAATGGAATCAGATGGAATCAACGAAGGGACTAGAATGGAATCATGAAATGGATTCGAATGGAATCATAATCAAATGGAATCGAAAGGAATCATGGAATGGAATCAAATGGAAACATCATTGCATGGAATCAAATGGAATCATCGAATGGAATAATCGAATGGAACCGATTGCAGTCAACCACGAATGGAATATTCAAATGCAAACGAATGCAGTCATCCTCGAATGGAATCAAATGGAATCATCGAACGGACTCGAACGGAAACATCATCGAGTGGAATCGAATGGAATCATCGACTGGAAACGAATGCAATCATAGAATATATTTGAAAGGACTCACCATCGAATGTAATAGAATGGAATCATCGAATGGACTTGAACGGAATTATCATTGAATATAATTGAATGGAATCATCAAACGAACTCGAATGGAATCATCATCGAATGCAATCGAAAAGAATCATCGAATGGACTCGAATGCAATCATCGAATGGACTCGAATGGAATCGTCATCAAATGGAATAGAATGCAATCATCAAATGGACTCGAATGGAATTATCATGTAATGGAATCGAATGGAATCATAGAATGAACTCCAATGGAATCATCATCGAATGGAATCGAATGGAATCATTGAATGGATTCGAATGGAATCATCATCAAATGGAATCATGTGGAATCAGCGAATGAACTCGAAATGAATCATAATTGAATGGCATCGAAAGGAATCATCATCGAATGGAATCACATGGAATCATCATCGAATGAAATCATACGGAATCATCATAGAATGGAATCGAATGATATCATCAAATGGACTCAAAGGTAAGCGTCAAATTGAATCATACCGAATCATCATCAAATGGAATCGAATGGAATAATCGAAAGGACTCGAATCGAACCATCAAATGGACTCGAACAGAATCATTATAGAATGGAATCGAATAGAATCATCAGATGGACTTGAATGTAATCATCATTGAATGGAACAGATTGCAATCATTTAATGCACTCGAATGGAATCATCATTGAATGGAATTGAATGGCATTAGTGAATGGTCTCGAATGGAATCATCATCAAATAAAATCCATTGGAATCATCGGATGGAATCAATGGAAATATCAAAAGGAATTTAATGGAATAATCTTTGAATGGAATGGAATGGAATCATCGAATGGAATCGAATACAATCATCATTGAATGGAATCGAGTGGAATCATTGAATGGCATCGAATTTAATCACCATTGAATGGACTCAAATGGAATCATAATTGAATTGAATCAGAAGGAATCATCGAATGGACTCGAATGGAATCATCATTGAATAGAATCAAACGGAATCATAGAATGGAATTGAATGGAATCATCCTCAAATGTAATTAAATGGAATCATTGAATGGAATCAAATGGAATCATCATCAAATGGAATCATATAGAATCAGAGAATGAAATCGAATGGAATCACCATCGAATGGAATTGAATGGAATCACAGAATGATATCGAATGTAATCATCATCGAATGGAATCGAAAGGAACCATAGCGAATGTACTTGAAAAAAATCATTGAATGTACTCGAATAGAAACATCGAATGGACTTGAAAGGAATCTTGATGGTATGGAGTAGAATGGAATAATCGAATGGACCCAATTGGAATCATCATTGAATGGAATAGAATGGAATCATCTAATTTATACGAAAGGAATAATCATTGAATGGAATAGAATGGTAAGCATCATCGAATGGAATCAAATGGAATCATCTAATGGACCCGAAAGGAGTCATCATTGAATGGAATAGAATGGTAAGCATCATCAATTGGAATCAAATGGAATCATCTAATGGACCCGAATGGAATCATCATTGAATGGAATAGAATGGAATCATCATCAAATGGAATATAATGGAATAATCATCGAATGGAATCAAATGGAATCATCTAATGGACCCGAATGAAATCATCATTGAATGGAACATAATTGGATCATCGTCAAATGGAATATAATGGAATCATCATCGAATGGAATCCAAAGGAATCATCAAATGGATCCGAATGGAATCATCTAATGGACACCAATAGCATCATCATTGAATGGATTTGAATGGAATCATTCAAAGAACACGAATGGAATCATCATCTAATGGAATAGAAAGGAAACATCAAATGGAATTGAATGGAGTCATCATTGTTCGGAATCGAGTGGAATTATTGAATGGACTCGAAAGTAATCATCGGAGAATGGAATCGAATGGAATCATAGAATGGACTCGAATGGAATCATCGAATGGACTCGAATGGAATCATCATCGAGTGTAATCGAATGGAATCATCTAATGAACCCGAATGGAATCATCATCGAATGGAATCAAATGGAATCATTGAATGGACTCGAATGAAATCATCATCGAATATAATTGAAAGCAGTCATCAAATGGATTCAAATAGAATAATCAAATGGCTCCAATGCAATCAGCATCAAATGGAATCACATGGAAACACTGAATGGACTCGAATGGAATCATCATCAAATGGAATCAAAGGGAATCATTGAATGCACCCAAATGGAATCATCATTGAATGGAATCGAATGGAATCATCATCGAATGGAATCAAGTGGAATCATTGAATGTACTCAAATGGAATGATCATCGAATGGAATCATATGGAATCATCTAACTCAATCGAATGGAGTCATCATTGAATGGAATCGAATGGAATAATCGAATGGACACGAATGGAGTCATCATCAATTGGAATTGAATGCAATCATCAAATGGACTCGAGTGGAATCAGCGTCAAATGAAATTGAATGGAATCATCGAATGGACTCTAATGGAATCATCATTGAATGGAATCAAATGGAATCATCGATGGGACACAAATGGAATCATCAAATGGACTCTAATGGAATCATCATCGAATGGAATCAAATGAAATCATCATCCGATGGATTCGAATGGAATCATCAATGAATGGAATCGAATGGAATAATCGAATGGAATGAGATGGAATCATCATCGAATGGAATCAAATAGAAGCATCGTACAAAAACCAAAGGAATCATCAATGAACGGACTCAAATGGAATCATCAATGAATGAACTCGAATGGAATCATCGTGGAATGCAATCTAATGGAATCATCATCGAATGGAATCGAATGGAAACATCATCGAATTGAATCAAATGGAATCATGATGGAATTGAATTGAATGGCTCATCATCGAATGGAGTTGAATGGAATCATCTAATGGAAACAAATGGAAGCATCATCAAATGGCGTCAAATGGAATGATCAAATGGAATCGAATGGAATCATCATCGAAAGGAATCTAATGGAACCATCAAATGAAATCGAATGGAATCACCATCGAATGGAGTCGAATGGAATCATCATCGAATGGAAACTATTGGAATCATAAATTAAGAGAATCGAGTGGAATCACTTTCAAATGGTATCAAATGGAATCATCAACGAGTGGAATCGAATGGATTCATCGAATGGAATCCGATGGAATCATGTTCAAATGCAACCAAATGGAATCTTTGAATGGACTTGAATGGAATCATCATCGAATGGACTCGAAAGGAATCATCATCAAATTGAATCGAATGGTGTCATTGAGTGGACTCAAGTGGAATCATCGAATGGACTCAAATGGAAACATCATCGAATGGAGTCAAATGGAACCATTGAATGGCATCGAATAGCATCATCAATGAATGGAATCTAAGGGAATAATCGAATGGTCTCGAATGGAATCATCGAATGGACCCGAGTGGAATCATCATCATATGGAATCTTCGAATGGACTCAAATTGAATCTTCATCGAATGGAATCGAAAGGAATGTTCAAATGGACTCGAATGGAATCATTGTCAAATGGAAACTAATTGAATGTTAGAATGGACTTGAATGGAATCATCATCGAATGGGATTGAATGGAATCATCAAATGGCATCAAATGGAATCATCATCGAATGGAATAGAATAGAATCATCTAATGGACTTGAATGGAATCATCATCAAATGGTATCAAATGGAATCTACGAGTGGACTCCATTGAAATCTTCATCAAATGCAATCAAATAGAATCATCATCGAATGGAATCGAATGGAACCATCATCGAATGGAATCAAATAGAATCATCCAATGGAAAAGAATTGTATCATCATCGAATGGAATCAAATAGAATCATCAAATGAAATCGAATAAAATCATCATCGAGTGGAATTGAATGGAATAATCATAGTTTGGAATCGAATGGAGTCATCATCGAAAGGAACAAAAAGGAATCATCAATGGAATATAATTGAATCATCATCGAATGGAATCGAATAGAATCATCGAATGAAATCAAATGGAATAATAATCGAATGGAATCAAATGGAATCATCAACGAATGGAATTGAATGGAATCACCATCGAATGGAATCGAATGGAATTATCCAATGTAATAGAAGTGAATCACCATCGAATAGAATCATCTAATGAAATTGAATGGAATTATCATCAAATGGACTCAAATGGATTCATCAAATGGACACGAATGGAATCTTCATCGAATGGAATACAATGGAATCATCAAAAGGAATCGAATGGAATTGTCATCGAATGAAATCAAATGGAATCATTGAATGGACTCGAATGGAATCATCATTGAGTGGAATCGAATGGAATCATTGAATGGACTCGAATGGAATCATCATCGAATGGAATTGAAAGGAATCATCAAATGGACTTGAATGGAATCATTGAATGGACTAGAATGGAATCATCATCGAATGAAATTCAATGGAATCATCGAATGGACACGAATGGAACTATCATCGAATGGAACCGAATGGAATCAGAATGGAATCGAATGGAATCATCATTGAATGGAATCAAATGGAATCGTTATCGAATGGAAACAAATGGAATAATCATCTAAGGAATCTAATGGAATCATCATCTAATGGAATCGAATGGAATCATCAACGAATGGAATCAAATGGAGAAATTGAATGGAATCTGCTGGAATCATCATCGAATGGAAATGAATGCAGTCATCATCGAATGGAATCGAATGCAATCATCATCAAAAGAAATAGAAAGGAATCATAGAATGGAATCGGACGGAATCATGGAATGGAATCGAGTGGAATCATCATTGAATGGACTCCAATGCAATTTTCATCAAATGGAATTGAATGGAATCATCGAATGGACTCGAGTGGAATAATTGAATGTACTCAAATGGAATAATCAAATGGACACAAATGGAATCACTGAATGGAATCGAATGGAATGATTGAATGAACTCGAATGGAATCATCATCAAATGAAATCGGATGGAATCATCGAGTGGACTAGAATGGAATCATCAGATGGACTCCAATGGAGCTATCGAATGGTCTCGAATGGAATCATTAAATGGACCCTAATGGAATCATCATCGAATGAAATCGAATGGAATCATCAAATGGAATCGAATGCAATCATCATCAATGAAATCAAATGGAATGATTGAATGGAGTCGAATGGAATCATCATCGAATGGAATCTAATGGAATCATCAAATGGACTCAAATGGAATCATCATCGAATGGAATCAAAAGGAATCATGGAATGGACTTGAATGGAATCATTGAACGGACTCAAATGAAACCATCATCAAACAGAATCAAATGGAATAATCGAAAGGACACGAATGTAATCATCATCGAATGGAATCACATGGAATCTTTTAATGGAATCAAATGGAATCATCATTGAATGGAATCTAATGGAATGATCATTGAATGGAATCCAATGGAATCATCATCGAATAGAATCTAAGGGAATTATCGCCTAAAGGAATCGAATAGAATCATCAATGAATGGAATCGAATGGAGAAATCAAATGGAATCCATTGGAATCATCATAGAATGGAACCGAATGCAGTTATCATCAAATGGAGTCAAATGCAATCATCATCGAGTGGAATCAAAAGGAATCATCATCAAATGGAATCTAAAGGAATCATCATCAAATGGAATCGAAAGGAATCATGATCAAATAGAATCGAATGGAATCATCAAATGGAATTGAATGAAATCATCATTGAAATAAATCGAAGGGAATCATCAAATGGAAATGAACGGAATCATCAAATGGAATTGAATGGAATCATCATCGAATGGGATCAAATGGAATCATCAAATGGACACGAATGGAATAATCGAATGGCTCGAATTGAATCATCGAATGGTATCGAATGGAATCATCAATTGGACTGTAATGGAATCATCATCAAATGGAATTGGATGGAATCAACGAAGGTGCTCGAATGGAATCATCGAACGGACTAGAATGGAATAATCATCGAATGGAATCGAATGAAATCATCATCGGATAGATTCGAATGGTATCATCACAGAAAGGAATCGAAAGGAATCATCGAATGGACTCGAATGGAATAAACGAATGGACTCAAATGGAATCATCGAATGGAATCGAATGGATTTATGAAATGGACTCGAATGGAATCATCATCAAATGGAATCGGATGGAATCAATGAAGGGCCTCGAATGGAATCATTGATGGACTCGAATTGAATCATCATCAAATGGATTCTTAAGGAATCATCGAATGGCCTCGAATGGAATCATCATCGAAATGAATCTAATGAAATCATCATTGGATGGAATTGAATGGAATCATCATCGAATGGAATCGAATGGAATAATCATATGGAATCGAATGGAATCATCAAATGGAATCCAAAGGAATCATTGATAGAAATCGAATGGCATGATCATCGAATGGAGTCGAATGAAATCATCATCGAATGGAATCCAATGGAATCATCAATGAAGGGAATCAAATGCAATCATCATCGAATGTAATCGAATGGAATCAACAACGAATGGAATCGAATGGATTCATTGAATGAAATCCAATGGAATCATCCATGAAGGGAATCAAATGCAATCATCATCGAATGTAATCGAATGGAATCAACAACGAATGGAATCGAATGGATTCATTGAATGAAATCCAATGGAATCATCATCAAATAGAAACGAATGGGATCATCGAATGGACTTGAATGGAATCATCATCAAGTGGAATCTTATGGAATCATGGAATGGACTCGAATGGATTCATCATCGAATGAAATCGAATGTAATCAGAGAATGAATCGAATGTAATCATCATTGAATGGAATAGAGTAGAATCATCGAAGGGAATCAAATGGAATCATCAATGTATGGAATCGAATGGAATCATTTAATGGATTCGAATGGAATCTTCATCAAATGTAATTGAATGGAATCATCGAAAGGACTCGAATGGAATCATCATCAAATGGAATTGGATGGAATCAACGAAGGCACTAGAATGGAATAATCGAATGATTTTGAATCGAATCATCATCGAATGGAATCGAATGCAATCATAGAATGGAATTGAATGGAATCATCGTCACATGGAATCAAATGGAATCTGCATATGGAATTGAATGGAATCATCGATTGGAACAGAATGCAGTCATCCTCGAATGGAATGGAATGCAATCATTGAACGGACTCGAATGGAATCATCATCAAATAGAATCGAATGGAATCATCAAAAGGACTCGAATGAAATCATTGAATGGACTTGAATGGAATCATAATCTATTGGAATAGAATGGAATCATCGATTGGACAAGAATGGAAGTATTGTTGAATGGAATGGAATGGAGTCATCGAATGAACTCGAATGGAATCATCATCGAATGGAATCAAATGGAATCATCAAATGGATTCGAATGGAGTCATCACTGAATGGAATCATTTGGAATCATCGAATGATCTTGAAATGAATCATAATCAAATATTACTGAAAGAATCATCATCGAATGGAATCACATGGAATCATCATGGAATGGAATCATACTGAATCATTATAAAATGGAATTGAATGGAATCATCAGTTGGACTCATGGAATGGAATCATACTGAATCATTATAAAATGGAATTGAATGGAATCATCAGTTGGACTCGAATGAAATCATCAAATGGACCAAAAAGGAAGCGTCGAATGGACTCAAACCCAATCAGCTTCGAATGGAATCGATTGGAGTCATTGAAAGGACTCGAATCAAACCATCAAATGGACTCGAACGGAATCATTATAGTATGGAATTGAAAAGAGTCATCGGATGGACTTGAATGGAATCATCATTGAATGGAATCGATTGGAATCATCGAATGCACACAAATGGAATCATTATCAAATGGAATTGAATGGCATCATTGTATGGACTCGAAAGGAATCATCATCGAATGGAATCCATTGGAATCATCAGATGGAATCAAATGGAATTATGTAATGGAATCGAATGGAATCATCTTTGAATGGAATCGAATGGAATCAATGAATGGAATAGAAGGCAATCATCATTGAAAGGAATCGAATGGAATCATCGAATTGAATCGAATTTAATCACCATTGAATGGACTCAACAGGAATCATCATCGAATAGAATCAGCAGGAATCATCGAATGGACACGAATGGAATCATCATCGAATAGAATCAAATGGAATCATAGAATAGAATCAAATGGAATCATAATCAAATGTAATTAAATGGAATCATCAAATGAAATCGAATGGATTTCATCATTGAACGGAATCAAATAGAATCAGCAAATGAAATCGAATGGAATCAACATCGAATGGAATCGAATGTAATCACAGAATAGTATCGAATGGAATCATCATAGAATGGAATAGAATGGAATCATCTAATTTACATGAATGGAATGATCAACGAATGGAATAGAATGGAATCATCATCGAATGGAATCAAATGGAATCATCTATTGGACACGAATGGAATCATCATTGAATGGAAGAGAATAAAATCATCATTGAATGGTATCCAAAGGAATCATCAAATGGATCCGAACGGAATCACCATAGAATTGAATAGAATGGAATCATCATTGAATGGAATTGAATGGAATCATCTAATGGACTGCAATAGAAACATCATCGAATGGAATCATCTATTGTACCCGAATGGAATCATAAAATGGAATCATATGGGATCATCAAATGGACTCGAATTGGATTATCATCAAATGGAATCGAATGGAATCATCTAATGGACCCGAATGGAATCATCATCGAATGGAATCGAATGGAAACAACGAATGGACTCCAATGGAATCATCATCGAATATAATTGAAACAATCATCAAATGGATTCGAATGGAAACATTCAATGGACTCAAATGGAATCATCATCGAATGAAATCAAATGCAATCATTGAATGGACTTGAATGGAGTGGTCATCGAATCAAATCGAATGGAATCATGGAATGGAATCCAATGGAATCATCTTCGAATAGAATTGAATGGAATCACCGAATGGACTCGAATGGAGCGATCATCAAATGGAATTGAATGGAATCATTGAATAGAATCGAATATAATCATCATCGAATGAAATTGCATTGAATTATTGCATGGACTCGAATGGAATCATCGTCGAATGGAATCGAATGGAATCATCGAATGGACTCTAATGGAATCATCATGGAATGGAATGGAATCATCAAATGGATTTGAATGGAATCATCATCGAATGAAATAGGAAGGAATCATCGAATGGAATCATCATCAAATGGAATCGAATGGAATGATCTAACAGACGTGAATGGAATCATTGTCGAATGGAATCGAAAAGAAACATCAAATAGACACGAATTGAATCATTATGGAATGGAATCAAATGGAGTCGTCATCAAATGGAATTGTATAGAGTCCTCATCGAATGGAACTGAATAGAATCATCGAATGGAATATAATTATCTCCAAATGGAAACAAATGGAATCATCGAATGAAATCAAATGGAATCATCATCGAATGGAATCGAATGGAATAATCATCAAATGTAATCGAACAGAATCATCAACAAATGGAATGGAATGGAATCATCGAATGGACTCGAACGGAATCATCATCGAATGGAATCAAATCTAATCTTCGAATGAACTCGAATGGAATCATGATCGAATGGAATCGAATGTAATCTTCAAATGCACTCGAATGGAATAATCATCAAATGCAATGGAAGGGAATCATCATCGAATGGAATCGTCATCGAATGGAATCGAATGGAATCCTCGAATGGAATAGAATTGAATCAACATAGAATGGAATCGAATAGAATCATCTAATGAAATCGAATGGAATCATCATTGAATAGAATCGAATGGAATCATCATCGAATGGAATCAAATCGAATCATTATTGAATGGAATCAAATGGAATCATCATTGACAGGAATCAAATGGAATAATCAACGAATGGAATCGAATGGAATCGTTGAATGCAATCCAGTGTAATCATCATCGAATTGAACACAAAGTTATCATTACCTGGAGTCAAATGTAATCATCGAATAGACTCAAATGGAATCATCATTGAATGGAATAGAAAGGAATCATTGAACAGAATCCAATGTAATCATCATTGAATGAAATCAAATGGAATCATCGAATGGTCTCGATTGGAATCATCATTGAATGGAATCAAGAGGAATCATCGAATGCACTTGAATGGAATCACTGAATGGACTTGAAAGGAATCACCATCGAATGGAATCCAATGGAATCATGGAATGGACAATAATGGAATCACCATCAAGTGGAATTGAATGGTATCATCGAATAGAATCTAATGGAATCATCATCAAATGGAATCGAACATAATAATCAAATGTACTGAAATTGAATCATCGAATGGACTCGAATGGAATCATCACCAAATGGAATCGAATGGAATCATCAAATAGATTCAAATGTAATAATCATCAAACGAAATTGCATTAAATCATGGAATTGACACGAACGGAGTCATCATCAAATGGAATCGAATGGAATCATTGAATAGACGCATACGGAATAATCATCAAATGGAATGGAAAGGAATCATCAAACGAAATCAGTGGAATCATCATCAAATGATATCAAATGGAATAATTGAATGGCACAAAACGGAATCATCATTGAATGGAATCAAGTGGAATCATCTAACGGACACGAATGGAATAATCATTGAATGGAATCGAAAGGAAACATCGAATGGACACAAACGGAATCATCACCGAATGGAATTGAATGGAATCATCATGAAATCGAATCGAATAGAATCGTCATTGAATGGAATCGAATGGAATCATCATCGAATGGAATCAAAAAGAATCATTGAATGAAATCAAATGGAATCATCATCTAATGGAACCGAATGGAATCATCATCGAGTGGAATTGAATGGAATCTTAATTGAATGTAATCAAATGAAAACATCAAATGGACACGAATGCAATCATCAACTGTGCTTCAATGGAATCATCATCGAATGGAAACAGATGGAATCATAGAATGGACTTGAATGGAATCATCGAATGGACTCGAAAGGAAACATCATTGAATGGAATCGAAAGGAATCATCCAATGGACTTGAATGGAATTATTGAATGGACTCGAATGGAATCATCATCGAATGGAATCAAAAGAAATTATCCAATGATGTTGAATGGAATCCTTGAATGTAGTCGAATGGAATTATCATCAAATACAATCGAATGGAATAATCCAATGGACACGAATGGTATCACCATTGAAAGGAATCAAATGGAATCATCATCAAATACAATCAAATGGAATCATTGAATGGACCCGAATGGAATCATCATCGAATAGAATCGAATGGAATCATTGAATGGAATCATCATCAAATGGAGTCCAATGAAATCATCAAATGGACTTGAATGGAATCATCATAGAATGGAATTGAATGGAATCATCGAATGGAATCGAACGGAATTATCATCGAGTGGAATCAAATAGTATCATCGAATGTACTCGAATGGAATCATCAATGAATGGTATCATCGAATGGAATCAAGTGGAATAATCTTCAATTGGCATCAAAATAAGTCACCGAATGGTCTTGAATGGAATAATCATCTAAAGGAATTTAATGGAATCATCGAATCATATCGAATGGAATAATCATCAAATGGAATCGAATAGAATGACCAATCGGACTTGAATGGCATCATTAAATGGAATCATATTGAATCATCATCGAATGGAATCGAAAAGAATCAACACCAAATGGAGTCGAATGGAATCATCATCAAATGGAATCCAAAGGAATCATCATTGAATGGATTCAAATGGAATCATCGAATGGACTTGGAGGGAGTCATCGAAAGGAATCAAACAGAATCATCAACGAATGGAATCGAAGGGAATCATAGGATGGAATCCAGTGTAGTCATCTTCGAATTCAACCCAATGGAATCATTAAATGGACTCCAATAGAATCATCAAATGGACTCAAATGGAATAATCATCGAATGGAATAGAATGGAATCATCAAATGCAATCGAATGGAATCTTCGAATGGACTTGAATGGAATCATCATCGAATGGAATCAAATGGAATCATGGAATGGACTCGAATGGAATCATCATTGAATGGAATTGAAGGGAATCATCAAATGGACTTGAATGGAATCATTGAATGGACTCGAATGGAATAGTCATCAAACGAAACCAAATGGAATCATCGAATGGAATCGAATGGAATCATCATTGAATGGAATCGAATGGATTTGTCTTCGAGTTCAATCAAATGGAATCATCATCAAATGGAATCATCATGTAATGGAATCGAATGGAATCATCAACGAATGGAATCAAATGGAGAAATCGAATACAGTCCTTTGGAATCATCATTCAATGGAACCGAATGCAGTCGTCATCGAATTGAATCGAATGGAATCATCAGCAAATGGATTCGAAAGGAATCATTATGGAATAGAATCAAACGGAATCATCAAATGGAATGCAATGGAATCATTACGGAAAGGAATCGAAGGGGATCATCAAATAGAATCAAACAGAATCATTGAATGGAATCGAAGGGAATGATCATCGAATGGACTCAAATGGAATTATCATCAAAAGGAATCAAATGGAATCATCGATTGGACTCTAATGGAATAATCGGATGGACTCCAATGGAATCATCAAATGGAATCGAATGGAATCATCGAATGGACTCGAATGGAATCATCATTGAATGGAATTCAATGAAATCATCGAATGGACTCGAATGGAATCATCATCGAATGGAATCAAATGGGATCATCATGAAATGGAATCGAATGGGATCATCATGAAAATAAATCCAATGGATTCACTGAATGGACTCGAATGTAATGATCAAATGGGCTCGAATGGAATCATCAAATGGAATTGAATAGAATCATTGAATGGACTCGAATGGAGTCATCGAATGGACTCTAATGGAATCACCATAAAATGGAATCTTATGAAATCATCAAATGGACTCGAATGTAATCATTGAATGGACTTGAATGAAGTCATCGAATGGATTTGAATGGAATTATCATCCAATGGAATCGGAAGGAATCCTCGAATAGAATCAGATGGAATCATCAAATGGAATCGAAAGGAATCATCATCGAATGGAATTGAAGGCAATCATAGAATGGAATTGAAGGCAATCATCATTGAATGAAATCAAATGGAATCATAGAATGGAATCTCCGTCAAGGGCAATTGAGTGGAATCATTGAATGGAATCAAATGGAATCATTGTCGAATGGAATGGAATGGAATCAATGAATGGAAATGAATGGAATCACCAATGAATGGAATCGAATGGAATCATCATTGAAGGGAATCAAATGGAATCATCGAATGGACTCGAAGTGTATCATCATCAAATGGAATCATGTGGAATCATCTAATGGGCACGAATAGAATCATCATCGAATGGAATCATATGGAATCATCTAATGTACTTGAATGGAATCATCATTGATTGGAATAGAATGGATTCATCGAATGGAATCGAACAGAATCATCAACATATGGAATCGAGTGGAATCATCGAATGGACTCGAATGCAATCATCAGAGAATGGAATCAAATAGAAACATCAAATGGACTCGAATGGAATCATCATCGAATGGAATCGAATGGAATCATTGAATGGACTCGAATGGAATCATCATCGAATGTAATCAAAAGCAATTATCAAATGGATTTGAATAGAATCATCAAATGGACTCGAATGGAATCATCATTGAATGGCATCCAATGGAATCATCGAATGGACCCGAATGAAATCATCATTGAATGTAGTCAAACCGAATCATCGATTGGAATTGAATGGAAACATCATCGAATGTAATAAAATGGAATCATCTAATGGACTCGAATGAAATTATTATCGAATGGAATCGAATGAAATCATTATCGAATGGAATCAAATGAAATCATCGAATGGATTCAAATGGATTCATCATCGAATGGAATCGAATTGAATGACTCTATGGACTCGAATGGAATCCTCATCTAATGGAATTGAAAGGAATCATCTAATGGACTCGAAAGCAATCATCTAATACACTCGAAAGGAATCATCATAGAATGAAATTGAATGGAGTCACCGAATGGAGATGAAAGGAATCATCATCGAATAGAATCGAATGGAATCATTGAATGGACTCAAAAGGAATATCGTTGAATGGAATCAAAAGCCATCATTGAATGGACTGAAATGGAGTTATCGAATGGACTCGAATGAAATCACTGAATGGACTCGAATGGAATCATCATTGAATGGACTCAAATGGAATGATCAAATGGAATCGAATGGAATCATGGATTGGAATCAAATGTAATTACTGAATGGGCTCGAATGGAATCATCTAATGGACACGAATGGAATCATTATGGAATGGAATGAAATGGAATAATCAAATGGAATTGAATGGAATCATCGAATGGAATCGAACAAAATCCTCTTTGAATGGAATAAGATGGAATCACCAAATGGAATTGAACGCATTCATCATCGAATGGACTCAAATAGTATCATCATCAAATGGAATTGAATGCAATCATCAAATGGATTTGATTGGAATCATCATCGAATGGAATCTAATGGAATAATCGAATGAACTAGAATGGAATCATCGAATGGAGTTGAATGGAATCATCATCAAATGAAATCAAATGGAATCACAGAATAACATCTAATGGAATCATCATCAAATGGAGTCGAATGGAATCAATGAATGGACTCGAACGGAAACATCATCGAATGAAATCGAACGGAATCATAGAATATCATCGAATGGAATCATCTTCTAATGGAGTTGAATGGAATCATCGAATGGACTTGAACGGAAAGTAATCAAATGGAATCTTCGAATGGACCCAAATGGAATCATCATCGAATGCAATTGAATGGAATCACCATAGAATGGTATCGAATGTAACCACCATCGAATGAAATCGAATGTAATCATCATCGAATGGAATCGAATGGTATCATAGAATTGAATAGAATGGAATCATCATAGAATGGAATGAAATAGAATCATTGAATGAAATCGAATGTCATCATCATCGAATGGCATCAAATGGTATCATCATCAAATGGAATCATCAAATGGAATCTAATGGAATCATCATCAAATGAAATTGAAGGGAATCATCGAATGGCATTGAAAGGAATCATCATCCAATGGAATCAAATGGAATCATCAATCGGACTCGTTTGGAATCATCATCGAGTAGAATTGTGTGGAATCATCGAATGGACACGAATGGAATCATCATCGAATGGAATGAAATGGAATCATCATCAAATGGATTTGAATGGAATCATCATAGAATGGAATCGAATGGAATCATCTAATGGAATAGAAGGGAATCATCATCGAATGGAATCAAATAGAATCATCGAATGAAATCCCATGGAATCATCATCGAATGGAATTGAATGGAATTATGATCGAATGGAATTGAATGGAATCATCATCACATGGAAACAAATGGAACCATCATGGAGTGGAATCTAATGGAATCATCATCGAATGGAATCCAATGTGATCACTGAATTGAATGGAGTGATCATCAAATGGAATCAAAGGGAATCATCAAATTGGGTTGAAAGGAATCGGCGAAAGGAATCGAATGGAATCATCGAATGGATTTGAATGGAATCATCATCGAATGGAATCAAATGGAATCATCGAATGGACTCGAGTGGAATCATCATTGAATGGAATCAAATGGAATCATTGAATGAACACGAATGGAATCATCATTGAATGGAATCCAATGGAATCATCGAATGGACTCAAATGGAAATATCATCAAATGGAACCAAATGGAATCATTGAATGGCATCGAATAGAATCATCAAAGCATGGTATCTAAGGGAATAATAAAATGGACTCGAATGGAATCATCTAATGGACTCGAAAGGAATCATCATCGAATGGAATCAAATGGAATCATCAAATGGACTCGAATGGAATCATCTTCAAATGGAATCAGAAAATGGACTCGAATGGAATCATCAACGAATGGAATCAGATGGAATCATCGAATGGCATCGAATGGAATCATAATGGAATGGAATGGAATAGAATCATTGAATGGCCTCAAATGGAGTCATGATTGATTGGAATCAAATGGAATCTTCGAGTGGACTCAATTGAAATCATCATCGAATTCAAGTGAATGGAATCATCGTCGAATGGAATAGAAGGGAATCATCATCGAATGGAATCGAATGGAATAATCATCAAATGGAATCAAATGGGATCATCATCGAATGGAATAGAATGGAATCGTCGAATGGAATAGAATGGAATCGTCCAATGGAATAGAATGGAATGATCATTGAATGGGATCGAATGGAAACATCGAATGAAATTGAATGGAATCATCATCAAATGGAATAGAATGGAATCATCATCGAATGGAATCTAACGGATTCATCATCCAATGTAATTGAATGGAATCATCATCGAATGGATTCAAATTGAATCATCCAATGTAATAGAATTGAATCTTCATAGAATGGAATCAAATGGAATCATAGAATGAAATCAAATGGAATCATCATCAAATGGAATCGAATGGAATTATCAATGAAAGGAATCGAATGTAATCATAGAATGGAAGCCAATGTAATAATCATCATATTGAACTCAATGGAATCATTAAATGGAGCTAATGGAATCATTGAATGGACTCGAATGGAGTCATCATCAAATGGAATAGAATGGAATCATTCAATGGAATCAAATGCAATCATCATCGACTGAAATCAAATGTAATCATCGAATGGACTCGAATGTAATAATCATCGAATGGACTCGAATGTAATCATCATCGAATGGAATCAAATGGAATCATCGAATGGACTCAAATGGAATCATCATCGAATGGACTCAAAAAGAATTATCAAATGGACACGAATAGAATCATCATTGAATGGACTAAAATGGAATTATCAAATGGTCTCAAATGGAATCATGGATTTGACTCAAATGGAATTATCAAATGGGCTCGAATGGAATCATCGAATGGACTTGAATGGAATCATTATCAAATGGAATAAAATGGAATCATCGAATGGAATAGAATGGAATCATCGTACATAATCGATCGCAATCATCATCGAATGGAATCAAATGTAATCATCAAATGGAATCAAATGCAGTCATCATCAAATGGAATCGAATGGAATCATCGTCGAATAGAATTGAATGGAATCATCAAATGGAATCGATTGGAATCATCCTCAAATGTAATTGAGTGGAATCATCAAATGGTATCCAATGGAATAATCGAATAGAATTGAATGGAATCAGCATCGAATGATATAGAAAGGAATCATAATTGAATAGAATAGAATGGAATCATTGAATAGAACCATCATCAAATGGCGTCAAATGGAAACATCAAATGGACTCGAATGGAATCATCATAGAATGGAATTGAATGGAATCATCGAGAGAAATCGTATTTATTCATCACTGAATGATATCAAGTAGTATCATGGAATGCACTCAAATGGAATCATAAACGAATGGTATCAAATGGTATCATCGAATGTAATCGAATGGAGTCATCATCAGTTGGAATCAAAAGGAATCACCGAAAGGATTCAAATGGAATAATCATCGAAAGGAATCAAATCGAATCATTGAATTGAATCGAATGGAATCATCATCGAATGGCATTGATTGGAATCATCGAATGGACTCGAATGGAATCATCATCATATGGAATCCAATAGAATCATCGAATGGAATTGAATGGAGTCATCATTGAATGGCATCAAATGGAATCATCATCGAATGGAATAGAAAAGAATCAACATCAAATGGAGTTGAAAGGAATCATCATTGAAAGGAATCCAAAGGAATCATCATCGAATGGAACTGAATGGAATCATCATTGAATGGAACCGAAAGGAGTCATCATCGAATGGAATCGAATGGAATCATCATCAAATGGAATTGAATGGAATCATCGAATGGAATTGAATGGAATCATCATCGAATGAATTGAATGGAATCATCGAATGATCTCAAATGGAATCATTATCAAATGGAATCGAATGGAATCACTGAATACAATTGAATGGAATAATCATTGAATGGACTCGAATGGAATTATCATCAAGTGGAATCGAATGGAATTATCAAATGAAATCGAATAGAATCATCAAATGCACTCGAATGGAATCATCAAATGCAATGAAATAGAATGGAATAATCAATGATCTCGAGTGGAATCATCATTGAATGGAATCGAATGGAATCATTGAGTGGAATCGAATGGAATCATGATCAAATGGAATCATCATCGAATGGAATTGAAAAGAATCATCATCAATTGGAATTGAATGGAATCATCATCAAATGGAATCCAAAGGAATCATCATCGAATGTAACCAAAAGGAATCATCATCGAATGGAAATGAAAGGAGTCATCATCGAATGGAATCGCATGGAATCATCATGGAATGGAATCGAATGGAATCATCATCAAATGGAATCTAATGGAATCATCGAATGGAATTGAATGGAATCGTCATTGAATGAATTGAATGGAATAATCGAATGGTCTCGAATGGAATCATCTTCAAATGGAATCGAATGGAATAGAATTGAATCATCGTATAGAATCGAATGGAATTATCATCGAATGGACTCAAATGGAATCAACATCAAACGGAATCAAATGGAATTATCTACTGTAATTGAAGAGAATCATTGAATGCCTCAAATAGAATCATCGAATGGAATGGAATGGAATAATCCATGGACTCGAATGCAATCATCATCGAATGGAATTGAATGGAATAATCAAATGGACTCGAATGGAATAATCATCAAATGGAATTGAATGGAACCATCATCAGATGGAAACGAATGGAATCATCATCAAATGGAATCGAATGGGATCATCAAATGGAATCAGATGGAATCATCATTGAATGGAATCGAATAGAGTTATGGAATGAAATCGAATGTCATCATCATCGAATGGACTCGAATGGAATCATCATCCAATGGAAACTAATGGAAACAATATCGAATAGAATCGAATGAAACACCATCGAATTGAAATGAATGGAAATATCATGAAATTCAAATGGATGAACTCATCATCAAATGAGTTCGAATGGAATTATCGAATGGAATTGATTGGAATCATCATCAAATGGAATCGAATGGAATCATTGAATGGAATCGAATGGAATCATCATCGGATGGAAACGAATCGAATCATCATAGAATGGAATCAAATGGATTCATTGAATGGAATCAGATGGAATCATTGAATGGACTTGAATGGAATCATCGAATGGACTCGAATGGAATCATTGAATGGAATTGAATGGAATCATCGAATGGTCTTGAATGGAATCATCATTGAATGGAATCTAATTTAATCATCGAAAGGAATTGAATGGAATCATCATCGAATGGAATCAAGTAGAATTGGCATCGAATAGAATCGAATGGAATCATCACCAATGGAATCGAATGGAATTTTCTTCAAATGGAATCGATTGGAAACATCATTGAATAGAATCGAATGGGATCATTGAATGAAACTGAAAGGAATCATCATCAAAACGAATCAAAATAAAACAAAGAATGGAATCCAATGGAATCATCGAATGGAATCAAATGGAAACATCACTGAATGGACTCGAATGGAGTCATCATCGAATGGAATCAAATGGAATCATTTAATGGACTCCAATGGAATCATTGAATGGACTCGAATGGAATCATGGAATGGATTCTAATGTAATCATCATCGAATGAAATCAAATGGAATCATCGAATGGAATTGAATGGAATCATCATTGAGTGGAATCGAATGAAATCATGGAATGCATTCGAATGGAATCATCGAATGGACTCAAATGGAACCAACATTGAGTGGGATCGAAAGAAAACATCAAATGGAGTTGAATGGAAAAATCGAATGGAATCATCATCGAATGGAATAGAATGGAATCATCGAATGGACGTGAAAGGAATCATCACTGAATGTAATCCAATGGAATCATTGAATGTAATCCAATGGAATCATCATTGAATTGAATCGAATGGAATCATCATCGAATGGAATTGAATGGAATCATCATCGAATGGAATCGAATGGAAGCAACATCAAATGGAATAGAATGGAATCATCAATGAATGGAATTGAATGGAGTAATCGAAAGGAGTCATCGAATGGAGTCCGTTAGAATCATCATCGAATGGAACAGAATGCAGTCATCATCTAATGGAATCAAATGGAATCAAATGGAATCATCGAATGGACTTGATGGAATCTTCATCACATGGAATCGAATGTAATCATCGAATGGACTCAAATGGAATCACCATCAAATGGAATCGAATGGAATCTTTGAATGGAATCGAATGAAATTATTTAATGGAATGGAATAGAATCATCATTGAATAGAATCGAATTGGACCATCATCGAATGGAATCTAATGAAATTATCATCGAATGGAATCTAGTGGAGTCATCATCTAATGGAATTGAATTGAATCAGCAAGGAATGGAATCAAATGGAGAAATCGAATGGAATCCGTTGGAATCATCATCGAATGGAACCGAATGCAGTCATCATAGAATGGAATCGAATGGAATCAATGAAGGGACTCGAATTGTGTCATCATTGAATGGAATCAGATGGAATCATTGAATTGACTCAAATGGAATCATCGAGTGGACTCGAATGGAAACATCATCGTATGGAGTCAAAAGGAATCCTCGAATGGACTCTAATGGAATCATCATCGAATGCAATTGAATGGAATCATCGAATGGACTCTAATGGAATCATCATCGAATGGAATCAAATGGAATCATCAAATGGACTTGAATGGAATCATTGAATGGACTCTAATGGAATCATCATCAAATGGAATCGAGTGTAATCCTCGAATGGAATCAAATGGAATCATCAAAAGGAATCAAACAGATTTATAAGAAACTTACTTGAACCAACATATAGAAAAACAAACAAATCAAAACCCCCTAAAACTGTGATGAGCAAAGTAGACATCAGAACAGGAAATATCACTGGGAATGAAGAATAACATTTCAAAATGACAAAGGGGAAAATACACCAAGAAGTCATGTAAATAAGGAATATGTATGCGCACGATAGCAGTACTTCAAAATACATGATATAAAACCTATCAAAACTGAAAGGTAAAATAGTAAAGCCACAGTCATCCATGGGGCTTTCAACAGTCCCCTGCCAGAAATTTTTAAATTTTGTTAAACGAAATGTTGGGAAGGGTAGAGAGGATCTCATAAATATAATTAGCCATCTTTATCTAATTGAATCTTTTAGAATAATCTAAGGATGAGGAATGCGGTAGCAGAGAAAGAAAAGGCAGACATCGACGTGACATTAGTGTTTCAAGGCTATGAGAATACACCAATAACGGTGTGTGTGTGTGTGTGTGTGTGTGCAGATGGTAAGCTCAATCTTAAAAATATTGAGTTTTAACTGACAATTCATTATTAGGAAAGATAAGAGGAAATGCTACCTCGTGAGAGGCTATATGACTGAACTCTAAGAGAAAGGTCACAGCAGAAATTGTGTACTTGACAGCTCTATAAGGAGGTGAGTCAAAAATAAGTCAGTGATGAATTCTCTGGTGTAAAAGCAGAGGAATGAGGATTAGATTTAAAACCCATGGAAGCAGAGTGACTTATGATAAAAACATGAGCTTGAAAATCCTGTAGAGAGGGCTTTAAATCCTGGGTATGATATTCTGCTTGTGTAGGCAATAGTGATAAAAACACAACAACAAAAAGAGGTAAAGAGCACTTTCCTTTGATATAAGTTAAGGGCACGTCTTATTGCATATATATATATATATATATATATATATATATATATATATATATATATATATATATACATATATATTCAACTGAGATTCAACATGTTTCTCTCATTGAAACAGCAAGCTCTCCAGGCCTTCATGTTCCCAGTGAGGTAGGTAACCTTCTGATGATTATACTCACCCTCCCTCATTGCAAAGCTCCCATTGTTATTGTCTTGGCTCTGGATTCCCTCAAAAATAGACTATGAAACAAATATCTGGGGTCAGATACTTTAATCAGAAATTGAGTGAGAAAGCACAGAAGGAGAAAATGAAACAGAACACGAAGCCAGTGTGAATGAGTAATTACTGCTATGTGCTCAATAATGATGGAGGTATGGAGATTGTCTCAAAATAACTTTACAAAGAGATGGGGATGCTGGAATCCCCGTCTCTTATTGCTTAAGGATTGCCTTAGAATCATTAACTCTCCAACCCTAACTCCTTCTTTGTTCCCATGTGTGGTGGAGACGCACTGGTTAGTCTCAAGAAGCTTGCAGGCAGGCCCAAAAATCAGAAAGACAGGAAGGATGTGGGGAGCTCTCAGTTAGCTGGAAACAGATGAATTCCAGGTGAACACATTGAGTCCAGGACATTGAAGACAACTCATCAGAAATATCTGCTATAGCCAGTTTTCTTTTTCTTTTTAAGAACATATATACTTTCTATTGGTGGTCCCAAAGTCCCCCTTTGGTTTAATGATTCACATAACTCAAGAAAGCTGATATTTTCTATGGTTGTAGTTTCTAACAGTGAAAGAAACCAGATTAAAATAATCAGAAGCATAAAAGCACATAAAGTTGAGTCCAGGACAAACCAGATGTGAGCTTACAGGTGTCCTTTCATAGTGGGGACCTCACACTGACAAATTTTCTTTACAATGGTGTGAGACAACATGTGTGAAATTGTTGCCAACTAGGGAAGCTCAGTCAGTCTTGAGTCCAGGGTTTTTATTAGGATTCCACAACATATGCATCGAGCGTCCTGTGACTGAACTTAGCTACGTAGTTCCCAACCTCCCTATGCCCTAAGAGAGGTCATATTAATATGGCATTACACAAAGTCATAGGCATAGAGAAACAGGTGCTCACAAGGAATCACGTTGTTAGCATCAGCTATTTGATATGACCTACGTTTTCAGGTATACAAAGACTCTCATCAGGCAGCATATACCAAGGGCTCCTACGTTATCATCTCCCAGGATCTGGTCAAGGGCCGGTCCTGAAGACCTCTGGAATGCGCAAGGTTTTGAAAAGCCATGTCTGCAGAATTAACCCTTCATTACACACCCTCCAAGACATTTTTTATCTTTAAAAATGTTTTTTGATCTTTGACAATGTACCAACCAATACTGAGTAAGTAGTAACAACAGTGTACTCCTGAGTACTTGCAACTACAAGGAGAAAAAGGACAGATGCACTTACATAGGACAGATGCAAATAGACACCACTATGACAAGTAAAGCTGGAATAATCAATAAATTCCTAAAGACAAAGTGGGGCTGGTGAGATTGGGAGACCGCTGACAGCTGCAGAAGTTGGGAAAGATCCATCATCTTGAAAACTTTTTCTGCACAAACCCACTGCAATCTCTCAAACAATTGGTAAGGAATCCAAGAGAGTCTGTATATGACACAGATCAGGGAGAGCAGAACACTTGGAAGGTGACCATATCTTGGGGGCCGAGCCCTTATGAATGTGATTAGTGCCTTTATAAAAGAAGCTCAACGGAGTTCTTGTGTACCTTCCACTATGTGAGGACATAGAAAGAAGGCACCATCTATGATGCATGAAATTGGCTCTCATCAACACTGAATTTGTGAGCATCTTGACCTGACATCTTACAGCCTCAAGAAGTGTGAAAAAAAATTTGTTGTTTTTTAGTCACCCAGTTTATGTTATTTTGTTATAAGAGTCCAAATAGACCAAGATATTCTGCTTAATATGTAGGGGAAGACAACAAAAACAGCCACACTTAGGATACTCCTGATGCTGGGAGTATGAAAACAGGAAAAACAAAACAAAACTGCTCTTGAAGGTGAAGGAGGAATATCACTGAGCTCACCAACACAGCCAGGAAAAGAACAGAAGTGTGAGAAGGCTACATTCCTGAGACCATGAGAAAAAGTACCTGCGTAAGACTGAGATGAAATTACCTACTCTACTTATGATTGAAATCCCAAAAAGAAAAGAGGGAAAAATAATGGAGCAAAAGAAATATTTTTCAAAATAACTGCCAAAAATATTCTAAAATAAGTGAAGGAAAATCAAACTTCAGATATAGGAAACTCAGAGAATGTCAAATAGAACAAAAAGAAATAAGAATTGCATCTTGAAAAATCTTTAAAAAATCAAGTCTAAATTTTATATCTTGCTCCAAATATACAGAGATATAAATAGGTAATCATCAAGATATGGAGAAAGAAATATCATGGAAACACTAAAATAAGGCTGTGGAAGGACTACATTGATATTAGACGCAACAGAGTTTGGAACAAGAAATACTATCGGAGATGAGAGATAATAGATAATACAATAATGAATTCTCAAGAAGATGTAAACATCCTACTAATTAGGGTATGCAGCTAACAACAGAACCTGCTAATACATGCGGTAAAACAGGAAAGAATTCAAAGGTGAACTACAAAAATCCAAAATTATATTTGCAGACTTCAACACTTTTGTCTTAGTAATGGAAACACTAGGCACAAACTCAGTAATCATGTGGAAGATAAGAACAACAATATCACCAACAAGACATCCAATCATCAATGGCAGATACTCTTTCCTTTCAAGTGAAAAAAAAATTGTATGGCATATTCTCTAACAAACCCAGAATTTCTAATACTTGCGTTCTTCCTTCCTTCTTTCCATCTTCCTTTCTCTTCTCTTCCCTTCCCTTGCCTTCTTCCTTCCTTTCTTCTTTCCCTCTTCCTTTTCTTTTCTTTTTTCTTTTCCTTTCTTTCTCTTCTTTCTTTTATTCTCCTTCCTTCCTTCTTTCCTTCTTTCTTTCTTTCCTCTTATTCCTCCTTCCCTCCTCCCTCTCTTCCTTTCTCCCTTCCTTTTCTTGCTTCTTTTCTCATATTCTCTCTTTCTTTCTCAAGTTCTTGCTTTCTTTCCTTTTTTCTCCCTTCCTCCCACCCTCGTTTTCTTCCTTCACCCCTCCCTTTCTTTCCCCTTTTTCCTTCCTTCCTTTGCCTCTTTATTTTCTTTGTTTCTTTGCCTTCATCCTTTTTATCATTCTCTCTTCCTCCTTTCATTCCTCCCTTCCTCCTTTCTTTCTTTCTCTCTTTCTCTCTCTTTCTTTCTCTTTCTTTCTTTCTTTCCTGTGTTCATGCATTCTTTTTTCTCCCTTTCTGCCTTTCTCCCTTTCTCCCTCACTCCCTTTCTTCCCTCATTTCCTGCTTCTTTTCTTTCTTCTTTCTTTCTTTTTTCCTTCCTTCCTTCTTTCCTTCCTTTTTTTTTCTTTGTTTTCTTTTCTTTCTTTCTCTTTACTACAATTCATATTATTTTAAAAAAATTAAGAGAGGGAGACAGAAAAATAAAGAAAGCTTTAATCTGCAGGTAAATAGATTATGTCTGCTGTAGGCAAAAGAATGGCCTCCCAAAAATTTTCATTTCCTAATTCCCAGAGTCTAACATACAAATATGTTTGGTTGCACAGCAGTGTGAAATTAGATTTCAAGTGAAATTAAGGTTGTGGGAAAATGATAGAGAGTTTGTCTTAAATGTGTGGGATCAATGAAATCACAAACTTCCTTATAAGTGAAAGAAGAAGGCAGAAGAAAGGCAACCTTGGAGGTGGTGGCATGAGAAATTACTCAACATCACTCACTTTTAAGATACAAGAATGAGGACCCAGCGCGGTGGCTCATGCCTAATCCCAGCACTTTGGGAGGCTGGGGTGGGTTTATCACGAGGTCAGGAGATCGAGACCATCCTGGCTAACATGGTGAAACCCCTTCCCTACTGAAAATACAAAAAATTAACTGGGCATGTTGGCAAGTGCCTGTAGTCCAAGCTGCTCGGGAAGCTGAGGCAGAAGAATCACTTGAACCCGGGAGGCAGAGGTTGCAGTGAGCTGAGATCATGCCAGTGCACTCCAGCCTGGGTGACAGAAGGAGACTCCATCACAAAAAAAAAAAAAGAAAAATAGGATATAAGAATGCGGTCATGTTCCAAGGAATAAAGTGGCCTCTGGATGCTGAAAAAAATCAAGTAATAAATTCTGCCACATAGCACTCAGAAAGACTGCAGCCCTGCCCAAAACTTGATGTTAGCCCTGTGAGTTTCATTTAAGGCTTCTGAACTACAGAACTGTAGGATTAACGGTCACTTTATTGTAAGACATGAAGTTTGTGGTAATTGGTTACAGCAGCAAGAGGAAGTTTATATTGTAATATTAACATGAAAATGAGAACCATAATTTACAACTGCTTTTAATACTGCACTTGGACGTTTGAAATCACGTAAATGGAAATGATCTCTATGTGCATGATGGAGGACAGCAAATTGATGCCAAAATAATGCAAATGCAAATCTTACACTCATTTCTATGTAGGTTTCATTTAATCTTTGAAATTAAAATGAAATTAAAAGATTGTGATCTTTTGATGAAATTAGACTAAAATGAACAATAACAAAATAAGAACTTACTAATACTGTTTATATGGTCAACAAAGAAGTGATAGTGGAAAAAAACAAGATCAAATGAAGGCGATGATTTAGGAAGTTGGAAAGATACCTGAAACTACAAAATGGTATATAACCAGTGAACACTTAGACACACTGATTGATGAACTTCAGCTTTTGGCTTGGTGAGAGCATAAAATGAGAGCAGCTGAGGTTTGCAAATTTGTAATCTCCTTGTGGAAAGCCAGGGGAAAACACATCTCAGCCTAATAAGACTTATCTACTAAAGAGTCTAGACTTGATCCATTTGTCCTTGTAATTCAAAAGCTAATTCAAATACTGATGTGATGTATTGTGTGAACAAGCATTGCTGATTATCATCGCATACCTGGCATTCTCTTTTATCTGATATCTAAAATATTTGGTAATTCCTGGACTTTCTCTTTTCAAACTCAGTACGATTTAATTTGAGTCTTAGAACAGTTGTCTTTGAGAAATTCTTCCCTCTACTGCATCTGTGAATGGGCATAGCATGGTTACATACATACTGTCACTCCATAGAACATTTGTTAAATTAAAGCCAAAGTTTAAAGCAAGAGCTTTAACTTACTGGTTTTACTAATGTTTTCCTCCCCAATAGCCACAACAATATTGATACCCTCTCACCTTTTAACATAAAGCTTGGTGTTGTCTATTTTTCAGGTGCTGTCATCTATATGATCTCAGCTTCCAGCCCATATGGTGGTTCATGCTTGTAATACCAGCAGTTGAAGAGGCTGAAATGAGAGGATTCCTTGAGCCCAGGATTTCAAAAGTAACCTGGGCAACATAGCAAGACCCCGTCTCTATCAAATGTTAAAAAAAAAAGTGGGCATTGTGAGGTGCACCTGTTGTCCTAGCTATTTGGTAGGCCAAGGTGGAAGGATTGCTTCAGCTTGGGAGGCTGAGGCTGCAGTGAGCAGTGATTGCACCACTGCATTCTAGCCTGGCAACATGCAAGACCCTATCTCAAAAAATATGTATAATAAAAATAAAAATCAGCTGTCCTTGATTTCTATGTAAATATGCACAGGTGATGTCCATATAGACATAAATAATAATATTTCTGACAATGGGTCCATATGATCTCCAAAATGTAAAATGCCTATATGTGTAATTGACTGGTTAGTCTCATTAATGAATATAGATTCAATTCTAATTTCTTGTTCTAGATAAATTATATAATCTAGCTTTTCATTTCACTTATTTACTGATAACAACAGGAAGAATGACAAGATATCTATTTTGGAAAATTACTCTGGTAGCAGTAAAGATGAAACAATTATAGAACTGCACGGAAAACTAGAAAAAAGTATGGTCTTCTGATATTCTATCACATCACATACTAAAGGCCTCATTAAACTCAGATATTTTATCTAAAAATGTTGTTTTCATCATAGGAATGATCAAAGCATGAGACTACAATTGTATTAAAATGTGCTTGTATCACAAACACAGGTGCTAAAAAGGAGGGGAAAACATCATTACTGATATTTTCAACGTATGTTTTACTTTCCGTCAACATGAACCTAAACTTGATATGATGCAGATTGAAGGAAATCACCATTAATTCCATACGAAGAAGGCCTGTGATATTTTATGGGAAAATAAATAGAGAAAATGCTAACAGAAACCCTATTAAGCATGAAGCTTTATGGAGCAAACATAAATCCAGTGGTGAAAGATACACACTCGAGTTCTGTTTGTTGTCTTCGAACAATACGGTTTAGAGGTGACTGGTGGGTGAGGAGAACATAAGCGAGTTCACCAAAGAGAAAAGCTGAATGAGGCAATGCCTCTTCCTGACCATATCTCTTACTCAGATAACTATTTAATTTATTGTCCAGTAAAGGGTATATTAAAAAATCATATTAAAAGTCATGCAGTGAAGTTGTCCAGGGAATTCAAGACTTAACAGACTCACTCTGACAATAATGAACAGGGGAATTCCCTCAAGATAGACTAGGACATGACCCCACACTGGCAGGTAGTAGTACGAGAAAAGAACCCATGGAAAATCTTTACCTTATGCTTGAGGTAGGGACCAGGCTAAAGTGAAAGCCAGACCTAAAATTCTATCTAAAATATATCCAAAATTGAAAAAAATATGTGGTGTACAGGCATAGCAAGTCTTTACTGGATCATTGAAATAGTAAGATAAATTCACCTTTTTACATTGTTTTCTTTTCCTCCAGTTAGGGCTTGAGGTTTGTCTCTGGAGAGTGACTGTCAATTGGAGCCCTGCCTTTCTGAGTTTCTGTTCAGGGTGTTGTGGATGCTTAACATGTGCCTTTCACAGGACAATTCCTTACCCCAGCAGTGGCCAGGTGTGCATCCCACGACCAGGCCTCCCTCTCACAGAACATCTGTTGAGACTAGGAGATGCCTGGTGACTGTTGCCTGACATGTGTCCTGTGTATTTCTGACAAGAGCCACTCTCAGAGACCCTGGCCAGAAGGAGAGTTAGGTTCCATTCTAGGTCGTCTGAGACCCATGGAGGCCAAAGGACCAAACATGGGATATCACAGAAGTAGGTTTATTACTCACAGATCCAGAGAGAAGAGGGTTGCTGAGAAGAGGGTTTAGCTGTGTCCCCAGCCAAATCTCATCTTGAATTCCCACATGTTGTGGGAGGGAAAGGATGGGAGGTAATTGAATCATGAGGGCAGGTCTTTCCCATGCTGTTCTTCTGATCGTGAATAAGTCTCACAAGATCTGATGGTTTCATAAAGGGGAGTTTCCCTGCACAAGCTCTCTTGTCTTGTCTGCTGCCATGTGAGACGTGCCTTTCAGCTTGCGCCATGATTGTGAGGCCTACCCAGCCATGTGGAACTGTGCATCTATTAAACCTCTTTCTTCTGGAAATTACCTAGTCTTGGGCATATTTTAATACTAGCAGCATATTATATATGTCAATCCATCAGGCATTTAGAAATACATCCTTATGAAAATTTTTTGCACCATCAGACAAAAGACAAGGGTAGAAGACATTTGTAACCCTTAACACACTAGTAAATTAAAAACTGAAGGACCTTTATGTCCTAAAATGTCTGTGTTGTGAAAAGCTGCCCTGTGAAATACGGGATTTCTTAAACATATTTCAAAAATCATAGTTGTCAATATTTTTAGAAATCCACTTAAGTTTTCTCTTGCTATTTTACAATGCCTATTTATTTATTTAGTGGCTCTGCTGATTTTGATGTATATCCTAAACTTTATATTTTCTTTAAAGGATGTTTTATACAACTTTACGTAAAATGTTTCAGTATCTTCACATTCTCTCCCTGTCCTTTTGTTTTGTTCTTATATGGTGGTCTTGAGTCTTTTCTCTGCCTTTTCAAACCTAGTAAGACTAAGACACTAAAGTAACTTTGCCCGTGGTTTGGTAATGCCTTCTAAAGCACATCCTAAGCTCTCGTGCATACAGGCGTCTCCTTTGAGCTGTGTGCTTTTGAGATCCCATATACCTAAATTCCAGTACTCCAAATCAGTACTACTCAGTTTTAGTTACTAAGTTTAATAATGTATTTTAATAACAAGTTAGTTTAGTGCACTCTTGCTTCTTTCTTGACTGCTTGTATACATGTATATTCCTTTAAATGAATCTTGGAATTTATTTAAAAATTTTAAATTATACTAATGAAACTGTATATTGTTGTGAATTCAAAAGTGAATTTGGAAAGAATTTGTCTTTATGATACTAAATCCTTTTTATCCAAGAATCATGTGTCTTTATATTTATTCCAGTCTATATTTATATCACTGAGTAAATATATAGAAATGTAGATACATACAGCTGTAGTTATAGATACAAATATAGATATAACATGTTAAATCTATATCTATCCCATATAACATATATACATGTTATATGTGTGTGTGTATATATTTATGTTTATGTTATTAAAGAGCTCCCTTAAAATTTTTCTTTTATTTCCTATATAATTTTAGGTCGAGCTTGAATTTTCCTTGTATAAACAATCAAACATTTATGCCAGTTTTAATACTGATGTTTAGACATTGTATCTTATTTTAGCATTGAATATTTTCACAATTATTATAAATATTATCTAATATTAAGAATGTACCTGTAAAAAATATTTAAAATTTTACCTTTGAATTATTTTATTGTTTAATTAAAATTCCTTTAACATGATAGTAAATATCTATTTTATGCTTTCTCTATGCATATGCAAATTAAACTATCCACTTCTCTATCTCTATGTAGTGACATATGAAAATCAGGCCTCTCTTCTTCTAATGGACATACCCGTGTTTGCATATAGATTATCAGACCCTTTACAGCATTTAAAATCTTTAAAGACATGAATATTGGCTTTTAACAAATATATTTTAGCATGTACTGAGAATCCCCTATTTATTTTTAATTTGGGCTAATCAATATTATTATTAATATTATTGGATTACCAAATTTGGAAACACACTTTCATCCCCAAGGTGGATATTTGTTTTATATTTTTTGCCAATTTCTTGTTTTACTGTTTCAAGTATTGTTGGACATTATTTTTATTTTATTTGGCATTTTAGTATCAACATTTGTAATTGTGGTACTCTATATATATTTTTTTCAATATCTGGTGGGTTTTATAATTACTGCTCTATTGGATTTGTAGTAGACATTGACAAAAATGATTCTTGTATGTTTTATAGCTGTATGAAGGAAACTAATATATTTTATCCCTAAATATATTTCTTTGATATATTTCAAAATGGCTATTGAGAAGGGCTGGAAATGCAAACTTAGCTGCAAAGCTGTCTTGGGGAGATTTGCATCGGTAGAGAATCTGCCTTGATGCAGCCAGGCTTTCTCTGAGGTCTGCCCCTTTGTCTGGATCTAGGAAAGCTTAAATGAGAGTCTGAGGTCTCCAAAGGTCTGAAAGAAACATTTTCTGTTTATTCTCTCTGAGGACTGCTCCTAGTGAGATTCCACCTATGCAATAAGTCCACTGTTGCTAGCCAGGGTCGTTTTCTCACATAACCTTTTTTTTTTCCCTGTGATCCAAGACCCCATTCTTTCTGTAAACTTCATGTGGTAGATAAGCTTCTGCACGCATCGTGTGTCTGGGTCTTAGTTCTAACGTCTCCGGTGTACACACATTGCAGAAACCTGTATGCCTTTTCTACTATTTATCTGCCTCCTATTCGTGATTTTCAGGGAAGCTTCTGAAGGCAAAAGGGACATTCTCCTTTAGCCCATTCTCAGACAAAATACCCCAACATTTAACTGATTCCTAATAGCTTAAAATCACTTTGAAAAATCCATATACTTTTAACCTTTTCTTCCCTCTATGATTTCTGGTCAGCTTGGGTTTTGTTTTTCATTCCATTTACTTCATCCTCGAAAAGATCTATTTTACGTCTATTTATTCTCATTTATGCACATTGAGAAAAGAAAATAACTTTCATGTGAGAAATGCAAGTCCTTTTAAATAATCAGGCCCAGAGAGATATTCAAATGAGATAGCAGTTCTGTCCTTCTCCTCTTTGAGCTGTGTGTTCATCTAGGCTGCTTGCTGTTGCCACAGTAGTTATAAATTAACCAATAACTCCACACCAGACACTATAATCCACACCCAATAATAGTGTAAAAGTGTGTAGCCAGTCACTAATAAATGTTATCTCCATAAGCCAATGAGAATTTGTGACAAACCTCTTTGCATCATCCCACTTCTGGACCCTTTTTTGCCTTTAAGAAACTACTTGTTGCAAAGCTCCAAAGGGAGTTCATATCCAAGGCTGCTTGGGTCTGTTTCTTCCAGGCAGCTGTCCTCATTGTGGCTCAAGTAAACTCTTTGAATTATGTTTTGTGCGTCAGCCCCTTCCACTTACATTAACAACATGGATTTGTGTCACCATGTACAGCAATTAAAATGTTTACACTTTTCCCCTCGAGGGCACTGATGTGTTTTCCTGAGCACTTGGAATAGCTACGTAATGTTTACTATCTAGATTATGGTTTCTCAACCTTGATGCTACTTACCTTTAGGACCAGAGGATTCTCTGTTGTGGGAGGCTGCCCTAGCAATGCTAAGTGTTTCGTTTGACCTCTAAATTTCACACCTCCACCAGTCTTGACATGCCCACAATAACCCTAGACATTGACAAATGTCTCCTGGGGAGAACTCTCCACCAGTTGTCAGCCAAAGTTCTGGAAATATTGGAATTGTCAATTGAGATTTTATGTTATCCAAAACAAATACTTTTCTTTGTTTTTAAACATCTACTTCCATCTACTTATCTACTTATTTTTACTTTTATTTGTAACTTAATTCCATCAAGGAGAGAGAGTGCATTTTCTGTTATGCTAAATTTTTGAAGAATGTATTGATTTTTTATGACCTGATATATGGATGATATGTAGATATTACATGTTTGTATTATCAAATTTCAGGGCGATAATAAAATAAATACTTATAATATTTATATTGTCACTGTATATTAGTAATTTCCTTTCTTAACTAGAGGAGTTTTTCAACCTATAGGCTATTTTTCAATTCTGGTTTATCCAGTAGATTTTGAAAAGTTATGATTAAATATCTACTTCTCAAGCATTCATCTTTGCAAATGAAACAATCCCAAGCTCTTATAATACACATCATATAAAGGGCAGATTAGTCAATATATGGTTCAGAAATAATTATGTAATATTTACAAGAAAACTAAAAATTTAGATCCTTAACTCAGATAATAAAAATCCAAATTAAAATTTGATTTCATTACATAACTTAAAATGACACCAGAATACTAGTAAAAATGTACATAAGTTCATATAATCTTTTTTAGTTGTAGGACTTTATTAGCAAAAATTCAAATACAGGAACCAAGTAAGACTGAGACCTATAGTCAAAGGTTAAAATGTACACATTATAGGGGCATGATTAAACTAATTTAAAGCATGATAACATGGAGAAATATTGCAAAACATACATGTTACTGAATTAATTGTTAATATATAATCATTATGTGAGAACAAAATTAAAGAGTAGCTACAAATGCACACACCCACACACAAGTGCAGTATTGTCAAATAAACAATGTTCAGCTACACTAGAAATCACACCTGTGTTTTCTCCACAGAACAGATTAAAAAGCACAATAATATTTATTGTTCATATGGAGGTAAATATACTAAAAATATTACCCTAAAATACATTATTTTTGAGATGTAGTTTTGCTTTTATTGCCCAGACTAGAGTGCAACGGCACAATCTTGGCTCACTGTAACCTCAGCCTCCCAGGGTCAACTAATTCTCCTAGCTCAGCCTCCCAAGTAGCTGAGATTACAGGCATGCACCACCACACTCAGCTAATTTTTTGTATTTACTAGAGACGGGGTTTCATCATGTTTGTCAGGCTGGTCTCCAACTCCTGACTTCAGGTGATCTACCCAATTCAGCCTCCCAAAGTGCTGGGATTACAGGCATGCACCTGTGTAGCTTTTTGACATATTTCAAGATGGCTACTCGGAAGACTGGAGATAGCTTCTTCTACAAGAATAGCTGAAAAGCTCTGTTTGTTGGGGAGATTTGCATTTGTAGAGAAAATCTGCATTGATATAGACAGGCTTTCCCTGAGATACTCCCTTGTCTGGGTTTAGGAAACATTAACTGAGCCTGGCATGTTTACATTTCTAAAAACCATTTCCTATCTATACTTCCCAAGAGGAGGGCTGCTCCCTGTGAGGTTTCATCCATGTAACAAGACCACCTCTGCTGCCAGGCTCCTCTTTCTTCCTTGTCCTCACCTGTCTTCCGCAAAGCCTGATTTACCAACCTACAGCTCTGTGTTTTCTGTAACCTCAAGACAGCATAGGCGTGCTGACTACCTTGCCTTTCCTGAAGTTTTTATATATATAGTATATATTTGTATATCTCTTTATAATATACAAATATTTGTATAGATATATTTATATATAATATGTAAACTGCAAGTGCATACTTGTGCACATATCTGTAAACCTTTCTTTCCTGTTAATTTGTACATTATCAGTTTGGTATATAGACTCAAATAATTAAAGCTTCAAGGGAAAAATTTAAACTTTCCTATAGAGAAAAGACAAATATATAGGTGACAAATAATATTTAGAGTGTAAGACACTTTATTAAGGTATATTTGCTATTTGTGTCAAAACATTTAAATATACATTTGTTATTTTAACTATAAAATTTCAAATAATTTAAGCCAAATACGTAGTATATGCAGAAAACTTAGCAGTATATCTATTTAGCACCTTACTGTGCATTACTGTCACCAGCCGTCTGATATAAAGAATTAATTAAGGTAGCAGCTACTTTTATAAGAGGTCATTTTTTTCACAGACCTATTAAATAAGACAAATAACATTTAAACTTTATTTTTAAATTTGCAGAATAGTAGTTTTCAGCTGATGGTTTATTTTAGCAAATTCCATCTTCACATTGTGCTATGCTTTTATGAGTTCCAGCTGTTAATGGATCATATTTTACTGCTGAAACTATCATGTGTGATATAATTGCTCATTATGTGCCTTAAAACACAAGCAATATAATTATTTTCAACTTGGAGCAAATTAAAATCTTATCAGCAATTTAAAAACTCTAGAGTCGTCTTCTTCTGGTTAATTATTTTAAACTTGTATTTTTCTCTTTAAGTTTTTAGTGAGTTGTCTTATCAAGGAGAAGAACTCAAGCTGATTATTCTTTTTTTTCTCTTCCATCCACCTCGCAGGTGTTTTAATAATTTCATTTCTCAGAAAATGTTCTTTCATATCCATCTTACAAGATGAGAGACCTTTTAACATCTTCCATTCGGATGTGATACCAGTAATGGAAAATATTCCAGCTTCGTGAATATGGTGATACAAATAGTTATCCGTCTAACCTCTTTCAGTGCCAAATGTTTACTTTACTCAGTGAATTACTCAGTTGACTGGTAATTTCTTCTGAAATCACTAATGAGAGGATCAGAGGTCTGGCTGTTGTCTGTACTTCATATGACTCGCAGTGCAGACAATTGTTTCTATGGAGCACAGACAGTTGAAAAGATTGACTTCCTGCCTAGAATACTTTCTGCTGTGCTTCTTACCCTTCTTGTGGAGATTTCAGATTATATGAATTGCTTTTCTATCTTGAGATAAAACGCAACAATTCTCCCACCTGACAGGAATGTAAACTGTAGTAAGTTAGCAGAACCAATCCGTAAAATTTTTACATTGTTGGTTGCAAAATGAAGCGCTGGTGTCTCCATCATTAACCTTTTCTATCCCTCATTGCTCTTTCTTTGAATGCACTAGGATACCTCTAGGCAAATCTGTATTCCCGAGACAGAGTGCCCTTTTGGTGAGCTATAAGCACACTCGATGGTAGGCTGAAATACTAGCTTTTACCTATGGTGAAATGGAATCATATCAGTGATTTTTTTAAAAAGAAAATTTAACTCTTGCTATGGTTTGAATGCTTTCCCCTCCCAATCTCATGTTAAAATTTGATCCCCAATGTTGCAGGCGGGGCTTACTGGGAGGTGTTTGTTCATGGGGTTAGACCTTCATGAATGGATAATAACCTCCTTTAGAAATCTAAAGCTATCCTCCCTCCTCGGTGCCCTCAGGAATGAGTGTACCATTCTTTATTCACCTATAATTCCCCCACTCATCCTTTTTGAGATAATAATTACATGTATGTTACACTGCTGCATATTGTCTGAAGTATCAGTGAGTTTCTGGCTTTCTTATTTTAGTTTACCCTTTGTTCTTTAGTTTGTAAAGCTTCTACATTTTTCTATAAATTTTCTGATATTAGGGTAAATTCCATTACTTATTCTATCTCATGGAATTTTTATTTCAAATATTTATTTTTCATCTAGACATGTCACATTTTTCATTTTATAACTTCTATTTTTCTCCTATGTTCAATTTTCTTTTCAGTACCTTGACATATATATGTATTTATCTATATGTATTTATAAAATATATTTACTTTAAGGACCTTGAAATTTCCTTCTTTTCTGTCATTTATAAATGACTTATTTTTATCCTGTTAATATATAGCTTAATTATATATATCTTACGACTTCTTTACATGTCAGAGTTTTTTGGGGGTATTTTGATATTATGCTATTGAATATCTAGATTTTATTGGCTACCTTTGAACAATGTTGTGGCAGACAGTTCAGTAACTTCAGGATGAGTATTTGTCTGTTGTTGTTTTAAATCCTCTCTTTAAACTTTTTAGAGTTATTCTAGAGCCATCTGTAATTTGGAGCTAAATGAGCACTGTCACTAGGGCATGAACCTCCAGTGGTCTTTACTGAATATCCTGGAGGTACAGAGGGGATTCCCTTCTCTGATTAGAATTTGGAATATAAAGAGAAAAGAGAAAAATAGAAAGCTATGCATAAACACGTGCATTAAAATGAATTTTATGTGGGCTTTTTCATGAAAATGTTCCTAAGGTATTTAATTTTTTTATTGTGGTAAAATTCACATAACATAAAATGTACTCTGTTAACCATTTTAAGTTTACAGTTCAGTGGTACTAAATATAGTCATAACATTGTGCGGCCGTCCCTACCATCCATCTCCATAATTCGTTTCATCTCGTAAAACTGAAACTCTATACCCATTAAACAATACTTCCACATTTCTTCCTCCCCCCAGCTTCTAGCAACCATCATTGTACCATCTCTATAATGCTAATCAAGCATAGTGGCTGTGTTTCTTGCTTCCTCTAGTCCGCAGGTAGCATAAAAATGTAATAAACTACTTATTCATCTCACATCTATTAATTTTCTGCCTTATACCAAGCTTGTGGGATTCTCTTAAATACAACATTTTTATACTTACACCTATGCCATACCCATTAGCATCGCCTTCCTAAATCAGGGGAAATTGAGCCTCTGTAAGGTGGAGTAACTTTCTAAGATATAAAACTCAGCATTGAAGTCTGTATACTTCAATATCCTGCCCTCTTCTCATTTGTCTTTACTGCCTTTTATGTATGTGTTAAATGTTCAATAAATTCTCTTTTTTAAACTTAATTTAAGCTGTGGAGCAGTGTTTTGTTGAACAATAAATATGATATAGGACACTCTTCCTCCCTTTCATTTATGATCCTGTTCATGAAAAAGAGAAATTCTTTCATTGTGTTAGAAGCTTAAAGTAATGAAAATGCCACTTTCTACATTAAACAGAAACTGAAGGGAATCAAGGTGAATTGCATGAGACATAGAAAACAAGTGGGAAAGAAATCTAGTATAATTTGCCCTTTGTGTACCTTTATTATTTTGCGTTTGAGTAAATGATTCCCCCAAATATCTTCCCATCTTAATTCATGTCTCTAAAGTAGACATTTATGTCTCACCTTGTCAAGAACGGCAAACTCTAACATAAACATTTCCCAAAAATGCTTCCTGCTAAAACGTAAGCTCAGTCTGACTAGAAATGCAGCTCACTTCATAAAGATTAATTGGTTGCTAATTTTGCATGCTGTTCTCTGAACTTGAGTGAAACCTGTCCATCAGGCATACAGGGAATGACGGAAAAGGTGACAACAGAAGATGAATGCTATGTCACTAACCTTCAAAGATGACCTGCCTTTTCTTTCAAATTCTTGATATCTTAAGACTTCATTAATTCATCTCTCTTTGCCCTTGGTTCAACATTGTTCTATGCCAAAACTCATGTAAAACAATAATCTAATGTAATAAAAATGGCATTTTTCTTTCATGTAGATGGAAGCTAACTGGCATTTTTACAATCCACATATTTCCTTTGTCAATTTTTCATTCTGTATTGGAAGTAATTGATAGGTATTTCTTAAGGGGTGAAGGTGTTTCTGTGTTCATTGTGATCCAAACTATCTTTAGACCTAGGGGCGTTTGTATAACAATTTGTGCCAGCTGACCAAGGATCACTGTGGAAGAAAGCAGCCAACTTCCGTAAGATGTCACTGCCCCATAAGTTGGCTTTGAAAACAAGGGGCGTACTCTATAGTCTTATGAATCAAAGACATTGATAGATGTAGTATAAGATTACAATAATATTTTCCTTTGGACAGTCACATTATAAAGCATGTTTTATTGCAATTAATCTCAATTAGCTGATCACAATTAAAATTTAAAATGTTTATTATTGCTGATAAATAATCATGACTCTCCTGTTCTCAAATGTGCAAGTAATTCTTGTAATTTTAATACAAATTTGCATATTATTATTAATTGATTTAATCTCATTGGATTTGGTTCATGGATCCAATTTATTAAAATATTGATAATGGGATAATGATTTGTCTCCCCATTTCATGTACACTAAAAACAACAATTCTTACAATGGTCTGCAAGCCCATCATGATCTGCCACATGTTAACCGCCAAAATTCTTTTATATCTTCACCTCTGATCTTTCCAGTTGTCCTGGCCACCTCACTGTCCTCTGTACATGCCAACAGGCTGCTGCCATATGACCAAGACTCTAGTTAATTTCTTGGCTTGGAAAGATAGCCCTCCATATATCCATTCATCAGCTCATTCAACTTCCTCAAGTCTTTACTGAAACTTCACATTCTCGATGAGGCCTATTCAGTATTTCAAACTGCCTCCCAGCTGCAACATTCCAAAACCCCTTACTCTTCTGTGTATTTTTGAAAGGATTTATTGAGATATAATTTACATAGTGTAGAGTGCACACATTAATGTCTACAAGTCAGTGGCTTTTAGTATATGCACAGATAAGTGGAGCCATCATCACAATGAATTTTAGAACACTTTCACCACTTCAAAAAGAAACCACACCTTCTCTAGCTGTTTACCTCCTATGCACCCATCCCCTGCTCAATCCTAAGCAACCACAAATCTGTTTTCTGTCTCTATAGATTTTCCTATTCTGTTTTCATCTAAATAGAATCATACAATAGGTGGCCTTTTCTGCCTGGCTTCTTTCAGTTGGCATAATGCTATCAAGTTTCATGTAAGTATTGGTACTTTATTTCTTTTTATAACTGTGTAACATTCAATTTCATGGATAAAACATTTTGTTTATCCAATAATATTTTTATTGACATTTGAGTTGTGTTCAACCTTTGGCTATTTTCAATACTGCTGCTAAAAATACTTGTGTACAATTTGTGTTTGAACACCTCTTTCCAATAATCTGTGTGTATACCTAGGAATAAATTTCTGGGTCATATGACAATTCAATGCTTAATATATTTAGAAGGATCAAATTATTTTCCAAAGTGGTCAGTTCTAGCCATAGAGTATCTAACTGTGGTTTTGATTTGTAGTTTCCTGATGAGTGATGCTATTGAGTATCTTTTTATGGGATTATTGACCGTTCGTGTATCTTCTTGGGAAACACATCTGTTCCTATTCTTTATCAGTTTTGAGTTGGGATATTTGTTACTGAGTTAAAACGATTTTTCTATACTTAAGATACATATATATACAGACTTATAGATACGTGTTTTTCAAATATCTTCTCACAATTTTTGAGCTGCCTTTTGACTTGCTTGGTTGTCCTTTGAAACATCAATGTCTTTAATTTTTAAGAAATTTTAAATATCTAATTTTTATTTTGTTGCTCATGTTTTTGGAGTTACAGCTATTTCTTTGCTAGATCCAAAATCCTGAAGATTTTCCCATATGCTTTATTCTAGCTCTTACATGTGTGTCTTTAATTCATTTGAGTTAATATTTTTGTATGCTTTGGGGTAAGGGTTCGAATTTATTATTTTGCAAGTGGGCATCCACGTGTACGTTGTTGACCCAGTTTGTTCAAAGACTGTCTCTTCCTCATTGAATTGCACATGGCACCACTGTAAGAATCCATTGACTATAGACACATAGCTTTATATATGGACTCTCAATTCTCTTCCATCAATCTATATATTTTTCCTTCATCAGTATTATGTTGTCTTGATTACTGATACTCTGCAGTAAGTTTTGCAGCATGGGGGTGTGAATTATCCTAATATGTTTTCTTTTTTCAAGATTATTTTGGCTGTTATGAGTTCCTTACAATTCCATGTGTATTTTAGAATCAGCTTGTCAGATTCTAGACAGAAGTCTTTTGGGATACTTGCAGAGATTTCATCAAAACTGTAGTTCAAATTGTAAAGTACTACAATATTAAATCTTCCAATTCATGGCTGTAAGATGTTTGCTGATTATTTAGATAATCTTTAAACAATAAATTTTAAATTTCAGAGTAAAGTCTTGTATCACAATTTCCAAACTAATTATTATGTCTTTTTTTGATGCTATTTTAAATTGAAGTGTTTTCTTAATTTCATTTTGGGGTTTTCATTGTAGATGTGTGCAATTGATTTTTGTACATTTATCTTGTATGCTGTAATATTGCTGAAATAATTTACTAGTTCTATCCTTCAGTGGATTCCTTAAAATTTTCTATATACCAGAATGTTATTTTCAAATAAAGTTTTATTTCTTCCTTTTCAATATGGGTGACTCTTATTTTTCTAGTTGCCGATTTTCCCTGCATAATAACTTTAGTACAGTGTTGACCAGAAGAGGTCAAAGTACATATACTATTCTTATCTCTGACCATAGCAGGAAAGCATCCTTTAACATTAAGTTGCATGCTTGCTGTTGGCTTTTCACGGGAGCCGTGTATCTGGTGTAGAAAGTTCTCTATTCCTGGTTCATTGAGTTTTTATTTTTATTTTTAATCATTAAAACATTTGGATTTTGTTAAATGTCTTTTCCGAATCTATTGAGATGATCATGCAATTCTCGTTTCTTATTCTATGGATAAGATGTATTACCTTAATGGATTTTGGGCTGTTAAACCAACCTGGGATTACTTGTATAAATTTCACTTTGTTATAGTGTATAATTCTTTTATATGTTGCTAGATCTGGTTTGTTTGTATTTTTTAAGGAATTTTGCATTTATACTTATAGTAGTTTTACTTTTCTATGCTATTTGGACTAATTTTTGCATCAAGGTAACACTGGCCCCACAGAATAAATTGGGAAGTGAACATTTCTTTATTTTAAAAAACTAGTCAATAATTAATATCAATTATTCAACACTAACAAATATTATTATAAATTATTAATTACTCTAATTATTATTTTCTTCCTTCTGCTTGCTTTAGGTTTAGTTTGCTATTCTTTCCAGTGCCTTAATGTGGAAGGTCATCTTATCTCATCCTTTCGTTTGTCTTTTCATTTTCTACATAGTGTCTTTTTAGCATCAGGCGATCTCCCCAGTTTGGTAATACTCCATGATTATTGCTGTACAACAATGACAGGTAATATGTCCTGAAGACAATGGCAACTTAACATTCAAAATCTCCTAGATTCCACCTTATATGATATGTCTTTTCAATTGGTCCTAATTTGTACCCTTTCTCTATTATAAATTGTGAGTACAATGGCATTCAATGAGTTCTGTGAGTCTTCCTAGTAAATTCTTGAAACTGAGGGTGTTCAGGTGAAACCCCTAAACTGGCAGTTGGTGTCAGAATTGAGAATCGTCTTATATGGCCTCTTCCTTTGAACTTTGCAGCGGGACGCAAACTCTGCACAATTTGGGCCAGAAGTCTCGTGTTGACTTTGCAGCCTAAAGCATCTTGTAGTTTGTCTAACCCTCAATAAATTTGCTTTCATCAAATATTGTATTTGTTACCCGAAAATTACCATCACGTTTTTTTTTCTCCAAATAACTCACATTGGGAGAAATAGCCAGCTGAGTCTGTAACTCAACAGAAACAAGTGATCCATATACCATATACCATATAAGTGGCCATTTCATTTTGCCTTCTGCCACCAAATCTTAGCAACCTCAACCATTGTCATGAGCCACTGTAGGCCTACCAGCTACAAATAAACAAGTATCTTTTAAAAACCATTCATACCCCCATTTGATAAATTTCCCAGCAAAGGCATGCCTACTTTAACTCTATGCAAGTGGCTCATATTCACGAAGTCTGTAGATATTATTCATGTAGTGTGAGAAAATCATCCCAGCGATGCCAGCACATTCTCCTTCCCATGATCTGCTTAGTTTGCAAACATATTCAGGCCATGGGTGAGAGATTTGTATTTCACAGTACAACAATTTTATGGAGGGCATTGAAACCTAACTTGAGCATTTTAGTACAGTCACACATCACTGAATGATAGGGATACGTTCTAACAGATGTATCTATAGGCAATTTCATCATTTTGCAAACATCACAGAGAATATTACAAACACCGAGATTGTACAGCCTACCTCGTCTAGGTCATATGGTATAGCCTCTCTCTCCCAGGCTACAAACCTGTGTACTACATTACTCTACTGAATACTGAAGGCAATAAGAACACCATGGTAAGAGTTTATGTATCTAAACATACTTAAACGTTGAAAAGTACGTAAAAATATGTATTATAATCTCATGGGACCCCTTTTGTATATGTAATCCATCTTTGACTGAAATGTTATTATGCATGGCATGACTCTATGACAAAAATAAAATAACACATTGTAAAAAATGTACACAGATAACAAACATATTAATATTGTAAAAATAAAAATATTTATTCAGTGTAAGAATTTGTAATGATCACAAAATATTCACAGCTTATATTTTAGTACAGTTTCAAATGCCTATTGTAATTACTATTTATTTCTGTGTGTATTTTAAACATGTATATAATAAATATTTTTCAGTTTCAACAGTATTTATCAATCCAACTGGCTCTTATAAATATTAGTTAAAATCAATTAGTAAATTCATATATATGTATACACACGTGTATCAGTCTGCAGGCATGTATGTGTGTGTAAATGTAACTGTATGTGTGTGTAAATGTAACTGGATGCATCCTAATATTTAACCTTACCTACAATATTTCCAAGATTCATTTATTATCTTTAGATGATGTGCATTTAAAAATTTACCAAACAATACTGTAATCGTGGAAAATATCAAGATTTTATTAAATTCATCTTGTGCACATAATTGTTTCTTTAAATTTATGTTTCTTGCACAACTTGTGGTAATGCTCATGCACAAAATAATTTTCTAAATAAAAAATAAAAACATTTTCTCAGTCAATTCTTAATAATTATTTCTCCCCAATAATTAATATGAATTAATCCTTAATTCTTAATTATAGAATAATGTTGCCGTTCAGAGTTCTGAATCTTTTGCATGTTGTATGCATTTCACTAACTAGAAAAACTTCTGGAATATTGGCATTAATTAATGTCACTCAGCAATTAATGATTTCAAAGAAATTAAATACCGTTCATATTCTGAATCACAAGGGTACTTTGGCATCTAATTTAATCAAGCACTTTGTATCATCACCTACACTTTAATTACTTAACAAACATTTCTCTGTGTGAGAAAGATTGAGCAGGTTATTGTTCTTTTTTAAGATGCTACTTTCGCTTAATCTGGAGATAGGCAATGCTCCCTATAAGGGACAAAGAGAAAAATGAAAGAGCTGTAGAGATGTGACAGGCATGGCAAAAGACAATACATTTATAAAACAAATAGGGCCACAGATGATAATAATGGGGATCAAATAATGAGATACTGACTCAGTTTATAAACTCACTGTACAATAGAGCAAATCACTTGTTAATTTTTTTACAAATGGAATTTAATTTAATTAAGATGAATACAGTGTTTTAAGCAAGGCAGGTCACCTTAAAATAAAGTAGTGGAATAAAGTGTTATAACCAATGTAAAAGTCATAAACATTTTATAAAGAATTTTTATCATGTAATTTAATATTTTTCTTTATTTGAAATCACCCAAATCAAAATAATTTTATCTGAATTAACAAATAATCATCAGAAGTTAACTAATTTTTACTTTATAATACTAGTTTTAAAAATTCTTAACGATATTTTTAAACATATGTACTTATACATAAAATAGACATAAGGTATATGTTTACATGTTCACAATATTATAGTTTAATTGTTCCTATGGAATGGAATGGAATTATTCAATGGAATTGAATGTAATCACCAATGAAGGGAATCGAATGGAATCATCGTCAAATGGAATCAAGTGGAATCATCAAATGGAAACTAATGGAATCATTGACGAATGGAATGGAATGGAATCATTTAATGGAATTGAATATAATCACCAATGAATGGAATTGAATGAAATCCTCATCGAATGGTTTGAAATGGAAACATCAAATGGACACGAACGGAATCATCGGATGGTATTGACTGGAATCATCATCGAATGGAATCATCGAATGGAATCATCATCAAATGAAATCGAATGGAATCATGGAATGGCATCGAATGGAATCATCATCCAATGGAATCAAATGGAGTGATATAACGGACTTGTGTAGAATCATCATCGAATGGAATCGAGTGGAATCATCAAACGGACACGAATGGAATCATCATCGAATGGAAACAAAAGGAATCATCATCAAATGGAATCGAATAGAATCATCATATAATGGAATAGAATGGAATCATTGCATGGAACAGAATGGAATCATCATCGAATGGAATCAAATAGAATCATCGGATAAAATTAAATGTAATAAACATCTAATGGAATTGAATGGAATCATCATCGAAAGGAATTGAATGGAATCATCATCGAATGGAATAGAATGGAATCATCATCAAACGGAATTAAATAGAATCATCGAATGAAATTTAATGGAATCATCATCGAATGGAAACGAATGGAATCATCATCGAATGGAATCAAATGGAATCATCATTGAATGGAATCGAATGGAATCTTCAACAAGTGGAATCACATGGAATCCTCGAATGGAATCTAATGTAATCATCAGCACATGGAACCGAATGGAATCTACATGGAGTGGAATCAAATGGTATCATCGAATGGAATCCAAGGTGATCACTGAATTGAATGGAATGATCATCGAATGGAATCGAAGGGCAACATCGAATGGGATGGAATGAAATCGTTGAATGGAATAGAATGGAATCATCAAAGGGATTCGAATGGAATCATCATCGAATGGAATCGAATGGAATCACCGAATGGATTTGAATGGAATCATCATCAAATGGAATCGAATGGAAACATCGAATGGACACGAATGAAATCATCATTGAATGGAATCGAATGATATCATTGAATGGACTCGAATGGAAACATCATGCTATGGAATCAGATGGAAAAATCAGTTGTCATTGAAATGAATCATCATTGAATGGACTCTTAGGGAATAATTGAACGGAACTGAATGGAATCATCGAATGGACACAAGTGGAATCATCAATGAATGGAATCGAATGGAATCATCGAATGGACACTTATGGAATCATCTTCGAATGGAATTGAATGGAATCATCTAATGGACTCGAGTGGAATCATCAAAAAATGCAATTTAATGGAATCATCGAATGGACGCGAATGGAATCATCATCAAATGGAATCGAAAGGAATCATAGACTGGAATCGAATGGAATCATCATCGAATGGAATGGAATGGAATCATCAAATGGACTCGAATGGAATCATCACCGAATGGAATCGAATGGAATCTTCGAATGGACTCGATTGAAATCATCATTGAACGCAGTCAAATGAACTCATCATTGAATGGAATCGAATGGAATCATCATCAAATGGAATGGAATGGAGTCATCCAATGGAGTAGAATTGAATCATCATAGAATGGAATCGAATAGAATCATCGAATGAAATCAAATGGAATGATCATCAGATGGAATCGAATGGAATCATCATCGAATGGAATCGAATGGAATCATCATTGAATGGAATCGAATGGAATCACTGAGTGGACTCGAATGGAATCATCATCAAATGAAATCGAATGGAATCACCAAATGGCATCAAATGGAATCATCAATGAATGGAATCTAAGGGAAAAATTGAATGGAATCAAAAGGAATCATCAAATAGAGTAGAGTGGAATCATCATCGAATGGAATTAAATAGAACCATCCAATGTAATAGAAATGTATCATCATCAAAAGGAATCTTTTAGAATCATCCAATGTAATAGAAATGAATCATCATCGAATGGAATAGAACAAAATCATCATTGAATGGAATCGAATGGAGAAATCAAATGGAATCCAATTTAATCATCATTGAATTGAACCCAATGGAATCATTAAATGGACTCGAATGGAATCATCAAATGGACTCAAATGGAATAATCATCGAATGGAATATAATGGAATCATCAAATGCAATCGAATGGAATCATCTTCAAATGAAATCAAATGGAATCATCGAATGGACTTGAGTGGAATCATCATCAAATGGAATCGAATGGAATCATCGAATGGACTTGAATGGAATCATCATCGAATGGAATTTAAGGGAGTCATCTAATGGACTTCAAAGGAATCATTGGATGGACACGAATGGAATCATCATCAGATGGAATCAAATGGAATCTTCAAATGGACACGAATGGAATCATCTTTGAATGGAATCAAATGGAATCATTGAATAGAATCCAATGGAATCATCATCGAATTGAATCGAATGGAATCATTGAATGGAATCGAATGGAATCATCATCAAATGGAATCGAATGGAATCATCATCGAATGGAATCTAATGGCATCATCATCTAATGGAATCTAATGGAATCATCAACGAAAGGAGTCAAATGGAGAAATCGAATGGAATCCTTTGGAATAATCATCGAATGGTACCGAACGCAGTCGTCATCAAGTGGAATCCAATGGAAACATCATCGAATGGAATCGAATGGAATCATCATAGAATGGAACCAAAAGGAATCATCATGGAATAGAATCGAATGGAATCATCGAATGGAATGGAATGGAATAATCAATGAAAGGAATTGAAGGGAATCATCAAATGGAATCAAATGAAATCATCATCGAGTGGACTTGAATTGAACTATCATCGAATGGAATCGAATGGAATCATCAAATAGACTCGAATGGAATAATTGAATGGATTCCAGTGGAATCATGGAATGGAATCGAATGGAATCAATGAATGGACTCGAATGAAATCATCGAATGGAATCTGATGGAATCAATGAAGGGACTCGAATGGAATCTTCGAATGGACTCAAGTGGAATCTTCATTGAATGGAATCGAAAGTAATCGTAAAATGGACTCGAATGGAATCATCATTGAATGGAATCAAGTGGAATCACTGAATGGAGTCGAATGGAATCATCATCGAATGGAATCAAAGGGAATCATTGAATGCACTCCAAAGGAATCATCATCAAATGGAATCGAATGGAATCATTGAATGGAATAGAAAGGAATCATCACCAAATGAAATTGAGTGGAGTCACCGAATGGACACGATTGGAATCATCACTGAATGGAATCAAATGGCATCATCGAATTCACTCAAATGGAATCATTGTGGAATAGAATTGAAAGCAATAATCGAATGAATTCTAAAGGAATTATCAAACGGACTCAAATGGAATCATCGAATGGACTCGAATGGAATCATCATCGAACGGACTCTAACGGAATGATCGAATGGACTCTAATGGAATCATTGAATCAAAATGAATGGAATCTTCAATTGAACTCAAGTGGAATTATCGAATGGGCTCGAATGGAGACATCGAATAGACACGAATGGAATCATTATCGGATGAAATTGAATGGAATCATCAAAAGGAACTGATCGGAATCATCATCACATGAAATCAAATTGAATCATCGAATGGAATCGAGTGGAATCATCGAATGTACTCGAATGGAATCATTGAATGGAATCCAATGGAATCATAGAATGGAATCAAATGTAATCATCAATGAATGTGATCAAATGGTATCATCGAATGGACTCGAATGGAATCATCATTGAATGGATTCGAATGGAATCATCGCATATACTTGAATGGAATCATCATTGAATGGATTCGAATGGAATCATCGAATATACTTGAATAGAATCATCATTGAATGGAAAAGAATGGAATCATCAAATGGACACGAGTGGAAACATCGTCGAATTGAATCATAAGGAATCATCAAAAGGAATCAAATAGAATCATCATCAAATGGAATCGAATTGAATCATCAAATGGAATCAAATGGAATCATCAACGAATTGAATCGAATGGTATCATGGAATGGAATTGAAAGAAATCATCTGCAAGTTAAATCTAAAGGAATCACCGAATGGACTCCAATGGAAAAATCATCAAATGGAATCCAGTGGAATCATCGAATGTACCTGAATGGAATCATTGAATGGACTCGAATGGAATCATCATCAAATGGAATCAAATGGAATCATTGAATGGAATCGAATGGAATCACCATCGAATGGAATCAAAAGGAATCATTGAATGAACAAGAATGGAATCATCATCAAAAGGAATAGAATGGAATCATCTTGAAATTGAATCTAATGGAATCACCATGGAATGGAATCGAATGGAAACATCGAATGGACTCGAATGGAATCATCCTCGAATGGAATCGAATGGAATCATCAAATGGACTCGAATGGAATCATCATCGAGTGACACCGAATGAAATCATCGAATGCAACAGAATGGAATCACTGAATGGATTTGAGTGGAAACATCATCGAATGGAATTGAATGGAATAATTGAAGGCACTCGAAAGGAATCATCGAATGGACTCGAAAGGAATGATCTTCAAGTGGAATCGAATGGAATCATTGAACGGACTCGAAAGGAATCTTTGAATCAACTCGAATGGAATCAACATCGAATGGAACCTAATGGAATCATCAAGTGGACTCGAATGGAGTCCTCTTCGATTGTAATCACAGGGAATCACTGAATGGACTCGAATGGAAACATCAAGTGGCCTCAAATTGAATCATCATTAAATGGAATCGAATGGAATTATCGAATGGACTCGAATGGAATCATCAAACGGACTCAATAGCAATCATCATCGAGTGGAATCGAATGAAATCTTTGAATGGACTCAAATGCATTCATCGAATGACCTCGAATGAAATCATCATTGAACAGAATCGAATGGAATCATCACATGAACTCGAATGGAATCATCATCGAATGGAATGGAATGAAATCATCGAATGGAATCGAATGGAATCATCATCAAATGGAATTGAAAGGAATAATTGAATGGACTCGAATAGAATCATCAAATGGACTCAAATAGAATCATCATCGAGTGGAATCGAATAGAATCATCAAATGGACTCAAATGGAATCATCATTGAATGGAATCAAATGAAATCATCATCAGATGGAATAGAATGGAATCATCACTGAATGGAATCGAATGGAATCATTGAAGGGAATGAGATGGAATCATCATCAAATGGAATCAAATAGAAGCATCGAATGAAATCGAATGGAATCATCATCGAATGGACTCGAATGGAAACATCATCAAATGGAGCCGAATGGAAGCATCGTCTAAAGGAATGAAAAGGAATCATCATCAAATGGAATCGAATGGAAACACCATCGAATTGAATCAAATGGAATCATCATGGAATAGAATCAAATGGCTCATCATCAAATGGAATCGAAAGGAATCATCAGATGGAATCGAATGAAATCATCATCAAATGGAATCTTCGAATGCAATGGCATGGAATCATCATCGAATGAAACCGAATGGATTCATCGAATGCAACAGAATGGAATCACTGAATGGATTCAAATGGAATCATCATCGAATGGAATTGAATGGATTCATTGAAGGCACTTGAAAGGAATCATCGAATTGACTCGAAAGGAATCATCATCAAGTGGAATCAAATGGAATCATCGAACAGACTCAAAAGGAATCTTTGAATGGACTCGAATGGACTCATCATCGAATGGAGCCTAATGGAATCATCAAATGGACTCGAATGGAGTCCTCATTGATTGTAATCACAGGGAATCACTGAATGGACTCGAATGCAAACGTCGAATGGCCTCAAATTAAATCATCATTAAATGGAATCGAATGGAATCATCCAATGGACTCGAAAGGAATCATCATCGAGTGGAATCGAATGAAATCATCGAATGGCCTCGAACGAAATCATCATCAAATATAATCGAATGGAATCATCACATGGACACAAATGGAATCATCGTCGAACGGAATGGAATGGAATCATAGAATGGAATCAAATGGAATCGTCATCAAATGGAATTGAAAGGAATAATTGAATGGACTCAAATGGAATCATCGAATGGACTCAAATAGAATCATCATTGAGCGGAATCGAATAGAATCATTGAATGGACTCGAATGGAATCATCATCGAATGGAATCCAATGGAATCATCATCAAATAGAATTGAAAGGAACAATTGAATGGACTCGAATGGAATCATTGAACGGACTCAACTAGAATCACCATCGAGCGGAATCGAATAGAATCATCGAAAGGACTCAAATGGAATCATCTTCGAATGGAATCAAATGAAATCATCATCAGATGGAATAGAATGGAATCGTCACTGAATGGAATCGAATGGAATCATTGAAGGGAATAAGATGGAATCATCGAAGGGAATAAGATGGAATCATCAATGAATAGAATCAAATAGAAGCATCAAATGAAACTGAATGGAATCATCATCGAACGGACTCAAATGGAGTCATCATCAAATGGAGTCGAATGGAATCATCGTCTAATGGAATCAAAAGGAATCATCATCGAATGGAATCAAACGGAATCATCATGGAATTGAATCGAATGGCTAATCATCAAATGGAATCGAATGGAATCATCGAATGGAATCATCATTGAACGGAATCTTTGAATGGAATTGAATGGAATCATCATTGAATGGAATCAAATGGAACCATCAAATGAAATTGAATGGAATCATCATCGAAGGGAGTCAAATTGAAACTTCATCAAATGTAATCTAATGTAATCAATGAAGGGAATTGAAAGGAATCATCATCGAATGGAATCGAATGGAATCATCAAAAAGAATTGAATCAAATCATAAAATGGACTCAAACGGAATCATTATAGAATGGAATCGAATAGATTCTTTGGATGAACTTGAATGGAATCATCATCGAATGGAATCGATTGGAATCATCGAATGCACTCAAATGGAATCATCATTGAATGGAATTCAATGGAATCATTGAATGGACTCAAATGGAATCATCATCAAATGGAATCCACTGGAATCATCCAATGGAATGGAATGGAATTATCGGATGGAATTGAATGGAATCATCTTTGAATGAAATTGAATGGAATCATCGAATGGAATTGAATGCAATCATCATCGAATGGAATCGAATAGAATCATCAAATGGAAACCAATGGAATCACCATTGAATGGACTCGCATGGAATCATCATCGAATGGAATCGAATGGAATCATCAAATGGATTCGAAAGGAATCATCATAAAATGGAATCCATTGGAATCATCGAATGGAATTGAATGGAATTATCGGATGGAATCGAATGGAATTATCTTCAAATGGAATCACCGAATGGAAATGAATACAATCATCATCGAATGGCATCCAATAGAATCATCAAATGGAATCGAATGGAATCACCATTGAATGGAATCGAATGGAATCATAATTGAATAAAATCAGAAGGAAACATCGAATGGAATGGGGTGGAATCATAATTGAATAAAGTCGGAAGGAATCATCAAATGGACTGGAATGGAATCATCATCGAATGGAATCGTATGGAATCATCGTGAAATATAATCAAATGGAATCATCAAATGGAATTGAATGGAAAAATCATCAAATGGAATAGAATAGAAGCATCGAATGTAATCGAATGGAATCAACATCAAATGGAATCAAATGGAATCATTGAATGTTATCAAAAGGAATTATCATCGAATGGGATCAAATGGAATCATCATTGAATGGAATTGAATAGAACCATTGAATGGAATCAACATCGAATGGAATCAAATGGAATCAAAGAATGTTATCAAATGGAATCATCATCGAATGGAATCTAATGGAGTCATCATTGAATGGAATCGAAAGCAATCATTGAATGGACTCCAATACAATCATCAAATGGAGTTGAATGGAATCATCAACGAATGGAGTAGATCGGAATCATCGAATGGACACAAATGGAATCATCATTGAATGGAATAGAATGGAATCACCATCGAATGGAATTGAAAGGAATCATCTAATGGACGTGAATGGAATCATTATCGGATTGAATAGAATGCAATCATCATTGAATGGAATTGAATGGAATCTTCTAAGGGACACGAAAAGAATAATCATCGAATGGAATCGAATGGAATCATGTAATGTACTCGAATGGAATCATCATCCAATGGAATAGAATGGAATCATCGAATTGATTCGAATGGAATCATCATCATATGGAATCAAGTGGAATCATCGAATGGACTTGAAAGTAATCATCGCAGAATGGAATCAAATAGAATCATGGAATGAACTCGAATGGAATCCTCATGGAGTGGAATCGAATGGAATCACCTAAATGGACCCGAATGGAATCATCATCAAATGGAATCGAATGGATTCATTGAATGCACTCGAATGGAATCATCATTGAATATAACCGAAAGCAATCATCAAATGGATTTGAATAGAATCATCGAATAGCCCGAATGGAATCCTCATTGAATGGAATCAAATGGAATCATCGAATGGACTCGAATGGAATTGTCATCGAATGGAATCAAATGTAATCGATGAATGGACTGGAAAGGAATCATCATCGAATAGAATCAAATGGAATCACTGAATGGACTCGAATGGAATCATCATTGAATGGAATCAAAGAGAATCATTGAATGCACGTGAATGGAATCATCATCGAATGGAATCGAATGTAATCATCGAATGGACTCTGAAGGAATCATCATCGAATGAAATTGAGTGGAATCACTGAATGGACATGAATGGAATCATCATCGAATGGAATAGAATGGAATCATCGAATGGACTCTAATGGAATCATCATCGAATGGAATTGAAAGCAATCATCGATTGGATTCAAATGGAATTTTCGAATGGACATGAATGGAATCATCGAATGGACTCGAATGGAATCATCATTGAACGGACTCTAATGGAATGATCGAATGGACTCTAATGGAATCCTTGAATGGAAACAAATGGAATCATCGATTGGACTCCAATGGAATTATCGAATGGGCTCGAATGGATCACCGAATGGACTCGAATGGAATTATTATCGAGTGGAATTGAATGGAACAATCTAATGGAATTGATCCGTATCATCATCGAATGGAATCAAATTGAATCATCAAACGGAATTGAATGCAAATATGATCGAATGGAATCAAATGGAATCATTGTCGAATGGAATGGAATGGAATCATTTAATGGAATTGAATGGAATAGCCAGTGAATGGAATCAAATGGAATCATCATCGAATGGAATCGAATGGAATCATCCAATGGACTCGTTTGGAATCATCACCGATTGTAATCATGTGGAATCATCGAATAACCTGGAAATGAGTCATAATGTAATGGAATCGAAAGGAATCATCTTTCCAATGGAATCACAAGGAATCATCATCGAATGGAATCATACGGAATCGTTATAGAATGGAATTGAATGGAGTCAGCAGTTGGACTTGAATGGAATCATCAAATGAACTCATAGGGAAGTGTCAAATGGACTCGAACAGAATCATCATTGAATGGAATCGAATGGAATCAACAAAAGACCTCGAATTGAATCATCATATGGAATCGAATGGAATCATTATAGAATGGAATTGAATATAGTCATTGGATGGATTTGAATGGAATCATCATTGAATGGAATCGATTGGAATCATTGAATGGAATTGAATGGCATCATTGAATGGACTCGAATGGAATGATCATCAAATCAATTCCATTGGAATCAGATGGAATCAAATGGAATTATCGAATGGAATCATCTTTGAATGGAATCGAACGGAATCATCTAATGGAATTGAATGCAATCATCATTGAATGGAATCGAATGGAATTGAATTTAATCACCACTGAATGCACTCAAATGGAATCATCATCAAATAGAATGAGAAGGAATTATGGAATGGACTCGAATGGAATCATCATCGAATAGAATCAAATGGAATCATAGAAAGGAATCAAATGGAATCATCATCAAAGGTAATTAAATGGAATCTTCGAAAGGAATAGAATGGAATCATCATGGAATGGAATCGAATAGAATCAGCGAATGAAATCGAATGGAATCAACATCAAATTGAATCGAATGGAATCACAGAATAGCAACGAATGGAATCATCATCAAATGGAATCAAATGGAATCATTATCAAATGTCATTGAAGGCAATCATTGAATGGACTCAGAAACATCAAATGGACAACCATAGAATCATCATTGAATGGAGTATAATGGAATCATCAAATGGACGCGAATGGAATCATCATCGAATGGAATCAAAAGGAATCTTCTAATGGACACGAATGGAATCATCATCGAATAGAATAGAATGGAATCATCATTGAATGGAATCAAATGGAATAATCTAATGGACCCAAATGGAAACATCATTGAATGGAATAGAAGGGAATCATCATTGAATGGAATCCAACGGAATCATCAAATGGATCTGAATGAAATCATCATTGAATTGAATAGAATGTAGTCATCATCGAATGGAATCAAATGGAATCATCATCATATGGAATTGAGTGGAATCATAGACTGAACTTGAACGTAATCAATGGAGAATGGAATGGAATGGAATCATCGAATGAACACGAATGGAATCGTCATCGAATGGAATCATCTAATGAACCCGAATGGAATCATCATCAAATGGAATCAAATGGTATCATCAAATGTACTCGAATGGAATCATCATTGAATATAATTGAAAACAATCATCAAATGGATTTGCATGGAATCATCGAATGGACACAAATGGAATCATCATCGAATGGAAACAAATGGAATCATTGAATGGAATCATCATCAAATGGAATCAAATGGTATAATTGAATGCACACGAATGGAATCATCAAGGTATGGTATCGAATGGTATCGTCAAATGGAATCGAATGGAATCATTATCGAATGAAATCAAATGGTATCATCAAATTACTCAAATGGAATCATGATCGAATAGAAGTGAATGGAATCATTGAATGGACTCGAATGGAATCATGATCAAATGGAATCGAATGGAATGATCGAATAGAATCTAATGTATTCATCATTGATTGAAATCGCATTGAATTATCGAATGGGCTCAGATGGAATCATCGTCGAACGGAATCAAATGGAATCATCATTGAATGGACACGAATGGAATCATTATCGTACGGTATCGAATGGAATCATCAACAAGTGGAATCAAATAGAATCAATATAGAATGCAATCGAATGGAATCATCAAATGGAATAGAATAGAATCATCTTTGAATGGAAAAAAATAGAATCATCGAATGAAATCAAATGGAATAATCATCAAATAGAAACGAATGGAATCATGACCAAATGGAATCGAATAGAATCATCATCAAATGGAATGGAATGGAATCATCGAATGGACTCGAAAAGAATCATCATCGAATGGAATTGAATGGAATCTTCGAATGGACTCGAATGGAATCATGATCGAATGGAGTCGAAAGGAATCATTGAATGGAACCTAATGGAATCATCAACGAATGGAACCGAATGGAATCATCACCAATTGGAAATGAACGGAGAAGTCATCAAATGGAATCGAATGGACTCATGAACGAATGGAATCAAATGGAATCATCATCGAATGGAATCAAATGGAATCATCATCGAATGTAATAGAATGGTATCACCGAATTAAATCCAATGGAATGATCATGGAATGGAATCGAAGGGAATCATAGAATGGCATGAAATGGGATCATTGAAGGGAATTGAATGGAATCATGGAATGGATTTGGATGGAATAATCATTGAATGGAATTGAATGGAATCATTGAAAGGACCCGAGTGAAATCATCATTAAATGGAATCCAATGGAATCATTGAATGAACACGAATTGAATCATGATTTAATGGAATCGAATGGAATCATCAAGTGGCATCAAATGGAATCATCATTGAATGGAATCCAATGGAATCAACGAATGGACAATAATGGAATAATCGGATGGGCTTGAGTGGAATCATCATAAAATGGAATCGAATGTAATCATCGAATGGACTTGAATGGAATCGTCATTAAATCGAAATGAAAGAAATCATCATCCAGTGGAATCGAATGGAATCATCACTGAATGGAATCGAATGGAATCATAATCGAATAGAATCGAATGGAATCACCAAATTGAATCGAAAGGAATGATCATCAAAGGGAATCAAAGGGAATCATCGATTGGGACTGAAGGGAGTCATCGAATGGAATCGAGTGGAATCATTGAATGGATTCGAATGAAATCATCATCGAATGGAATCGAATGGAATCATTGAATGGACTCCAATGGAATCATCATCAAATGGGATCGAATGGAATCATCAAATGGACATGAATGGAGTCATCATTGAATGGAATTGAATGGATTCATCAAATGTCATAGAATGGAATCATCATCACATGGAATCAAATGGAATAATTGAATGTACTCAAATGGAGTCTTTGAATGGACAAGAGTGGAATCATCATCGAATGGAATCGAATAGAATTACCAAATGGACTCTAATGGAATCCTCATCAAATGGAATCGAGTGGAATCATTGAATGGAGTTGAATGGAATCAACATGGAATGGAATCGAATGGAGTCATCGAATGGAGTCGAATGGAATCATCATCGAATGGAATCAAATGGAATCATCGATTGGACACGAATGGAATAATCATCCAATGGAATCGAATGGAATCATCATAGAATGGAATATAATGGATTCATTGAATGGAATCAGATAGAATCATTGAATGGTCTTGAATGGAATCATCGAATGGACTCGAATGGAATAATTTTTGAATGGAATTGAATGGAATCATCGAATGGTCTTGATTGGAATCATCATCGAATGGAATCGAATTTAATCATCGAATGGAATCGAATGGAATCATCATCGAATGGAACCGAATAGAATCGGCATTCAATAGAATAGAATGGAATCATCATCAATGGAATTGAATGGAATTTTCTTCAAATGGAATAGAATGGAAACATCATCGAATAGAATCAAATTGACTCATTGAATGAAACTGAATGGAATCATCATCAAAATGAATCAAAATAAAACAAAGAATGGAATCCAACAGAATCATCGAATGGAATCAAATGGAATCATCATTGAATGGACTCGAATGGAGTCATCATCGAATGGAATCAAATGGAATGCTTTAATTGACTCAAATGGATTCATTGAATGGACTCGAATGGAATCATCGAATGGAATCTAATGTAATCATCATTGAATGAAATCAAATGGAATCATCAAATGGAATCAAATGGAATCATCATTGAATGGAATCAAATGAAATCATGGAATGCACTCGAATGGAATCAGCGAATGGACTCAAATGGAATCAACATTGACTGGAATCGAAAGAAAACATCAAATGGAGTTGAATGGAATAATCGAATGGAATCATCGTCGATTGGAATAGAATGGAATCATCGAATGGACACGAAAGGAATCATCATCGAATGTGATCAAATGGAATCATCGAGTGGAATCCAATGGAATCATCTTCGAATGGAATTGAATGGAATCATCATCGAATGGAATCAAATGGAATCATCGTCATATGGAATCGAATGGAATCATCATTGAATGGAATCGAATGGAGTCATCAAATGGAGTCCGTTAGAATCATCATCGAAAGGAACCGAATGTAGTCATCATTTAATGGAATCAAATGGAATCATCGAATGGACTTGATGGAATCATCATCACATGGAATCGAATGGAATCATCGAATGGACTTAAATGGAATCAGCATTGAATGGAATTGAATGGAATCATCGATTGGAAACGAATGGAATCACCATTGAATGGAATCTTCGAATGGAATCGAATGAAATTATTGAATGGAATCAAACAGAATCATCATTGAATAGAATCGAATTGGATCATCATTGAATGGAATCTAACGAAATCATCATCGTATGGAATCTAGTGGTGTCATCATCTAATGGAAATGAATGGAATCAGCAAGGAATGGAATCGAGTGGAGAAATCGAATGGAATCCGTTGGAATCATCATCGAATGGAACCGAATGCTGTCATCATAGAATTGAATCGAATGGAATAAACGAAGGGACTGGAATTGTATCATCATTGAATGGAATCGGATGGAATCATTGAATGGACTCGAGTGGAATCATTGAGTGGACTCAAATGGAAACATCATCGTATGGAATCGAATGGAATTCTCGAATGGACTTTAATGGAATCATCATCGAATGTAATCGAATGGAATCGAATTGAAACATCGAATGGACTCTAATGGAATCATCATCAAATAGAATCATCAAATGAACTCGAATGGAATCATTGAATCGACACGAATGGAATCATCATATAATGGAATTGAGGGGAATCCTCGAATGGAATCAAATGGAATCATCAAATGGAATCAAACAGATTTATAAGAAACTTACTTGAACCAAAAAATAGAAAAACAAACAAACCAAAACCCACTAAAACTGTGATGAGCAAAGTAGACATCAGAACAGGAAATATCACTGGGGATGAAGAATAACATTTCTAAATCACAAAGGGGAAAATACACCAAGTCATGTAAATAAGAAATATGATAGACTGGATTAAGAAAATGTGGCACATATACACCATGGAATACTATGCAGCCAAAAAAAATGATGAGTTCATATCCTTTGTAGGGACATGGATGAAATTGGAAATCGTCATTCTCAGTAAACTATCACAAGAACAAAAAACCAAGCACCACATATTCTCACTCATAGATGGGAACTGAACAATGAGATCACATGGACACAGGAAGGGGAATATCACACTCTGGGGACCGTTGTGGGATGGTGGGAGGGGGGAAGGGATAGCATCGGGAGATATACCTAATGCTAGATGACGAGTTAGTGGGTGCAGCGCACCAGCATGGCACATGTATACATATGTAACTAACTTGCACAATGTGCACATGTACTGTAAAACTTAAAGTATAATAAAAAAAAGAAAAAAGAAAAAAAAGAAATATGTATGCACACAATAGCATTACTTCAAAATACATAATATAAAACCTATTAAAACTGAAAGGTAAAATAGTAAAGCCACAGTCATCCATAGGGCTTTCAACAGTCTCCTGCCAGAAATTTTTAAATTTTGTTAAACGAAAAGTTGGTAAGGGTAGAAAGCATCTTATAAATATAATTAGCCAACTTGATCTAATTGAATATTTTAGAATAATCTAAGGATGAGGAATGAGGTAGCAGAGAAAGAAAAGGTAGACATGAACGTGACATTAGTGTTTCAAGGCTATGAGAATACACCAATAATGGTGTGTGTGTGTGTGCAGATGGTAAGTTCAATCTTAAAAATATTGAGTTTTAACTGACAATTCATTATTAGGAAAGATAAGAGGAAATGATGTCTAGTGAGAGGCTATATGACTGAACTCTAAGAGAAAGGTCACAGCAGAAATTGTGTACCTGACAGCTCTATAAGAAGATCAGTCAAAAATAAGTCAGTGATGAATTCTCTAGAGTAAAAGCAGAGGAATGAGGATTATATTTAAAACCCATGGAAGCAGAGTGACTTATCATAAAAACATGAGCTTGAAAATCCTGCAGAGAGAGCTTTAAATCCTGGTTATGATATTCTGCTTGTGTAGGCAATAGTGATAAAAACACAACAACAGAGAGGTAAAGAGCACTTTCCTTTGATATAAGTAAAGGGCACGTCTTATTACACACACACACACACATATATATATATACATACATATATATGTATATATATGTGTATATATGTATATATATATGTATATATATATATATACATATATATACGTATTCAACTGAGATTCAACATGTTTCTCTCATTGAAAAGGCAAGCTCTCCAGGCCTTCATGTTCCCAGTGAGGTAGGTAACCTTCTGATGATTATACTCACCCTCCCTCATTGCAAAGCTCCCATTGTTATTGTCTTGGCTCTGGATTCCCTCAAAAATAGACTATGAAACAAATATCTGGGGTCAGATACTTTAATCAGAAATTGAGTGAGAAAGCACAGAAGTGGAGAAAATGAAACAGAACACGAAGCCAGTGTGAATGAATAGTTACTGCTATGTGCTCAGTAATGATGGAGGTATGGATATTGTCTCAAAAAAACTTTACAAAGAGATGAGGATGCTGGAATCCCCATCTCTTATTGCTTAAGGATTCCTTAGAATCATTAACTCTCCACCCCAACTCCTTCTTTGTTCCTATGTGTGGTTGAGAAGCACTGGTTACCCTCAAGAAGCTTGCAGGCAGGCCCAAAAATCAGAAAGACAGGCATGATGTGGGGAGCTCTAAGTTAGCTGGAAACAGGTGAATTCCAGGTGAACACATTGAGACCAGGACATAGAAGACAAGTCATCAGCAATATCTGCTATAGCCAGTTTTCTTTTTCTTTTTAAGAACATATATACTTTCTATTGGGGGTCCCCAAGTCCCTCTTTAGTTTAATGATTCACATAACTCAAGAAAGCTGATTTTTTCTGTGGTTATAGTTTCTAACAGTGAAAGAAACCAGATTAAAATAATCAGAAGCATAAAAGCACATAAAGTTGAGTCCAGGACAAACCAGATGTGAGCTTACAGGTGTCCTTTCATAGTGGGGACTTCACACTGCCTAATTTTCTTTACAATGGTGTGAGACAACATGTGTGAACTTGTTGCCAACTAGGGAAGCTCAATCAGTCTTGAGTCCAGGGTTTTTATTAGGATTCCACCACATATGCATCGAGCGTCCTGTGACTGAACTTAGCTACTTAGTTCCCAACCTCCTTATGCCCTAAGAGAGGTCATATTAATATGGCATTACACAAAATCATAGGCATAGAGAAACAGGTGCTCACAAGAAATCATGTTGTTAACATCAGCTATTTGATATGACCTACGTTTTCAGGTATACAAAGACTCTCATCAGGCAGCATATACCAAGAGCTCATAGGTTATTATCACCCAGGAGCTTGTCAAGGGCCAGTCCTGAAGACCTTTGGAATGCACCAGGTTTTGGAAAGCCATGACTGCAGAATTAACCCTTCATTACACAACCTCCAAGAATTTTTTTATCTTTAAAAATTTTTTTGATCTTTGACAATGTACCAACCAATACTGAGGAATTAGTAACAACAGTGCACTCCTGAGTACTTGCACCTGCAAGGAGATAAAGGTCAGATGAACTTACATTGGACAGATGCAAATAGAGAACACTATGACAAGTAAAGCTGGAATAATCAATAAATTCCTAAAGACAAAGTGGGGCTGGTGAGATTGGGAGACCGCTGACAGTTGCAGAAGCTGGGAAAGATCCATCATCTTGAAAACGTTTTCCCCACAAACCCACTGCGATCTCTCAAGCAATTGGTAAGGAATCCAAGAGAGTCTGTATAAGACACAGATCAAGGAGAGCAGAACACTTGGGAGGTGACCAGGTCTTGGGGACCGAGCCATTATGAATGGGATTAGTGCCTTTATAAAAGAAGCTCAACGGAGTTCTTGTGTGCCTTCCACTATGTGAGGACATAGAAAGAATGCACCGTCTATGAACCATAAAATTGGCTCTCATCAACACTGAATTTGTGAGCACCTTGACCTGAGAATTTACAGCCTCAAGAAGTGTGAAAAAAGAAATATCTGTTGTTTTTTAGTCACCCAGTTTATGTTATTTTGTTATAAGAGTCCAAATAGACCAAGATATTCCGCTTAATATGTAGGGGAAGACAACAAAATCTGCCACACTTAGAATACTCCTGATGCTGGGAGTATGAAAACAGGAAAAACAAAACAAAACTGCTCTTGAAGGTGAAGCAGGAATATCACTGAGCTCAACAACACAGCCAGGAAAAGAACAGAAGTGTGAGAAGCCTACATTCCTGAGACCCTGAGAAAAAGTACCTGCATAAGACTGAGATGAAATTAACTACTCTAGTTATGATTGAAATCTCAAAAACAAAAGAGGGAAAAATAATGGAGAAAAAGAAATATTTTTCAAAATAACTGCCAAAAATATTCTAAAATAAGTGAAGGAAAATCAAACTTCAGATACAGGATACTCAGAGAATGTCAAATAGAACACAAAGAAATAAGAATTATATCTGGAAAAATCTTTAAAAAATCAAGTCTAAATTTTATATCTTGCTCCAAATATACAGAGATATAAATAGGTTATCATCAAGAAATGGAGAAAGCAATATCATGAAAACACTAAAATAAGGCTGTGGAAGGACTACATTGATATTAGACACAACAGAGTTCAGAACAAGAAATACTATCAGAGATGAGAGATAATAGATAATATAATTATTCTCAAGAAGATGTAAACATCCTACTAATTAGGGTATGCAGCTAACAACAGAACCTCCAAATACATGAGGTAAAACAGGAAAGAAATCAAAGGTGAACTACAAAAATCAAAAATTATATTTGCAGACTTCAACACTTTTGTCTCAGTAATGGAAAGACTAGTCACAAACTCAGTAATCATGTGGAAGATAAGAACAACAATATCACCAACAAGACATCCAATCTTCAATGGCAGATACTCTTTCTTTTCAAATGAAAAAAACAGTATGGCATATTATCTAACAAACCCAGAATTTCTAATATTTGCGTTCTTCCTTCTTTCTTTCCATCTTCCTTTCTATTCTCTTCCCTTCCCTTCTTCCTTCTTTTCTTCTTTTCCTCTTCCTTTTCTTTTCTTTTTTCTTTTCCTTTCTTTCTTTTCATTCTTTTTGTCTCCTTCCTTCCTTCTTTCCTTCTTTCCTAATTCTGCCTTCCCTCCTCCCTCTCTTCCTTTCTCCCTCCCTTTTCTTTCTTCTTTTCTCGTATTCTTTCTTTCTTTCTCACGTTCTTGCTTTCTTTCCTATTTTCTCCCTTCCTCCCGCCTTCCTTTTCTTCCTTCCTTCCTCCCTTCCTTTCCTCTTTTTCCTTCCTCCCTTCGCCTCTTTTTCTTTCTTTCTTTGCCTTCCTCCCTTTTACCATTCTCTCTTCCTCCTGTCCTTCCTCCCTTCCTGCTTTCTTTCTTTCTCTCTTTCTCTCTTTCTTTCTCTCTCTCTTTCTTTCTTTCTTTCTTCTTTCTTTCTTGTGTTCATGCATTGTTTTTTCTCCCTTCCTGCTTTTCTCCCTTCCTTCCTCCCTCCCTCCCTTCCTTCCCTCATTTCTTCCTTCTTTTCTTTCTTCTTTCTTTCTTTATTTCCTTCCTTCCTTCTTTCCTTCCTTCTTTTTCTTTCTTTGTTTTCTTTTCTTTCTTTCTCTTTACTACAATTCATATTATTTTAAAAAAAACTAAGAGAGGGAGACAGAAAAATAAAGAATGTTTAATCTGCAGGTAAATATACTATGTCTACTGTAGGCAAAAGAATGGCCTCCAAAAAATTTTCATGTCCTAATTCCCAGAGTCTAACATACAAATATGTTAGGTTGCATGGCAGTGTGAATTTAGATTTCAAGTGAAATTAAGGTTGCGGGAAAATGATAGAGAGATTGTCTTAAATGGGTGGGATCAATGAAATGACAAACTTCCTTATAAGTGAAAGAAGAAGGCAGAAGAAAGGCAACCTTGGAGGTGGTGGCATGAGAAATTACTCAAAATCACTGATGTTTAAGATACAAGAATGAGGACCCAGCGCACTGGCTCATGCCTAATCCCAGTGCTTTGGGAGGCTGGGGTGGGTTTATCACGAGGTCAGGATATCGAGACCATCCTGGCTAACATGGTGAAACCACATCCCTACTAAAAAATACAAAAAAATTAACTGGGCATGTTGGCAAGTGCCTGTAGTCCAAGCTACTCAGGAAGCTGAGGCAGAAGAATCACTTGAACCCTGGAGGCAGAGGTTGCAGTGAGCTGAGATCGTGCCACTGCACTCCAGCCTGGGAGACAGAAGCAGACTCCATCACAAAAAAAAAAAAAAGAAAAATAGGATATAAGAATGAGGTCATGTTCCAAGGAATAAAGGTGGAATCCGGATGCTGAAAAAAATCAAGTAATAGATTCTTCCACATAGCCCTCAGAAAGACTGCAGCCCTGCCCAAAACTTGATGTTAGCCCTGTGAGTTTCATTTAAGGCTTCTGAACTACAGAACTGTAGGATTAACGGTCACTTTATTGTAAGACATGAAGTTTGTGGTAATTGGTTACAGCAGCAAGAGGAAGTTTATATTGTAATTTTATCATGAAAAAGAGAACCATAATTTACAACTGCTTTTAATACTGCACTTGGACGTTTGAAATCACTTAAATGGAAATGATCTCTATGTGCATGAGGGAGGATAGCAAATTGATGCCAAAATAATGCAAATGCAAATCTTACACTCATTTCTATGTAGGTTTCATTTAATCTTTGAAATTAAAATGAAATTAAAAGATTGTGATCTTTTGATGAAATTAGACTAAAATGAACAATAACAAAATAAGAACTTACTTATATTCTTTATATGGTCAATAAAGAAGTGATGGTGGAAAAAAACAAGATCAAATGAAGGTGATGATTTAGGAAGTTGGAAAGATACCTGAAACTACAAAATGGTATATAACCAGTGAACACTTAGACACACTGATTGATGAACTTCAGCTTTTGGATTGGTGAGAGCATAAAATGAGAGCATCTGAGGTTTGCAAATTTGTAATCTCCTTGTGGAAAGCCAGGGGAAAACACATCTCAGCCTAATAAGATTTATCTACTAAAGAGTCTAGACTTGATCCATTTGTCCTTGTAATTCAAAAGCTAATTCAAATACTGATGTGATGTATTGTGTGAACAAGCATTGCTGATTATCATCGCATACCTGGCATTCTCTTTTATCTGATATCTAAAATATTTGGTAATTCCTGGACTTTCTCTTTTCAAACTCAGTACGATTTAATTTGAGTCTTAGAACAGTTGTCTTTGAGAAATTCTTCCCTCTACTGCATCTGTGAATGGGCATAGCATGGTTACATACATACTGTCACTCCATAGAACATTTTTTAAATTAAAGCCAAGTTTAAAGCAAGAGCTTTAACTTACTGGTTTTACTAATGTTCTCCTCCCCAATAGCCACAACAATATTGACACCCTCACACCTTTTAACATAAAGCTTGGTGTTGTCTATTTTTCAGGCGCTGTCATCTATATGATCTCAGTATTTTAAAAATCAGCTTCCAGCACATACGGTGGTTCATGCTTGTAATACCAGCAGTTGAAGAGGCTGAAATGAGAGGATTCCTTGAGCCCAGGAGTTCAAAAGCAACCTGGGAAACATAGCAAGACCCAGTCTCTACCAAAAGTTAAAACCAAAGAAAGGGGCATGGTAATGTGCACCTGTTGTCCTAGCTATTTGGAAGACCAAGGTGGAAGGATTGCTTGAGCTTGGGAGGCTGAGGCTGCAGTGAGAAGTGATTGCACCACTACACTCTAGCCTGGGCAACAAAGAAAGACCCTATTCCAAAAAATATGTATAATAAAAATAAAAATCAGCTCTCCTTGATTTCTATGTAAATATGCACAGGTGATGTCCATATAGACATAAATAATAATATTTCTGACAATGGGTCCATATGATCTTCAAAATGTAAAATGCCTATCTGTGTAATTGACTGGTTAGTCTCATTAATGAATATAGATTCAATTCTAATTTCTTGTTCTAGATAAATTATATAATCTAGATTTTCATTTCAGTTATTTACTGATAACAATAGGAAGAATGACAAGATATCAATTTTGGAAAATTACTCTGGTAGGAGTAAAGATGAAACAATGATAGATTTGCATGGAAAACTAGAAAAAAGTATGGTCTTCTGATATTCTATCACATCACATACTAAAGGCCTCATAAAACTCACATATTTTAACTAAAAATGTTATTTTCATCATAGGAATGATCAAAGCATGAGACTACAATTGTATTAACATATGCTTGTATCACAAGCACAGATGCTAAAAAGGAGGGGAAAACATCATTACTGATATTTTCAACGTATGTTTTACTTTTCATCAACATGAACCTCAACTTGATACGATGCAGATTGAAGGAAATCACCCATAATTCCATAGGAAGAAGGCCTGTGATATTTTATGGGAAAATAAATAGAGAAAATGCTAACAGAAACACTATTAAGCATGAAGATTTATGGAACAAACACAAATCCAGTGGTGAAAGATACACACTCAAGTTCTGTTTGTTGTCTTGGAACAATACAGTTTAGAGGTGACTGGTGGGTGAGGAGAACATATGCGAGTTCACCAAAGAGAAAAGCTGAATGAGGCAATGCCTCTTCCTGACCATATCTCTTACTCAGATAGGTATATAATTTATTGTCCAGTAAAGGGTATATTAAAAAATCATATTAAAAGTCATGCAGTGAAGTTGTCCAGGAAAATCAAGACTTAACAGTCTCACTCTGACAATAATGAACAGGGGGTTTCCCTCAAGATAGACTAGGACATGACCCCACACTGGCAGGTAGTAGTACCAGAAAATAACCCATGGAAAATCTTTACCTTATGCTTGAGGTAGGGACCAGGCTAAAGTGAAAGCTAGACATAAAATTCTATCTAAAATAAATCCACAATCGAAGAAAATATGTGGTGTACAGGCATAGAATGTCTTTACTGGATCATTGAAATAGTAAGATAAATTCAACATTTTACATTATTCTCTTTTCCTCCAGTTGGGGATTGAGGTTTGTCTCTGGAGAGTGACTGTCAATTGGAGCCCTGCCTTTCTGGGTTTCTGGTCAGGGGGTTGTGGATGCTTAACATGTGCCTTTCACAGGACACTTCCTTACCCCAGCAGTGGCCAGGTGTGCATCCCACGACCAGGCCTCCCTCTCACAGAACATCTGTTGAGACTAGGAGAGGCCTGGTGACTGTTGCCTGACCTGTGTCCTGTGTATTTCTGACAAGAGCCACTCTCAGAGACCTTGGCCAGGAGGAGAGTTAGGTTCCAGTGTAGGTCAGCTCAGACCATGGAGGCCACAGAACCAAACATGGGAAATCACAGAAGTAGGTTTATTACTCACAGATCCAGAGAGAAGAGGGTAGCTGAGAAGAGGGTTTAGCTGTGACCCTAGCCAAATCTCATCTTGAATTCCCACATGTTGAGGGAGGGAACAGGTGGGAGGTAATTGAATCATGGGGGCAGGTCTTTCCCATGCTGTTCTTCTGATAGTGAATATGTCTCACAAGATCTGATGGTTTTATAAAGGGGAGTTTCCCTGCACAAGCTCTCTTGTCTTGTCTGCTGCCATGTGAGACGTGCCTTTCACCTTGTGCCATGATTGTGAGGCCTACCCAGCCATGTGGAACTGTGCATCTATTAAACCTCTTTCTTCTAGAAATTACCCAGTCTTGGGCATGTCTTTACCGGCGGTGTGAAAATGGACTAATAGAGTAGCACACCTCATAGGGCTGAACAAAATGGGGAAGATGAGTGGGGAGCAGGAGAGAGAAAAGGAGTCTGTGGGACTCCAGCCTTTATTAGGCCCAGAACATTACTCAAATAAGTTTTCCACGGGGCACTAGTCGGTGGGGTGAGTGCCAGCAGGCACATTTCTTGACTCCTGCTGCAACCAACCAGGTCACTCTGGCGTGTGGGGGATGTCCATGTGTGCTGTGAGGTCTGTGAGGTGAGTCAGGTAGGTTGTATCCAATGGTTCCAGAGCTGGTAATCACCAGGAGGAGGCAAATGTGTAGGGTCAATATCTGGGCCAGCCACACTGAGGAACTGTGAGGGTTAGAACTGGAAATTGTCAAGGGAATCTGAACCCAGCTAACATATGAGAGAGTTCAACTTATGTTCAATGTGAATGCCATGGCAATATTAAAAGGTAAGAATTCGCTCCATATGTGTTTGAGGTAAATAGGAGAAGTCTAGAATTTATGTAAACAGTGAGAAAATTGGATGGGTTTTCCATCACATATTTTAATACTAGCAGCATACTATATATGTCAATAAATCAGGCATTCAGAAATACATGCTAATGAAAATTGTTTGCACCATCAGACAGAAGACAAGGGTAGAAGATATTTGTAAACCTATACACACTAGTAAATTAAAAACAGAAGGACCTTTATGTCCTAACATATCTGTGTTGTGAAAGGCTGCCCTGTGAAATACGGGATTTCTTAAACATATTTTAAAAATCATAGGTGGCAATAATTTTTAGAAATCCACTTAAGTTTTCTCTTGCTATTTTACAATGCCTATTTATTTATTTAGTGGCTTTGCTGATTTTGATGTATATCCTAAATTTTACATTTTCGTTAAAGGATGTTTTATACAACTTTCTGTATAATGTTTCAGTATCTTCACATTCTCTCCCTGTCCTTTTGTTTTGTTCTTATATGGTGGTCTTGAGTCTTTTCTCTGGCTTTTCAAACCTAGTAAGACTAAGACACTAAAGGAACTTTTCCTGTGGATTGGTAATGCCTTCTAAAGCACATCCTAAGCTCTCGTGCATATAGGGGTCTCCTTTGAGCTCTGTGCTTTTGAGATCCCATATACCTAAATTCCAGTACTCCAAATCAGTACTACTCAGTTTTAGTTACTAAGTTTAAAAATGTATTTTAATAGCAAGTTAGTTTAGTGCACTCTTGCTCCTTTCTTCAATGCTTGTATACATGCGTATTCCTTTAAAAGAATCTTGGAATTTATTTAAAAATTTTAAATTATGCTAATGAAACTGTATATTTTTGTGAATTCATAAGTGAATTTGGAAAGAATTTGTCTTTATGATACTAAATCCTTTTTATCCAAGAATCATATGAGTCTTTATGTTTATTCCAGTCTATATTTATATCACTGAGTATATATATAGAAATGTAGATACATACTGCTGTAGTTATAGATACAAATATAGATATAACATGTAAATCTATATCTATCCCATATAACATATATACATGCTATAAGTGTGTGTATATATATATATGTTTATGTTATTAAAGAGCTCCCTTAAAATTTTTCTTTTATTTCCTATATAATTTTAGGTCGAGCTTGAATTTTCCTTGTATAAACAAGCAAATATTTATACTAGTTTTAATACTGATATTTAGACATTCTATCTTATTTTAGCATTGAGTATTTTCACAATTATTATAAATAATATCTAATATTAATAATGTACCTGTTAAAAATATTTAAAATTTTACCTCTGAATTATTTTATTGTTGAATTAAAATTCCTTTAATATGATAGTAAATTTCTATTTTATGCTTTCTCTATGCATATGAAAATTAATGTATCCACTTCTCTATCTCCAAGTAGTAACATACGAAAATCAGGACTCTCTTCTTCTAATGGACATACACATGTTTGCATATAGAATATCAGACTCTTTATAGCATTTAAAATCTTTAAAGACATGAATATTGTCTTCTAACAAATATATTTTAGCATGTACTGAGAATCCCCTATTTATTTTTAATTTGGGCTAATCAATATGATTATTAATATTATTGGATTACCAAATTTGGAAACACATTTTCATCCCCAAGGTGGATATTTGTTTTATTATTTTTCCAATACCTTGTCTTACTGTTTCAAACATTGTTGAATATTATTTTTATTTTATTTGGCATTTTATTATCAACATTTGAAATTGATGTACTCCACATATTTTTTCTTCAGTATCTGGTGGTTTTTATAATTACTGCTCTATTGGATTTGTAGTAGACATTGACAAAAATTATTCTTGTATGTTTTATAGCTGTATGAAGGAAACTAATATATTTTACCCCTAAATATATTTCCTTGATAAATTTCAAAATGGCTATTAAGAAGGGCTGGAAATGCAAACATAGCTGCAAAGCTGTCTTGGGGAGATTTGCATCGGTAGAGAATCTGCCTTGATGCAGCCAGGCTTTCTCTGAGTTCTGCCCCATTGTCTGGATCTCGGAAAGCTTAAATGAGAGTCTGAGGTCTCCAAAGGTCTGAAAGAAACATTTTCTGTCTATCCTCTATGAGGACTGCTCCCAGTGAGATTCCACCTATGCAATAAGTCCACTTTTGCTAACCAGGGTCGTTTTCTCACACAACATTTTTTTTTTCCCTGTGATCCAAGACCCCATTCTTTCTGTAAACTTCATGTGGTAGATAAGCTTCTGCACGCATCGTGTGTCTGGGTCTTCGTTCTAAGGGCTCCAGTGTACACACATTGCAGAAACCTGTATGCCTTTTCTACTATTTATCTGCTTTCTCTTAGTGATTTTCAGGGAAACTTCAGAAGGCAAAAGGGACATTCTCCATTAGCCCATTCTCAGACAAAATCCCCCAACATTTAACTGATTCCTAATAGCTTAAAATCACTTTGACAGATCCATATATTTATAAACTTTTCTTCCCTCTATGATTTCTGGTCAGCTTGGGTTTTGGTTTTCATTCCATTTACTTCATCCTCGAAAAGATCTATTTTACGTCTATTTATTCTCATTTATAGACATTGAGAAAAGGAAATAACTTTCATGTGAGAAATGCAAGTCCTTTTAAATAATCAGGCCCAGAGAGATATTCAAATGAGACAGCAGTTCTGTCCTTCTCCTCTTTGAGGTGTGTGTTCATCTAGGCTGCTTGCTGTTGCCACAGTAGCTATAAATTAACCAATAACGACACACCCGACACTATAATCTGCACCCAATAATAGTGTAACAGTATATAGCCAGTCACTAATAAATGTTATTTCCATAAGCCAATGAGAATTTGTGACAAACCTCTTTGCATCATCCCACTTCTGGACCCTTTTTTGCCTTTAAGAAATTTATTGTTGCAAAGCTCCAAAGGGAGTTCATATCCAAGGATACTTGGGTCTGTTTCTTCCAGGTAGCTGTCCTCATTTTGGCTCAAGTAAACTCTTTGTATTACGTTTTGTGCTTCAGCCCCTTCCAAGTAGATTAACAACATGGATTTGTGTCACCATGTACAGCAATTAAAATGTTTACACTTTTCCCCTCGAGGGCACTGATGTGTTTTCCTGAGCACTTGGAATAGCTACGTAGTGTTTACTGTCTAGATTATGGTTTCTCAACCTTGGTGCTACTTACCTTTAGGACCAGAGGATTCTTTGTTGTGAGAGGCTGCCCTAGCAATGCTAAGTGTTTCGTTTGACCTCTATATTTCACACCTCCACCAGTCTAGACATCCCCACAATAACCCTAGACATTGACAAATGTCTCTTGGGGAGAACTCTCCACCAGTTGACAGCCAAAGTTCTGGAAATATTGGAATTGTCCATTCAGATTTTATGTTATCCAAAACAAATACTTTCTTTGTTTTTAAACATCTACTTCCATCTACTTATCTACTTATTTTTACTTTTATTTGTAACTTAATTCCATCAAGGAGAGAGAGTGTATTTTCTGTTATGCTAAATTTTTGAAGAATGTATTGATTTTTTATGACCTGATATATGGATGATATGTAGATATTACATGTTTGTATTATTAAATTTCAGCACGATAATAAAATAAATACTTCTAATATTTATATTGTCACTATATATTATTATTTCCTTTCTTCACTACAGGAGTTTTTCAACCTATACGCTATTTTTCAATTCCAGGTTATCCTGTAGATTTTGAAATGTTATGATTAAATATCTACTTCTCAATGATTCATCTTTGCAAATGAAACAATCCCAAGCTCTTATAATGCACATCATATAAAGGGCAGATGAGTCAATATATGGTTCAGAAATAGTTATTTAATATTTATAAGAAAATGAAAAATATATGTCCTTAACTCTCATAACAATAATCCAAATTAAAATTTGATTTCATTACATAATTTAAAATGACACCAGAATACTAGTAAAAATGTACATAAGTTTATATAATCTTTTTTAGCTGTAGGACTTTATTGGCGTAAATTCAAACACAGGAACCGAAGTAAGATTGAGACCTATAGTCAACGGTTAAAATGTACACATTATAGGGGCAGGAATAAACTAATTTAAAGCACGATAACATGGAGAATTATTGCAAAACATACATTTGACTGAATTAATTGTTAATATCTAATCATTATGCGAGAACAAAATTAAAGAGTAGCTACACACGCACACACCCACACCCAAGTGCAATATTGTCAAATAAACGATGTTCAGCTACACTAGAAATCACACCTGTGTTTTCTCCACAGAAAAGATTAAAAATCACAATAATATTTATTGTACATATGGTGGTAAAGATACTCAAAATATTACCCTAAAATACATTTTTTTTTGAGATGAAGTTTTGCTTTTATTTCCCAGGCTAGAGTGCAATGGCACAATCTTGGCTCAGTGCAACCTCAGCCTCCCAGGGTCAAATAATTCTCCTAGCTCAGCCTCCCAGGTAGCTGAGATTACAGGCATGCACCACCACAATCCGCTAATTTTTTGTATTTAGTAGGGACGGGGTTTCACCATGTTGGTCAGGCTGTTCTCCAAATCCTGACTTCAGGTGATCTACCCACTTCAGCCTCCCAAAATGCTGGGATTACAGGTGTGCGCCTGGCCAGCTTTTTGACATATTTCAAAATGGCTACCCAGAAGACTGGAGATAGCTTCTTCTACAAGAATAGCTGAAAAGCTCTGTTTGTTGGGGAGATTTGCATTTGTAGAGAAAATCTGCATTGTTATAGACAGGCTTTCCCTGAGATACTCCCTTGTCTGGGTTTAGGAAATATTAACTGAGCCTGGCACGTTTACATTTCTAGAAACCATTTCCTATCCATACTTCCCAAGAGGAGGGCTGCTCCCTGTGAGGTTTCATCCATGTAACAAAACCACCTCTGCTGCCAGGCTCCTTTTTCTTCCTTCTCCTCACCTGTCTTCCGCAAAGCCTGATTTACCAACCTACAGCTCTGTGTTTTCTGTAACCTCAAGACAGCATAGGCGTGTTGACTACCTTGCCTTTCCTGGAGTTTTTATATATATAGTATATATTTGTATATCTATTTATAATATACAAATATTTGTATAGATTTATTTATATATATTATGTAAACTCCAAGTGCATACTTGTGCACATATCTGTAAACCTTTTTTTCCTGTTAATTTGTACATTATCAGTTTGGTATATAGACTCAAATAATTAAAGCTTCAAGGGAAAAATTTAAACTTTCCTATAGAGAAAAGACAAATATATAGGTGACAAATAATATTTAGAGTGTAAGACGCTTTTTAAAGGTATATTTGCAATATGTGTCAAAACATTTAAATATACATTTGTTATTTTAACTATAAAATTTCAAATAATTTAAGCCAAATACATAGTATATGCAGAAAATTTAGCAATATATCTATGTAGCACCTTACTGTGCATTACTGTAACCAGCCGTCTGATATAAAGAATTAATTAAGGTAGCAGCTACTTTTCCAAGAGCTCATTTTTTTCACAGACCTATTAAATAAGAGAAATAACATTTAAACTTTATTTTTAAATTTGCAGAATAGTAGTTTTCAGCAGATGGTTTATTTTAGCAAATTCCATCTTCACATTGTGCTATGCTTTTATGAGTTCCAGCTGTTAACGGATCATATTTTACTGCTGAAACTATCATGTGTGATATAATTGCTCATTATGTGCCTTAAAACACACGCAATATAATTCTTTTCAATTTGGAGCAAATCAAAATCTTATCAGCAATTTAAAATCTCTTGAGTCGTCTTCTTCTGGTTAATTATTTTAAACTTGTATTTTTCTCTTTATGTTTTTAGTGAGTTGTCTTATCAAGGAGAAGAACTCAAGCTGATTATTCTTTTTTTTTCTCTTCCATCCACCTCGCAGGTGTGTTCATAATTTCATTTCTCAGAAAATGTTCTTTCATATCCATCTTACAAGATGAGAGACCTTTTAACATCTTCCATTCAGATGTGATACCAGTAATGGAAAATATTCCAGCTTCGTGAATATGGTGATACAAATAGTTATCCGTCTAACCTCTTTCAGTGCCAAATGTTTACTTTACTCAGTGAATTACTCAGTTGACTGGTAATTTCTTCTGAAATCACTAATGAGAGGATCAGAGGTCTGGCTGTTGTCTGTACTTCATATGACTCCCAGTGCAGACAATTGTTTCTATGGAGCACAGACAGTTGAAAGGATTGACTTCCTGCCTAGAATACTTTCTGCTGTGCTTCTTACCCTTCTTGTGGAGATTTCAGATTATATGAATTGCTTTTCTATCTTGAGATAAAACGCAACAATTCTCCCACCTGAGAGGAATGTAAACTGTAGTAAGTTAGCAGAACCAATCCGTAAAATTTTTACATTGTTGGTTGCAAAAAGCAGCGCTGGTGTCTCCATCACTAACCTTTTCTATCCCTCATTGCTCTTTCTTTGAATGCACTAGGATACCTCTAGGCAAATCTATATTCCCGAGACAGAGTGCCCTTTTGGTGAGCTATAAGCACACTCAATGGTAGGCTGAAATACTAGCTTTTATCTATGGCGAAATGGAATCATATCAGTGATTTTTTTAAAAAGGAAATTTAACTCTTGCTATGGTTTGAATGCTTGCCCCTTCCAATCTCATGTTAAAATTTGATCCCCAATGTAGCAGGCGGGGCTTACTGCGAGGTGTTTGTTCATGGTGTTGGACCTTCATGAATGGATAATACCCTCCTTTAGAAATCTGAAGCTATCCTCCCTCCTCGGTGCCCTCAGGAATGAGTGTACCATTCTTTATTCACCTATAATTCCCCCATTCATCCTTTTTGAGATAATCATTACATGTATGTTACACTGCTGCATATTGTCTGAAGTATCAGTGAGTTTCTGGCTTTCTTATTTTAGTTTACCCTTTGTCCTTTAGTTTGTAAAGCTTCTACTTTTTTCTATAAATTTTCTGATGTTAGGGTAAAATCCATTACTTATTCTATCTCATGGAATTTTTATTTCAAATATTTATTTTTCATCTATACATGTCACATTTCTCATTTTATAACTTCTATTTTTCTCCTATGTTCAATTTTCATTTAAGTACCTTGACATATATATGTATTTATCTATATGTATTTATAAAATATATTTACTTTAAGGACGTTGAAATTCCCTTCTTTTCCGTCATTTATAAATGTCTTATTTTTATCCTGTTAATATATATCTTAATTATATATATTTTGCGGCTTCTTTGCATGTCAGAGATTTTTTTGTGTATTTTGATTTTATGCTATTGAATATCTAGATTTTGTTGGCTACCTTTGAACAATGTTGTGGCAGGCAGTTCAGTAACTTCAGGATGAGTATTTGTCTGTTGTTGTTTTAAATCTTCTCTTTAAACTTTGTGGAGTTAGTCTAGAGCCATCTGTAATTTGGAACTAAATGAACACTGTCACTAGGGCATGAAACTCCAGTGGTCTTTACTGAATATCCTGGAGGTACAGAGGGGATTCCCTTCTCTGATTAGAATTTGGAATATAAAGAGAAAAGAGAAAAATAGAAAGCTATGCATAAACACGTGCATTAAAATGAATTTTATGTGGGCTTTTTCATGAAAATATTGTTAAAGTATTTTATTTTTTTATTGTGGTAAAATACACATAACATAAAATGTGCTCTGTTAACCATTTTAAGTGTACAGTTCAGTGGTACTAAATACAGTCATAACATTGTGCAGCCGTCCCTACCATCCATCTCCATAAATCATTTCATCTTGTAAAACTGAAAGTCTATACCTATTAAACAATACTTCCCCATTTCTTCCTCCCCCCAGTTTCTGGCAACCATCATTGTACCATCTCTATAATGCTAATCAAGCATAGTGGCTGTGTTTCTTGCTTCCTCTAGTCCGCAGGTAGCATACAAATGTAATAAACTACTTATTCATGTCACATCTATTTATTTTCTGCCTTTTACCAAGCTTGTGGGATTCTCTTAAATACAACATTTTTATACTTGCACCTATGCAATACCCAGTAGCATCGTCTTCCTAAATCAGGGGAAATTGAGCCTCTGTAAGGTGGAATAACTTCCTAAGATATAAAACTCAGCATTGAAGTCTGTATACTTCAATATCCTTCCCTCTTCACATTTGTCTTTACTGCCTTTTATGTATGTGTTAGATGTTCAATAAATTCTCTTTTTTAAACTGAATGTAAGCCGTGGAGCAGTGTTTGGTTGAACAATAAATATGATATAGGACACTCTTCCTCCCTTTCATTTATGATCCTGCTCATGAAAAAGAGAAATTCTTTCATTGTGCTAGAAGCTTAAAATAATGAAAATGCCACTTTCTACATTAAACAGAAACTGAAAGGAATCAAGGATAATTGCATGAGACATAGAAAACAAGTGGGAAAGAAATCTAGTATAATTTGCCCGTTGTGTACCTTTATTATTTTGCGTTTGAGTAAATGATTCCCCCAAATATCTTCCCGTCTTAATTCATGTCTCTAAAGTAGACATTTATGTCTCACCTTGTCAAGAAGGGCAAACTCTAACATAAACATTTCCCAAAAATGCTTCCTGCTAAAACGTAAGCTCAGTCTGGCTAGAAATGCAGCTCACTTCATAAAGATTAATTGGTAGCTGATTTTGCATGCTGTTCTCTGAACTTGAGTGAAACCTGTCCATCAGGCATACAGGAAATGACGGAAAAGGTGACAACAGAAGATGAATGCTATGTCACTAACCTTCAAAGATGACCTACCTTTTCTTTCAAATTCTTGATATGTTAAGACTTCATTAATTCATCTCTCTTTGCCCTTGGTTCAACATTGTGCTATACCAAAACTGAAGTAAAACAATGATCTAATGTAATAAAAATGGATTTTTCTTTCATGTAGGTGCAAGCTAACTGGCATTTTTACAATCCACATATTTCCTTTGTCAATTTTTCTTTCTGTATTGGAAGTAATTGATGGGTATTTCTGAAGGGATGAAGGTGTTTCTGTGTTCATTGTGATCCAAACTATTTTTAGACCTAGGGCCATTTGTAAAAGAATTTGTGCCAGCTGACCAAGGATCACTGTGGCAGAAAGCAGCAAACTTCCATAAGATGTCACTGCCTCATCAGCTGGCTTTGAAAACTAGGGGCTTACTCTATAGTCTTATGAATCAAAGACATTGATAGATGTAATATAAGATTATAATCATATTTTCCTTTTGACAGTCACATTATAAAGCATGATGTATTGCAATTAATCTCAATTAGCTGATCACAATGAAAATTAATAATGTTTATTATTCCTGATAAACAATCATGACTCTCCTCTTCTCAAATGTGCAAGTAATTCTTGTAATTTTAATATGTTTGCATATTATTATTAATTGATTTAATCTCATTGGATTTGGTTCATGGATCCAATTTATTAAAATATTGATAATGGGATAATGATTTGTCTCCCCATTTCATGTACACTAAAAACAACAATTCTTACAATGATCTGCAAGCCCATCATGATCTGCCACATGTTAACCGCCAAGATTCTTTATATCTTCACCCTTGGTCTTACCAGTGGTCCTGGCCACCTCAATGTCCTCTGGACATGCCAACAGGCTGCTGCCTTATGACCAACGCTCTAGTTAATTTCTTGGCTTGGAAAGAGAGTCCTCCATATATCCATTCATCAGCTCATTCAACTTCCTCAAGTCTTTACTGTAACTTTACATTCTCGATGAGGCCTAATCAGTATTTCAAACTGCCTCCCATCTGCAACATTCCAAAAACCCTTACTCCTCCGTGTATTTGTGAAAGGATTTATTGAGATATAATTTACATAGTGTTGAGTGCACACATTAATGTCTACAAGTCACTGGCTTTTAGTATGTGCACAGATAAGTGGAGCCATCATCACAATGAATTTTAGAACACTTTCACCACTTCAAAAAAAAACCCCACCTTCTCTAGCTGTTAACCTCCTATGCACCCATCCCCTACTCAATCCTAAGCAACCACAAATCTGTTTTCTGTCTCTATAGATTTTCCTATTCTGTTTTCATCTAAATAGAATCATAAATTAGGTGGCCTTTTCTGCCTGGCTTCTTTCAGTTGGGATAATGCTATCAAGTTTCATGTAAGTATTGGTACTTTATTTCTTTTTATAACTGTATAACATTCAATTTCATGGATAAAACATTTTGTTTATCCAATAATATTTTTATTTACATTTAAGTTGTGTTCAGCCTTTGGCTATTTTCAATACTGCTGCTAAAAATACTTGTGTACAATTTGTGTTTGAACACCTCTTTCCAATAATCTGGGTGTATACCTAGGAATAAATTTCTGGGTCATATGACAATTCAATGTTCAATATATTTAGAAGCCATCAAATTATTTTCCAAAGTGGCCAGTTCTAGCCATAGAGTATCTAACTGTGGTTTTGATTTGTAGTTGCCTGATGAGTGATGCTATTGAGTATCTTTATATGGGATTATTGACCGTTCGTGTATCTTCTTGGGAAACACATCTATTCCTATCATTTATCAGTTTTGAGTTGGGATATTTGTTACTGAGTTAAAACAATTTTTCTATATTCAAGATACATGTATATACAGACATATAGATACGTGTTTTTCAAATATCTTCTCACAATTTTTGAGTTGCCTTTTGACTTACTTGGTTGTCCTTTGAAACATCAATGTCTTTAATTTTTAAGAAATTTTAAATATCTAATTTTTATTTTCTTGCTCATGTTTTTGGTGTTACAGCTATTCCTTTGCTAGATCCAAAATACTGAAGATTTTCCCATATGCTTTATTCTAGCTCTCGCATGTGTGTCTTTAATTCATTTGAGTTAATATTTTTGTATGCTTTGGGGTAAAGGTTCAAATTTATTATTTTGCAAGTGGTGATCCACGTGAACGTTGTTGACCTAGTTTGTTCAAAGACCGTCTCTTCCTCGTTGAATTGCACACGGCACCACTTTAAGAATGCATTGACTATATACACATAGTTTTATATATGGACTCTCAATTCTCTTCCATCAATCTATATATTTTTCCCTCATTAATATTGTGTTGTCTTGATTACTGATACTTTGCAGTAAGGTTTGGAGCATGGGGGTGTGAATTATCCTAATATATTTTCTTTTTTCAAGATTATTTTGGCTATTTTGGGTCCCTCACAATTCCATGTGTATTTCAGAATCAGCTTATCAGTTTCTAGACAGAAGTCTGTTGGGATACTTGCAGGGATTTCATCAATCTGTAGTTCAAATTGTAAAGTACCACAATATTAAATCTTCCAATTCATGGCTGTAAGATGTTTGCTAATTATTTAGATATTCTTTAAACAATAATTTTTAATTTTCAGAGTAAACTCTTGTATCACATTTTCCAAATTAATTATTATTTCTTTTTTTGATGCTATTTTAAATTGTTTTCTTAATTTCATTTTTGGGTTTTCATTGTAGATGTGTGCAATTGGTTTTTGTACATTTATCTTGTATGCTGTAATATTGCTGGAATAATTTACTAGTTCTATTGTTCAGTGGATTCCTTAAAATTTTTTATATACAAGAATGTTATTTTCAAATAACGTTTTATTTCTTCCTGTTCAATATGGGTGACTCTTATGTTTTTAGTTGCTGATTTGCCCTGCATAAAATCTTTAGTACAGTGTTGACTAGAAGAGGTCAAAGTATACATCCTATTCTTATCTCTGACCATAGCAGGAAAGCATCCTTTACCATTAAGTTGCATGTTTGATGTTGGCTTCTCACAGGTGCCATGTATCTGGTGTAGAAATTTCTCTATTCCTGGTTCATTGTGTTTTTATTTTTATTTTTAATCATTAAAACATTTGGATTTTGGTAAAAGTCTTTTCTGAATCTATCGAGATGATCATGCAATTCTCGTTTCTTATTCTATGGATAAGATGTATTACCTTAATGGATTTTGGGCTGTTAAACCAACCTGGGATTACTTGTATAAATTTCACTTTGTCATAGTGTATAATTCTTTTATATGTTGCTAGATCTGATTTGTTAGTATTTTTTAAGGTATTTTGCCTTTATACTTACAGTAGTTTTATTTTTCTATGCTATTTGGACTATTTTTTGTGTCAAGGTAACACTGGTCCTACAGAATAAATTGGGAAGTGAATATTTCTCTCTTTTAAAAAAGCTAGTCAAGAATTAATATCAGTTATTCAACACTAACAAATATTATTATTATAAATTATTAATTTCTCCAATTTTTATTTTCTTCCTTCTGCTTGCTTTAGTTTTAGTTTGCTATTCTTTCCAGTGCCTTAATGTGGAAGGTCATCTTATCTCATCCTTTCATTTGTCTTTTCATTTTCTAAATAGTGTCTTTTTAGCATCAGGTGAGCTCCCCAGGTTGGTAGCATTCCATGATTATTGCTGTACAACAGTGACAGTTAATATGTCACGAAGACAATGAAAACTTAACATTCAAAATCTCCTAGATTCCACATTATATGATATGTCTCTTTAACTGGTCCTAATTTCTACCCTTTCTCTATTATAAACCAAGAGTACAACGGCATTCAATGAGTTCTGAGATTCTTTCTAGTAAATTGTTGAAACTGAGGGTGTTCAGGGGAAACCCCTGAACTGGCAGTTGGTGTCAGAAATGAGAATCGTCTTATATGGCCTCTTCCTTTGAACTTTGCAGCTGGACGCAAACTCTGCAGAATTTGGGCCAGAAGTCTCGTGTTGACTTTGCAGCCTAAAGTGTCTTGTAGTTTTTCTAACCCTCAATAAATTTGCTTTCATCAAATATTGTATTTGTTACCCCAAAATTACCATCACGTTTTTTCTCCAAATAACTAACATTGGGAGAAATAGCCAGCTGAGTCTGTAACTCAACAGAAACAAGTGATCCATATACCATATACCATATAAGTGGCCATTTCATTTTGCCTTCTGCCACCAAATCTTAGCAACCTCAACCATTGCCATGAGCCACTCTAGGCCTACCAGCTACAAACAAACAAGTATCTTTTAAAAACACTTCATACTCCCATTTGATAAATTTCCCAGCAAAGACATGCCTACTTTAACTCTATGCAAGTGGCTCATATTCATGGTCTGTAGATATTATTCATGTAGTGTGAGAAAATCATCCCAGCGATGCCAGCATATTCTCCTTCCCATGATCTGCTTAGTTTGCAAACATATTCAGGCCATGGGTGAGAGATTTGTATTTCACTGTACAACAATTTTATGGAGGGAATTGAAACCTACCTTGAGCATTTTAGTACAGTCACACATCACTGAATGATAGGGATAGGTTCTATCATATGTATCCATAGGCAATTTCTTCATTTTGCAAACATCACGGAGAATATTACAAACACCTAGATTGTACAGCCTACCACGTCTAGGTTATATGGTATAACCTCTCTCTCCCCGGCCACAAACCTGTGTACTACATTACTGTACTGAATACTGCAGGCAGTAAGAACACAGTGGTAAGAGATTATGTATCTAAACATACTTAAACGTAGAAAAGTATGTAAAAATATGTATTATAATCTCATGGAACCACTTTTATATATGTAATCCATCTTTGATTGAAATGTTATTATGCATGACATGACTCTATGACAAAAATAAAATAACACATTGTAAAAAATATACACAGGTATCAAACATTTTAATATTGTAAAAATAAAAATATTCAGTGTAAGAATTTGTAATGATCACAAAATGTTCACAGCTTATATTTTAGTACAGTTTCAAATGCCTAGTGCAATTAATATTTGTTTCTGTGTGTATTTTAAGCATGTATATTATAAATATTTTTCAGGTTCAACAAAATATATCAATCCAACTGGCTCTTATAAATATTAGTTAAAATCAATTAGTAAATTCATATGTATATATACACACGTGTATCTGTCTGTATGCATGTATGTATGTGTAAATGTAACTGTATATGTGTGTAAATGTAACTGGATGCATCCTAATATTTACCCTTACCTACAAGATTTCCAAGATTCATTTATTATCTTTAGATGATGTGCATTTAAATATTTACCAAATAAAACTGTAATCATGGAAAATATCAAGATGTTTCTAAATTCCTCTTGTGCACATAATTGTTCTTTAAATTTATGGTTCTTGCAAAACTTTTGGTAATGCTCATGCAAAAAATAATTTCCTAAATAAAAAATAAGAACATTTTCTCTGTCATTAATTCTTAATAATTATTTCTCCCCAACAATTAATGTGAATTAATTCTTAATTCTTAATTATAGAATAATGTTGCCCTTCAGAGTTCTGAATCTTTTGCATGTTGTATACATTTCACTAACTAGAACAACTTCTGAAATATTGGCATTAATTAATGTCACTCAGCAATTAATGATTTCAAAGAAATTAAATACCATTCATATTCTGAATCACAAGGGTACTTTGGCATCTAATTTAATCAAGCTCTTTGTATCATCATCTACACTTTAATTACTTAACAAACATTTCTCTGTGTGAGAAAGTTTGAGCACGTTATTGTGCTTTTTTAAGATGCAACGTTTGCTTAATCTAGAGATAGGCAGTGCTCCCTATAAGGCACAAAGAGAAAAATGAAAGAGCAATAGAGATGTGACAGGCATGTAAAAAGAGAATACATTTATATAACAAATAGGGCCACAGATGATGATAATGGGGATCAAATCTTGAGATACTGACTCAGGTTATAACTGCACTGTACAATAGAGCAAATCATTTGTTAATTTGTTTACAAGTGGAATTTAATTTAATTAAGATGAATACAGTGTTTTAAACAAGGCAGATCATCTTAAAATAAAATAGTGGAATAAAGTGATAAAACCAATGTAAAAATGATAAACATTTTATAAAGAATTTTTGTCATGTAATTTAATATTTTTCTTTATTTAAAATCACCCAAATCAAAATAATTTTATCTTAATTAACAAATAATCATCAGAAGTTAACTAATTTTTATTTTATAATTCTAGGGTTAAATATTATTACTATATTTTTAATCATATATGCTTATACATAAAATAAACATAGGGTATAAGTTTACATGTTCACAATATTATATTTTAATTGTTCCTATGCAATGGAATGGAATCATTGAATGGAATTGAATGGAATCACCAATGAAGGGAATCGAATGGAATCATCATCAAATGGAATCAAGTGGAATCATCGAATGGAATCTAACAGAATCATTGACGAATGGAATGGAATGGAATCATTGAATAGAATTGAATATAATCAACAATGAATGGAATCTAATGGAATCCTCATCAAATGGTTTCAAATGGAATCATCAAATGGACTCGAACGGAATCATCGGATGGCAATGACTGGAGTCATCATCGAATGGAATCATCGAATGGAATCAAATGGAATCATCGTCAAATGAAATCGAATGGAATCATGGAATGGCATCAAATGGAATCATCATCCAATGGAATCAAATGGAGTGATCTAACAGACTCGTGTGGAATCATCATTGAATGGAATCGAGTGGAATCATCTAACAGAAACGAATGGAATCATCATCGAATGGAATCAAAAGGAATCATCATCAAATGGAATACAATAGAATCATCATATAATGGAATTGAATGGAATCATTGAATGGAATATAATGGAATCATCATCAAATGCAATCAAATAGAATCATCGGATAAAATTGAACGGAATAATCATCCAATGGAATCGAATGGAATCATCATCGAATGGAATAGAATGGAATCATCAACGAACGGAATTAAATAGAATCATCAAATGAAGTTGAATGGAATCAACATCGAATGGAAACGAATGGAATCATCACCGAATGGAATCGAATGGAATCATCATTGAATGGAAACGAATGGAATCTTCAACAAGTGGAAACACATGGAATCCTCGAAAGGATTCTGATGGAATCATCAGCACATGGAACCAAATGTAATCATGATGGAGTGGAATCGAATGGAATCATCATCAAATGGAATCCAAAGGGATCACTGAATTAAATGAAATGATCATCGAACGGAATTGAAGGGCATCATCAAATGGGATGGAATGGAATCATTGAATTGAATTGAATAGAATCACCGAAAGGATTCGAATGGAATCATCATCAAATTGAATCGAATGGAATCATAGAATGGACTCGAATGGAATCATCACCGAATGGAACCGAATGGAAACATCGAATGGACATGAATGAAATCATCGTTGAATGGAATCGAATGGTATCATTGAATGGACTCGAATGGAAACATCATGCTATGGAATCAGATGGAAACGTCCATTGGCATCGAATTGAATCGTCAGTGAATGGAAGCTAAGGGAATAATCAAATGGAACCGAATGGAATCATCAAATGGACTCGAGTGGAATCATCATTGAATGGAATTGAATGGAATCATCCAATGGACACGAATGGAATCATCTTCGAATGGAATTGAATGGAATCGTCAAATGGACTCGAATGGAGTCATCATCAAATGAAATCTAATGGAATCATCGAATGGACTCGAATGGAATCATCATCAAATGGAATGGAAAGGAATCATTGAATGGAATCGAATGGAATCATCATCGAATGGAATGGAATCTTCGAATGGACTTGAATGGAATCATCACCGAATGGAATCGAATGGAATCTTCAAATGGACTCCATTGAAATCATCATTGAATGCAGTCGAATGGAATCATCATCGAATGGAATCGAATGGAATCATCCTCAAATGGAATGGGAAGGAATCATCCAGTGGAGTCAAGTTGAATCATCATTGAATGGAATCGAATAGAATCATTGAATGAAATCGAATGGAATCATCATTGAATGGAATCATCATGGATTGAAATCGAATGGAATCATCATTGAATGGAATCAAAAGGAATCATCATCGAATGGAATCAAATGGAATCATTGAGTGGACCCGAAAGGAATCATCATCAAATGAAATCGAATGGAATCATCAAATGGCATCAAATGGAATCATCAATGAATGGAATCTAAGGGAACAATTGAATGGAATCAAAAGGAATCATCAAATAGACTCGAGTGGAAACATCTTCGAATGGAATCAAATGGAATCATCGAATGGACACGAATGGAATCATCATTGAATGGAATCGAATGGAATCATCGAATGGACTCGAATGGAATCATCATCGAATGGCATCGAATGGAATCTTTGAATGCACTTGAATGGAATCATCATTGAAGGCAATCGAATGGACTCGAATAGAATCATCATCAAATGTAATCGAATAGAATCATCGAAAGGACTCGAATGGAATCATCATCGAATGGCATCGAATGGAATCTTTGAATGCACTCGAATGGAATCATCATCGAATGGAGTCAAATAGAATCATCCAATGTAATAGAATTGAATCATCATCAAACGGAATTGAATAGAATCATCAACGAATGGAATCAAACGCAGAAATTGAATGGAATCCAATTTTATCTTCATCGAATTCAACCCAATGGAATCATTAAATGGACTCGAATGGAATCATAAAATGGACTCGAATGGAATCATCATCAAATGAAATCAAATGGAATCATCGAATGGACTCGAATGGAATCATCATTGAATGGAATTGAAAGGAATCATCAAATGGACTTCAATGGAATCATTGAATGGGCTCGAATGGAATCATCATGGGATGGAATCAAATACAATCATCAAAAGGACACGAATGGAATTATCATTGAATGGAATCAAATGGAATAATCGAATGGAATAAAATGGAATCATCATTGAATTGAATCAAATGGAATCATCATTGAATGGAATTGAATGGAATCATCATCAAATGGAATCGAATGGAATCATAATCAAATGGAAACTAATGGATTCATCAACGAAATGAATCGAATGCAGAAATTGAATGGAATCGAATGGAATCATCATCGAATGGAATCAAAAGGTATCATCACGGAATAGAATCGAATGGAATCATCGAATGGAATGGAATGGAATCATCAACGAATGGAATCGAAGGGAATCATCAAATGGAATCGAGCGGAATCATCGACTGGAATCGAATGAAATCATCACCAAATGGACTCGAATTGAACTATCATTGAATGGAATCGAATGGAATCATCGAATGGACTCGAATGGAATAATTGAATGGATTCCAATGGAATCATCAAATGGAATCGAATGGATTCAGTGAATGGACTCGAAAGGAATACATCATCAAATGGAATTGGATGGAATCAATGAAATAACTCGAATGGAATCTTCAAATGAACTCAAGTGGAATTGTCATCGAATGGAATCGAATGGAATCGTAGAATGGACTCGAATGGAATCATCATCAAATGGAATCAAATGGAATCACTGAATGCAGTCGAATGGAATCATCATCGAATGGAATCAAAGGCAATCATTGAATGCACTCCAATGGAATCATCATCGAATGGAATCGAATGGAATCATCAAATGGACTAGAAAGTAATCATCATCGAATGAAATTGAGTAGAATCACCGAATGGACACGAATGGAATCATCATCGAAAGGAATCAAATGGAATCATCGAATTCACTCAAATGGAATCATAGTGGAATGGAATTGAAAGCAATAATCGTATGGATTCTAATGGAATTATCAAACTGACTCAAATGGAATCATCGAATGGACTCGAATGGAATCATCATCGAACGGACTCTAACGGAATCATCGAATGGACTCTAATGGAATCATTGAATGGAAACGAATGGAATCTTCAATTGGACTCAAGTGGAATTATCGAATGGGCTCGAATGGAAACATCGAATGGACTCGAATGGAATCATTATCAAATGGAATCGAATGGAATGATCAAATGGAATTGATTGGAATCATCATCACATGGAATCAAATTGAATCATCGAATGGAATCGAAAGCAGTCATCTTTGAATGGAATCAAGTGGAATCATCATCAAATAAAATCGACTGGAATCATCGAATGGATTCAGATGGAATCATCGAATGGAATCATCATCGAATGGAATTGAAAGAAATCATTATCGAATAGAATCGAATGGAAACATTGAATGGAATCATCATCAAATGGAGGCCAATGGAATCATCAAATTGACTCAAATGAAATCATCATTGAGTGGAATCAAATGGAGTCATCGAATGGAATCGAATGGAATCATCATCGAATGAAATCTAATGGGATCATTGAATGCACTCTAATGGAATCATCAACGAATGGAATCGAATGGTATAATCGAATGGAATCGAATGGAGTCAGCTTCATGTGGAATCCACAGGAATCACCAAATGAACTCTAATGGAATAATCATCGAATGGAATTGAGTGGAATCATGAAATGTACTGGAATGGAATCATCGAATGGAATCGAATGGAAACATAGAATGGAATCGAATGGAATCATCAAAGAATGGGATCAAGTGGAATCATCAAATGAACTTGGATGGAATCATCATTGAATGTATTCGAAAGGAATCATCGAATATACTCGAATAGAATCATCATCAAATGGAAAAGAATGGAATCATCAAATGGACATGAATGGAAACATCGTTGAATTGAATCATATGGAATCATCAAAAGGAATCAAATGCAATCATCATCAAATGGAATCAAAAGGAAACATCAAATGGAATCGAATGGAATCACCAATGAATTGAATCGAATGGTATCATGGAATGGAATTGAATCATCTGAAAGTTAAATGTAAAGGAATCACCGAATGGACTCCAATGGAATAATCATCTAATGGAATCCAGTGGAATCATTGAATGTACTTGAATGGAATCATTGAATGGACCCGAATGGAATCATCATCGAATAGAATCAAATGTAATCATTGAACGGAATCGAATGGAATCACCATCAAATGGAATCAAAAGGAATCATTGAATGGACACGAATGGAATCATCACTGAAAGGAATAGAAAGGAATCATCATCAAATTGAATCTAATGGAATCACCATGGAATGGAATCGAATGGAATCATCAAATGGACTGAAATGGAATCATCATCGAATGAAACCTAATGGAATCATCGAATGCAACAGAATGGAATCATTGAATCGATTCGAATGGAATCATCATCGAATGGAATTGAATAGAATCATTGAAGGCACTCGAAAGGAATCATCGAATGGACTTGAAAGGAATCATCATCAAGTGGAATCGAATGGAATCATTGAACGGACTCGAAAGGAAACTTTGAATGGACTCAAATGGAATCAACATCGGATGGAACTTAATGGAATCATCGAATGGACTCGAATGGAGTCCTCATCGAATGTAATCACAGGGAATCACTGAATGGACTCGAATGGAAATGTCGAATGACCTCAAATTGAATCATCATTAAATGGAATCTAATGGAATTATCGAATGGACTCTAATGGAATCATCGAATGGACTCAAAAGCAATCATCATCGAGTGGAATCGAATGAAATCATCGAATGGACTCGAATGCAATCATCAAACGGCCTCGAATGAAATCATCATCGAACAGAATTGAATGGAATCATCATATGAACTCGAATGGAATCATCATCAAATGGAATCGAATGGAATCATCATCAAATGGAATTGAAAGGAATAATTGAATGGACTCAAATGGAATCATCGAATGGACTGAAATAGAATCATCATCCAGCAGAATCAAATAGAATCATCAAATGGACTCAAATGTAATCATCATCGAACGGAATCAAATGAAATCATCATCAGATGGAATAGAATGTAATCATCACTGAATGGAATCGAATGGAATCATTGAAGGGAATGAGATGGAATCATCATAGAATGGAATCAAATAGAAGCATCGAATGAAATCGAATGGAATCCTCATCGAAAGGATTCGAATGAAATCATCATCAAGTGGAGTCAAATGGAAAAATCGTCTAATGGAATCAAAATGAATCATCATCGAATGGAATCGAATGGAAACATCATCGAATTGAATCAAATGGAATCATCATAGAATTTAATCAAATGGAATCATCGAATGGAATCATCATCGAATGGAATCCTCGAATGGAAGCGAATGGAATCATCATCGAATGGAATCGAATGGAACCATCAAATGAAATAGAATGGAATCATCATCGAAGGGAGTCAAATGGAAACATCATAGAATGGAATTGAATGGATTCATCGAATGGAATCAAATGGAATCATCATCGAATGGAATCGAATAGAATAATTGAATGTAATCGAATTGAATCATCATTGAAGGGTCACGAATGAAATCATCATCGAATGGACTCGAATGAAATCATCATCCAATGGAATAGAATGGAATATTGGAATGGACACGAAAGCAATCATCATTGAAAGGAATCGAATGTAGTCACTGAATGGCATTGAATGGAATCATCATTGAATCGAATCTCATGGAATAATCAAATGGACTCGAATTGAATCATCGTATGGAGTCGAATGGAATCATCATCGAATGGAATCGAATGGAATCATTGAATGGACTCGAATGAAATCATCATCAAATGGAATCGAATGGAGTCATTGATTGAACTCGAATGGAATCATGATAGAACGGAATCAAATGGAATCACAGAATGGACTGGAATGGAATCATCATCAAATGGAATCGAATGGAATCATCTAATAGACTCCTAAGGAAACAACATCGAATGGAATCGAATGGAATCATCCAATATAATAGAATTGAATCACCGTCGAATGCAATTGAATAGAATCATCGAATGAAATCAAATGGAATCATCATCGAATGGAATTGAATCATCAATGAATGGAATCGAATGGAATCAAAGAATGGAAACCAATGTAATCATCATCGAATTGAACCCAAAGGAATCATTCATTGGACGCGAATGGAATCATAAAATGGACTCGAATGGAATCATCAGCGAATGGAATAGAATGGAATCATCGAATGCACTCGAATATAATCTACAAGTGGATATTTGGATAGCTTTGAGGATTTCGTTGGAAACGGGTATAACTTCATATAAAATCTAGACAGCAGCATTCTCAGAAACACTTTTGTGATGTTTGCATTTAAGTCACGGAGTTGAACATTCCCTTTCATAGAGCAGGTATGAAACACTCTTTTTGTAGTATCTGGAAGTGGACATTTGGAGCACTTTGAGGCCTATAGTGAAAAGGGAAACATCTTCCAATAAAAACTAGACAGAAGCATTCTCGGAAACTTGATTATGATGTGTGTACTCAACTAACAGAGTTGAACCTTTCTTTTGATAGAGCAGTTTTGAAACACTCTTTTTGTAGAATTTGCAAGTGGATATTTGGATAGCTTTGAGGATTTCGTTGGAAATGGGAATATCTTCATATAAAATCTGGACAGAAGCATTCTGAGAAAAAACTTTGTGGTGTTTGCATGCAAGTCACAGAGTTGAACACTCCCTTCCATAGAGCAGGTTTGAAACACTCTTTTTGAAGTATCTGGAAGTGGACATTTGAAGCACTTTGAGGCCTATGGTGAAAAAGGAAATCTCTTCCCATAAAAATTAGACAGAAGCATTCTCAGAAACTTGTTTATGATGTGTGTACTCAACTAACAGAGTTGAACCTTTCCTTTGACAGAGCAGTTTTGAAACACTCTTTTTACAGAATCTGCAAGTGGTTATTTGGATAGATTTGAGGATTTCGTTGGAAACGGGAATATCTTCATGTAAAAGGTAGACAGAAGCATTCTCAGAAACTTCTTTGTGATGTTTGCATTCAAGTCACAGAGTTGAACATTCCCTTTCATAGAGCAGGTTTGAAACACTCTTTTTGTAGTACCTGGAAGTGGAAATTTGGAGCACTTTGAGGCCTAAGGTGAAAAAGGAAATCTCATCCCATAATAACTAGACAGAAGCATTCTCAGAAACTTGTTTCTGACGTGTGTTCTCAACTAACAGACTTGAACCTTTCTTTTGATAAAGCAGTTTTGAAAAACTCTTTTTGTAGAATCTTGAAGGGGATAATTGGATAGCTTAGAGGATTTCATTGGAAACGAGAATATCTTCTAAAAAATCTGTACAGAAGCATTCTGAGAAACATCTTTGTAATGTTTGCATTCAAGTCACAGAATTGAACATTCCCTTTAACAGAGCAGGTTTGAAACACTCTTTTTGTAGTATCTGCAAGTGGATATTTGGAGCGCTCTGAAGATATGGTGAAAAAGGAAATCTGTTCCCATAAAAATTAGACAGAAGCATTCTCAGAAAGTTGTTTGTGATGTGTGTACTCAACTAACAGAGTTGAACCTTTCTTTTGATAGAGCAGTTTTGCAACACTCTTTTTGTAGAATCTGCAAGTGGATATTTGGATAGCTTTGAGGATTTCATTGGAAACGGAAAAATATTCATATAAAAAGTAGACAGAAGCATTCTCAGAAACTTATTTGTGATGTTTGTATTCAAGTCACGGAGTTGAACATTCCCTTTCATAGAGCAGGTTTGAATCACTTTTTTTGTAGTATCTGGAAATGGACATTTGGAGAGATTTGAGGCCTACGGTGAAAAATAAAATCTCTTCCCATAAAAACTAGATAGAAGCATTCTCAGAAACTTGTTTGTGATGTGTGTACACAACTAACAGAGTTGAACCTTTCTTTGGATAGAGTAGTTTTGAAACACTCTTTTTGTAAAATCTGCAAGAGGATATTTGGATAGCTCTGAGGATTTCATTGGAAATGGGAATATCTTCAAATAAACTCTACACAGAAGCATTGTCAGAAACACCTTTGTGATGTTTGCATTTAAGTCACGGAGTTGAACATTCCCTTTCATACAGCAGCTTTGAAACACTCTTTTTGTAGTATCTGGAAGTGGACCTTAGGAGCGCTTTGAGGCCTATGGTGAAAAGGGAAATATCTTCAAATAAAAACTAGATAGAAGCATTCTCAGAAACTTGTTTGTTATGTGTGTACTCAACTAACAGAGTTGAACCTTTCCTTTGATAGAGCAGTTTTGAAATACTCTTTTTGTAGAATCTGCAAGTGGATATTTCGATAGCTTAGAGGATTTCGTTGGAGATGGGAATATCTTCATATAAAATCTGGACAGAAGCATTCTGAGAAACATCTTTGTGATGTTTGCATTCAAGTCACAGATTTGAACATTACCTTTCATAGAGCAGGTTTGAAACACTCTTTTTGTAGTATCTGGAATTGGACATTTGGAGCGCTTTGAGGCCTATGGTTAAAAAGGAAATCTCTTCACATAAAAACTAGACAGAAGCATTCTCAGAAAGTTGTTTATGATGTGTTTACTCAACTAACAGAGTTGAAACTCTCTTTTGATAGAGCAGTTTTGAAACACTCTTTTTGAAGTATCTGCAAGTGGATATTTGGATAGCTTTGAGGATTTTGTTGGAAACGGGAATATCTTCATATAAAAAGTAGACAGTAGCATTCTCAGAAACTTCTTTGTGATGTTCGCATTCAACTCACAGAGTTGAACATTTCCTTTCATAGACCAGGTTTGAAACACTTTTTTTGTAGTATCTGGAAGTGGACATTTGGAGAGCTTTGAGGCCTATGGTGAAAAAGGAAATCTCTTCCTGTAAAAACTAGATAGAAACATTCTCAGAAACTTGTTTGTGATGTGTGTACTCAACTAACAGAGTTGAACCTTTCTTTTGATAGAGCAGATTTGAAACACTCTTTTTGTAAAATCTGCAAGAGGATATTTGGATAGCTCTGAGGATTTCGGTGGAAACGGGAATATCTTCATATAAACTCTACACAGAAGCATTCTCAGAAACACCTTTGTGATGCTTGCATTTAAGTCACGGAGTTGAACATTCCCTTTCATACAGCAGCTTTGAAACACTCTTTTTGTGGTATCTGGAAGTGGACATTAGGAGCGCTTTGAGGCCTATGGTGAAAAGGGAAACATCTTCAAATAAAAACTAGATAGAAACATTCTCAGAAACTTGTTTGTGATGTGTGTACTCAACTAACAGAGTTGAACCTTTCCTTTGATAGAGCAGTTTTGAAACACTCTTTTTGTAGAATCTGCAAGTGGATATTTCGATAGCTCATAGGATTTCGTTGGAAATGGGAATATCTTCATATAAAATCTGGACAGAAGCATTCTGAGAAACATCTTTGTGATGCTTGCATTCAAGTCACAGATTTGAACATTCCCTTTCATAGAACAGGTTTCAAACACTCTTTTTGTAGAATCTGCAAGTGGATATTTGGATAGCTTTGAGGATTTCTTTGGAAACGGGAATATCTTCATATAAAAAGTAGACAGAAGCATTCTCAGAATCTGCTTTGTGATGTTTGCATTCAAGTCACAGAGTTGAACATTCCCTTTCATACAGCAGGTTTCAAACACTCTTTTTGTAGTATCTGGAAGTGGACATGTGGATCCCTTTGAGGCCTATGGTGGAAAAGGAAATCTCTTCCCACAAAAACTAGACAGAAGCATTCTCAGAAACTTGTTTATGATGTGTGTACTCAACTAACAGATTTGAACCTTTCTTTGAAAGAGCAGTTTTGAAACACTGTTTTTATAGAATCTGCAAGTGGATATTTGAATAGCTTTGAGGATATCTTTGGATACGGGAATGTCTTCATATAAAAAGTAGACAGAAGCTTTCTCACAAACCACTTTCTGATGTTTGCATTCTTGTCACAGAGTTGAACATTCTCTTTTATAGAGCAGGTTTGAAACTCTATTTTTGTAGTATCTGGAAGTGGACATTTGGAGCGCTTTGAGGCCTATGGTGAAAAAGGAAATCTGATCCCATAAAAACTAGACAGAAGCATTCTCAGAAACTTGTTTGTCATGTGTGTACTCAACTAACAGACTTGAACCTCTCTTTTGATAGAGCAGTTTTGAAACACTCTTTTTGTAGAATCTTCAAGTGGCTACTTGGATAGCTTAGAGGATTTCCTTGGAAACGGGAATGTCTTCATATCAAATCCAGCCAGAAGCATTCTCAGAAACCTCTTTGTAATGTTTGCATTCAAGTCACAGAGTTGAACATTACCTTTCATAGAGCAGGTTTGAAACACTATTTTTGTTGTATTTGGAAGTGGACAATTGGAGCGCTTTGAGGCCTACGGTGAAAAGGAAATATCTTCCAATAAAAACTAGACAGAAGCATTCTCAGAATCTTGTTTATGATGTGTATACTCAACTAACAGAATTGAACCTTTCTTTTGATGGAGCAGTTCTGAAACATTCTTTTTGTAGAATCTGCAGGTGGATATTTGGATAGCTTTGAGGGTTTCTTTTGAAACGGGATTATCTTCATATAAAAAGTGGACAGAAGCATTCTCAGAAACTTCTTTGTGATGTTTGCATTTAAGTCACAGAGTTGAACTTTCCCTTTCATAGAGCAGGTTTGAAACACACTTTTTGTAGTATCTGGAAGTGGACATTTGGAGTGCTTTGAGGCCTATGGTGAAAAAGGAAATATCTTCCCATGAAAACTAGATTGAAGCATTCTCAGAAACGTGTTTGTGATGTCTGTACTCAACTAACAGAGTTGAACCTTTCTTTTGATAGAGCAGTTTTGAAACATTCTTTTTGTAGAATATGCAAGTGGATATTTGGAAATCTTTGAGGATTTCATTGGAAATGGGAATATCTTCATATAAAATCTGGACGGAAGCATTCTGAAAAACATCTTTGTGATATTTGCATTCAAGTCACAGAGTTGAACATTTCTTTTCATAGCGCAGGTTTGAAACACTCTTTTTGTGGTATCTGGAATTGGACATTTGGAGCACTTTGAGGCCGATAGTGAAAAAGGAAATATCTTCCCATAAAAACTAGATAGAAGCATTCTCAGAAACTTGTTCATGATGTGTGTACTCAACTTAGAGGGTTGAACCTTTCTTTTGATAGAGCAGTTTTGAAACACTCTTTTTGTAGAATCTGCAAGTGGCTATTTGGATAGCTTAGAGGATTTCGATGGAAACGGGAATATCTTCATATAAAATCTAGAAAGAAGCATTCTGAGAAACATCTTTGTGATGTTTGCATTCATGTCGCAGAGTTGAACATTCCCTTTCATAGAGCAGGTTTGAAGCACTCTTTTTGTAGTATCTGGAAGTGGACATTTGGAGCGCTTTGAGGCCTATGGTGAAAAAGGCAATATCTTCCCATAAAAACTAGACAGAAGCATTCTCAGAAACTTGTTTGTGATGTGTGTACTAAACTAACCGAGTTGAACCTTTCTTTTGATTGAGCACTTTTGAAGCACTCTTTTTGTAGAATCTGCAAGTGGATATTTGGATAGCTTTGAGGATTTCTTTGGAAACGGGAATATCTTCATAGAAAAAGTAGACAGAAGCATTCTCAGAAATTTCTTTGTGATGTTTGCATTCAACTCACAGAGTTGAACATTCCGTTTCATAGAGCAGGTTTGAAACACTCCTTTTGTAGTATCTGGAAGGAGACATTTGGAGCACTTTCAGGACTATGGTGAAAAAGGAACTATCTTCCCAGTAAAACTAGACAGAAGCATTCTCAAAAACTTCTTTGTGATGTGTGTACTCAGCTAACAGAGTTGAACCTTTCTTTTGATAGAGCAGTTTTGAAACACTGTGTTTGTAGAATCTGCAAGTGGATATTCGGATAGCTTTGAGGATATCGTTGGAAACGGGAATATCTTCATATAAAATCTAGACAGAAGCATTCTCAGAAACACCTTTGTGATGATTGCATTCAAGTCACAGAGTTGAATATTCCCTTTCATAGAGCAGGTTTGAAACACACTTTTTGTAGTATCTGGAAGTGAACATTTGGAGCACTTTGAGGCCTATGGTGATAAAGGAAATATCTTCCCATAAAAAATTGACAGAAGCCTTCTCAGAAACTTGTTTATGATGAGTGTACTCAAAGAACAGAGTTGAACATTTATTTTGGTAGTTTTGAAACACGGTTTTTGTATAATCTGCAAGTGGATATTTGAATAGCTTTGAGGATTTCATTGGAAACAGGAATATCTTTATATAAAAATTAGACAGAAGCATTATCAGAATCTGCTTTGTGATGTTTTTATTCAAGTCACAGAGTTGAACATTCCCTTTCATAAAGCAGGTTTGAAACACTCTTTTTGTAGTATCGGGAAGTGGACATTTGGAGCGCTATGAGGTGTATGGTGAAAAAGGAAATATCTTCCCTTGAAAACTAGACAGAAGCATTCTCAGAAACTTGTTTGTGATGTGTGTACTCAACTAACAGAGTTGACCCTTTCTTTTGATAGAACAGTTTTGAGACACTGCTTTCTGGAATCTGCAAGTGGATATTTGGATAGCTTTGAGGATTTCGTTGGAAAAGGGAATATCTTCATATAAAATCTAGAAAGAAGCATTCTCAGAAACATCTTTGTGATGTTTGCATTCAAGTCACAGAGTTGAACATTCCCTTTCAAAGAGAAGGTTTGAAACCATCTTTTTGTAGTATCTGGAAGTGGACATTTGGAGCGCTATGGGGCCTATGGTTAAAAAGGAAATATCTTCCCATAAAAACTACACAGAAACATTCTCAGAAGCTTGTTTGTGATGTGTGTACTCAAGTAACAGAATTGAACCTTTCTTTTCATAGAGCAGTTTTGAAACCCTCCTTTTGTAGAATCCACAAGTGTATATTTGGACAGCTTTGAGGATTTTATTGGAAACGGAATTAACTTCATATAAAATCTAGACAGAAGCATTCTCAGAAACTTCTTCCTGATGTTTGCATTCAAGTCACAGAGTTGAACATTCCCTTTCATACAGCAGGTTTGAAACACACCTTTTGTAGTATCTGGAAGTGGACATTTGGAGCACTTTTAGGTCTATGGTGAAAAAGGAAATATCTTCCAATAAAAACTAGACAGAAACATTCTCAGAAACTTGTTTGTGATGTGTGTGCTCAACTAACAGAGTCGAACCTTTCTTTTGATAAAACAGTTTTGAAACACTCTTTTTGTAGAATCTGTAATTGGATATTTGGATAGCTTTGAGGATTTCGTTGGAAACGGGAATATCTTCATATAAAATCTAGACAGAAGCATTCTCAGAAATACCTTTGTGATGTTTGCTTTCAAGTCACGGATTTGAACATTCCCTTACATAGAGCATGTTTGAAACCCTCTTTTGTATTATCTGGAAGTGGACATTTGGAGTGCTATGAGGTGTATGGTGAAAAAGGAAACATCTTCCCATGAAACCTAGACAGAAGCATTCTCAGAAACTTGTTTATGATGTGTGTACTCAACTAACAGAGTTGAACCTTTCTTTTGATAGAGCAGTTTTGAGACCCTTTTTTGTGGAATCTGAAAGTGGATATTTGGATAGCTTTGAGGATTTCGTTGGAAACGGGAATATCTTCATATAAAATCTAGACAGAAGTATTCTCAGAAACTTCTTTGTGATGTTTGCATTCAAGTCACAGAGTTGAACATTCCCTTTCATAGAGTACATTTGAAACACTCTTTTTGCAGTATCTGGGATTGGACATTTGGAGCGCTTTGAGGCCTATGGTGAAAAAGGAAATCTCTTCCCATAAAACTAGACAGAAGCATTCTCAGAAACTTGTTTGTGATGTGTGTAGTCAACTAACAGATTTGAACCTTTCTTTTGATAGAGCAGTTTTGAAACAGTCTTTTTGTAGAATCTGCAAGTGGATATTTGGGTAGATTTGAGGATTTCATTGGAAACGGGAATATCTTCATATAAAAAGTAGACAGAAGCATTCTAAGAAACTTCTTTGTGATGTTTGCATTCAAGTCACGGAGTTAAACATTCCCTTTCATAGAGCAGGTTTCAAACACTCTTTTTGTAGTATCTGCAAGTGGATATTTTGATAGCTTTGAGGATTTCATTGGATACGGGAATGTCTTCATATAAAAAGTAGACAGAAGTATTCTCAGAATCTTCTTTGTGATGTTTGCATTCAAGTCACAGAGTTGAACATTCCGTTTCATAGAGCAGGTTTCAAACACTCTTTTTGTAGTATCTGGAAGTAGACATATAGATCGCTTTGAGGCCAATGGTGGAAAAGGAAATCTCTTCCCATAAAAACTAGACAGAAGCATTCTCTGAAACTTGTTTGTGATGTGTGTACTCAACTAACAGAGTTGAACTTTTCTTTTGATATTGCAGTTTTGAAACAGTCTTTTCATAGAATCTGCAAGTGGATATTCGGATAGCTTTGAGGATTTCATTGGTAAAGGGAATATCTTCATATAAAATCTAGACAGAAGCATTCTCAGAAACATCTTTGTGATGATTGCATTCAAGTCACAGAGATGAACATTCCCTTTCATAGAGCAGGTTTGAGACACTCTCTTTGTAGTATCTGGAAGTGGACACTTGGAGTGATTTGTGGCCTACGGTGAAAAAGGAAATATCTTCCCATAAAAATTAGAGAGAAGCATTCTCAGAAACTTGTTTGTAATGTGTGTGCTCAGCTAACAGAGTTGAACCTTTCTTTTGATAGAGCATTGTTGAAACACTCTTTTTGTAGAATCTGCAAGTGGATATTTGAATAGCTTTGAGGATTTCTTTGGAAGCGGGAATACCTTCATATAAAATCTAGACAGAAGCATTCTAAGAAACACGTTTGTGATGTTTGCATTCAAGTCACAGAGTGGACCATTCCCTTTCATAGAGCAGGTTTGAAACAATCTTTTTGTTGTATTTGGAAGTGGACATTTGGAGCGCTTTGAGGCCTTTGGTGAAAAAGGAAATATCTTCCCATAAAAATTAGACAGACGCATTCTCAGAAATTTGTTTGTTATGTTTGTACTCAACTAACAGAATTGAACCTTTCTTTTAATAGAGTAGTTTTGAAACACTCTTTTTGTAGAATCTGCAAGTGGATAATTTGGATAGCTTAGAGGATTTCTTTGGAAACGGGAATATCATCATATAACATCTGGACAGAAACATTCTGAGAAACCACTTTGTGATGTTTGCATTCAAGTCAAAGAGGTGAACATTCCCTTTCATAGAGAAGGTTTGAATCACTCCTTTTGTAGTATCTGGAAGGGGACATTTGGAGCGCTTTTTGGCCTATGGTGAAAAAGGAAATATTTTCCCAGAAAAACTAGACAAAAGCATTCTCAAAAACTTGTTTGTGATGTGCGGACTCAACTAACAGAGTTGAACCTTTCTTTTGATAGAGCAGTTTTGAAACTCTCTTTTTGTAGAATCTGCAAGTGGATATTTTGATAGCTTTGAGGATTTCGTTGGAATCGGGAATATCTTCATATAAAATCTAGACAGAATCATTCTAGGAAACAACTTTGTGATGTTTGCATTCAAGTTACCGAGTTGAACATTCTCTTTCATAGAGCAGGTTTGAAACACACTCTTTTTAGCATCTGGAAGTGGACATTTGGAGCACTTTGAGACCTATGGTGAAAAAGGAAATATCTTCCCATAAAATCTAAACAGAAGCTTTCTCAGAAACTTGTTTATGATGTGTGTACTCAACTAACAGAGTTGAACCTTTCTTTTGATAGTTTTGAAACACGGTTTTTGGAGAATCTGCAAGTGGATATTTGGATAGCTTTGAGGATTTCTTTGGAAACGGGAATATCTTCATATAAAAAGTAGACAGAAGCATTCTCAGAATCTGCTTTGTGATGTGTGCATTCAAGTCACAGAGTTGAACATTCCCTTTCATAGAGCAGGTTTGAAACAATCTTTTTGTAGTATCTGGAATTGGACATTTGGAGCGCTTTGAGGCGTATGGTGTGAAAGGAAATATCTTCCCATGAAAACTTCACAGAAGCATTGTCAGAAACTTGTTTGTTATGTGTGTACTAAACTAACCGAGTTGAACCTTTCTTTTGATAGAACAGTTTTGAAACACTCTTTTTGTAGAATCTGCAAGTGGATATTTGGATAGCTTTCGGGATTTCTTTGGAATCGGGTATATCTTCATATGAAAAGCAGACAGAAGCATTCTCAGGTATTTCTTTGTGATGATTGCATTCAAGTCACAGAGTTGAACATTCCCTTTAATAGAGCAGGTTTTAAACACTCTTTTTGTAGTATCTGGAAGTGGACTTTGGAGCGCTTTGAGGCCTATGGTAGAAAAGGAAATCTCTTCCTATAAAAACTAGACAGAAGCATGCTCAGAAACTTGTTTGTGATGTGTGTACTCAACTACCAGAGTTGAACCCTTCTTTTGATAGAGCAGTTTTGAGACACTGTTTTTGTAGAATCTGCAAGTGGATATTTGGATAGCTTTGAGGATATCGTTGGGATCGGGAATATCATCATATAAAATCTAGACCAAAGCATTCTCAGAAACATCTTTGTGATGTTTGCATTCAAGTCAAAGAGTTGAACATTCCCTTTCATGGAGCAGTTTGAAACCATCTTTTTTTAGTGTCTGGAAGTGGACATTTGGAGCGCTAGGAGGCCTATGGTGAAGAAGGAAATATCTTCCCAGAAAAACTAGACAGAAGCATTCTCAGAAGCTTGTTTATGACGTGTGTACTCAACAAACAGAGTTGAACTTTTCTTTTGATAGAGCAGTTTTGAAAAACTCTTTTTGTAGAATCTGTAAGTGAATATTTGGATACCTTTGAGGATTTCGTTGGTAACGTAAATATCTTCATTTAAAATCTAGACAGAAGCATTCTCAGAAATACCTTAGTGATGTTTGCATTCACATCACGGAGTTGAACATTCCCTTTCATAGAGCAGGTTTGAAACCCTCTTTTGTAGTATCTGGAGATGAACATTTGGAGCGCTTTGAGACCAATGGTGTAAAAGGAAATCTCCTCCCATAAAAACAAGACAGAAGCATTCTCAGAAACTTGTTTATGATCTGTGTAGTCAACTAACAGAGTTGAACCTTTCTTTTGATAGAGCAGTTTTGAAACACTCTTTTTGTAAAATCTGCAAGTGGATATTTGGAGAGCTTCGAGGATTTCGTTGGAAACTGGAATATCTTCATATAAAATCTAGACTGAAGCATTCTGAAAACATGTTTGTGATGTTTGCATTCAAGTCACAGAGTTGAACATTCCCTTTCATACAGCACGTTTTATACACTCTTTTTGTGGTATCTTGAAGTGGAGATTTGGAGCACTTTGTGGCGTATGGTGAAAAAGGAAATCTCTTCCCATAAAAACTAGACAGAAGCATTCTCAGGAACATGTTTGTGATGTGTGTAGTCAACTAACAGATTTGAACCTTTCTTTTGATAGAGCAGTTTTGAAACACTCTTTTTGTAGAATCTGCAAGTGGATAATTCGATAGCTTTGAGGATTTTGTTGGAAACGGGAATATCTTCATATAAAAAGTAGACAGAAGCATTCTCAGAAACTTCTTTGTGATGTTCATATTCAAGTCACAGAGTTGAACATTCCCTTTCATAGAGCAGGTTTGAAAAACTTTTTTTGTAGTATCTGGAATTGGACATTTGGAGCGCTTTGAGGCCTGTGGTGAAAAAGGAAATATCTTCCTGTAAAAACTAGACAGAAGCATTCTGAGAAACTTGTTTATGATGTGTGTACTCAACTAACAGAGTTAAAGCTTTCTTTTGATAGAGCAGTTTTGAAACACTCGTTTTGTAGAATCCGCAAGTGGATATTTGGATAGCTTTGAGGATTTCGGTGGAAACGGAATTATCTTCATATAAAATCTAGACAGAAGCATTCTCAGAAACTTCTTGTGATGTTTGCATTCAAGTCACAGAGTTGAACATGCCCTTTCATACTGCAGGTTTGAAACACTCTTTTTGTTGTATTTGGAAGTGGTCATTTGGAGCTCTTTGAGTACTTTGGTGAAAAAGGAAATATCTTCCCATAAAAATTAGACAAACTCATTCTCAGAAACTTGTTTGTGATGTGTGTACTTAACTGACAGACTTGTACCTTTCTTTTGATAGAGCAGTTTTGAAACACTCTTTTTGTAGAATCTGCAAGTGGATATTTAGATAGCTTAGAGGATTTTGTTGGAAACGGGAATATCATCATATAAAATCTGGACGGAAACATTCTGAGAAACAGCTTTGTAATGTTTGCTTTAAAGTCACAGAGTTGAACATTCCCTTTCATAGAGCAGGTTTGAAACACTCCTTTTGTAGTATCTGGAAGGGGACATTTGGAGTGCTATGAGGCCTATGGTGAAAAAGGAAATATCTTCCCATAAAAACTAGACAGAAGCATTCCCAGAAACTTATTTGTGATGTATGTACTCAACTAACAGAGTTGAACCTTTCTTTTGATAGAGCAGTTTTGAAACACTCTTTTTGCAGTATCTGGAAGTGGTCATTTGGAGCACTTTGAGGCCTATGGTGAAAAAGGGAATATCTTCCCATAAATACTAGACAGAACCATTCTCAGAAACTTGTTTGTGATGTGTGTATTCAACTAACGGAGTTCAACCTTTCTTTTGATAGAGCAGTTTTGAAACACTCTTTTTGCAGAATCTGCAAGTGGATATTTGGATAGATTTGAGGATTTCGTTGGAATTGGGAATATATTCACATAAAAAGTAGACAGAATCATTCTGAGAAACTTCTTTGTGATGTTTGCATTCAAGTCACAGAGTTGAACATTCCCTTTCATAGAGCACGTTTGAAACACTCTTTTTTCTAGTATCTGGAATTGGACATTAAGAGCGCCTTGAGCCCTATGGTGAAAAAGATAATATCTTCCCATAAAAACTGGACAGAAGCATTCTCAGAAACTTGTTAGTGATGTGTGTACTCAACTAACCGAGGTGAACCTTTCTTTTGATAGAGCAGTTTTGAAACACTCTTTTTGTAGAATCTGCTGGTAGATATTTGGAAATCTTTGAGGATTTCGTTGGAAATGGGAATATCTTCATATAAAATCTGGACAGAAGCATTCTGAGAAACATCTTTGTGATATTTGCATTCAAGTCACAGAGTTGAACATTTCTTTTCATAGCGCAGGTTTGAAACACTCTTTTGTAGTATCTGGAATTGGACATTTGGAGCACTTTGAGGCTGATAGTGAAAAAGGAAATATCTTCCCATAAAAACTAGATAGAAGCATTCTCAGAAACTTGTTTATGATGTGTGTACTCAACTTAGAGGGTTGGACCTTTCTTTTGATAGAGCAGTTTTGAAACACTCTTTTTGTAGGATCTGCAAGCGGATATTTGGATAGCTTTGAGGATTGCATTGGAAACGGGAATATCTTCATATAAAATGTAGACTGAAGTATTCTCAGAAACTTCTTTGTGATGTTTGCATTCAGGTCTCAGACTTGAACATTCCCTTTCATAGAGCACGTTTGAAACACTCTTTTTGTTGTATTTGGACGTGGACATTTTTACCGTTTTGAGGCCTATGGTGAAAAAGGAAATATCTTCCAATAAATACTACAAAGAAGCATTCTTAGAAACTTGTTTGTGATGGGTGTACTTAACTAACAGAGTTGAAACTTTCTTTTGATAGTGCAGTTTTGAAACACTCTTTTTGTATAATCTGCAAGTGGATATTTGGATAGCTTTGAGGTTTTCGTTGGAAATGGGAATATCTTCATATAAAATCTGGACAGAAGCATTCTGAGAAACATCTTTGTGATGTTTGCATTCAAGTCACAGGGATGAACATTCCTTTTCATAGAGCAGTTTTGAAACACTCTTTTTGTAGTATCTGGAAGCGGACATTTGAGCGCTTTGAGGCCAATGGTGAAAAAGGAAATATCTTCCCATAAAAATTAGACAGAAGCATTCTCAGAAACTAGTTTATGATGTGTGTACTCAACTAACAGAGTTGAACCTTTCTTTTGATAGACCAGTTTTGAATCACTCTTTTTGTAGAATCTGCAAGTGGATATTTGGATAGCTTTGAGGATTTCGTTGGAAACGGGAATATCGTCATATAAATTGTAGACAGAAGCATTATCAGGAACTTCTTTGTGATGTTTGCATTCAAGTCACATAGCTGAATGGAATCGAATAGAATCATCAAATGAATCGAATGGAATCATCATAGAATGGAATCCAATGGAATCAACATCAAATGGACTCGAATGGAATCATCATCGAATGGAATCCAAAAGAATCATAACCAAATGGATTTCAAAAGAATCATCAATGAATGGAATGGAATGGAATTATTGAATGGAATCTAACGGAATCATCACTGAATGGAACTGAATGGAATTATCCTCAAATGGAAACTAACGGTGTCATCATTGAAGGGATTTGAATGGAATTATCATCGAATGGCAACGAATGGAATCTTCATCAAATGGAATCAAATGGAATCATCGAATGGAAATGAATGGATTCTTTGTAAGGAATCGAACGGAATCATCGAATGGACTCAAACGGAATATTCATCGAATTGAATCAAATAGAATCATTTTTTAATGGACGCCAATGGAATCATTGAATGTAATCGAATGCAATCGTCCGCAATGGAATCAAGTGGAATCATCATCAAATGGAATCAAAAGGAATCATCATCAAAAGGAAACGAATGCATTCATCATCAGATGGAATTGATAGGAAGCATCATCAAACGGAATTAGTTGGAATCATCATCGAATACAATTGAAAGGAATCATCGAATGGAATCGAATGGAATCATCATCAAAAGGAATCGAAGAGAGTCATCGAATGGAGTTGAACTGAATCTTCAAACTGTATCGAATGGAATCATCATCAAATGGACTGCAAAGGAATCTACATCGAATTGAATAGAATGGAATCATCGAATGAACTCGAATGGAATCATCATCGAATTGAACAGAATGGAATCATCGAATGGAATCAAATGGAATCATCGAATGGACTCGAATGCAATCACCGAATGGACTCGAATGGAATAATCATCGAATGGAATAGAAAGGAATCATCGAATGGACTCGAATGGAATTATCATTGAATGGAACAGAATGTAATCATCGAATGAACTCGAATGGAATCATCACCGAATGGACTCGAATGGAATCATCAAATGGAATTGAATGGAATCATCATCGAATGGAATCAAATGGAATCATCGAATGGACTCGAATGCAATCACCGAATGGACTCGAATGGAATAATCATCGAATGGAATAGAAAGGAATCATCGAATGGACTCGAATGGAATTATCATTGAATGGAACAGAATGTAATCATCGAATGAACTCGAATGGAATCATCATCAAATTGACTCAAATGGAATCATCGAATGGATTCGAATGGAATCATCATCGAATGGAATCCAATGGAATCATCGAATGGAATCATCATTGACTGGAATTGAATGGAATCATCAAATGGACTCGAATGGAATCATCATGGAATGGAATCGAATGGAATTATTGAATGGACTCGAATGGAATCAACTTTGAATGGAATCTAAGGGAATCATCGAAAGGAATCGAATGCAATCGTCATCAAATGGAATCGAATGGAATCATCGAATGGAATTGAATGGAATCACCATTGAATGGATCGAATGGAATCATCATCGAATGGAATAGAATGTAATCATGGAATGTACTCGAATGGAATAATCATTGAATGGAAAGCTGTGGAACCATGGAATGAACACGAAATGAATCATAATCGAATGGAATCGAAAGGAATCATCATTGAATGCAATCACATGGAATCATCACCGAATGGAATCGTACGGAATCATCACGGAATGGAATTGAATGGAATCATCAATTGGACTCGAAAGGAATCATCAAATGGAATCGATTGGAAGCTTCAAATGGACTCGAATGGAATCATCATCGAATGGAATCGAATGGAATCATCGAAAGGACTCGAATCGAATCATAAAATGGACTCGAATGGAATCATTGAATGCACTCCAATGGAATCATCAACGAAAGGACCCTAATGGAACGATCAAATGGACGGAAATGGAATCATTGAATGGAAATGAATTGAATCATTGATAGGACTCAAATGGAATTATCAAATGGGCTCAAATGGAATCACCGAATGGACTTGAATGTAATAACTATCGAATGGAATCAAATGGAATCATCAAATGGAATTGATCAGAATCATCGAATGGAAGCAAATGAAATCATCGAATGGAATCAAATCCAATCATCATCGAATGGAATCGACTGGAATCATCATCGAATAGAATAGAATGGAATCATCATCGAATGGAATCGAATGGAATCACCAAATGGAATCGAATGGAATCATTATCGAATAGAATCGAATGGAAACATTGAATGGAATCATCATCAAATGGAGTCCAATGGAAGCATCGAATTGACTGGAATTGAATCATCATTGAATGGAATCGAATAGAATCATCGAATAGAATTGAATGGAATCATTATCAAATGGAATCAAATGATGTCATCGAATGCACTTGAATGGAATCATCAAAGAATGGAATCGAATGGTATCATCGAATGGAATCGAATGGAATCATCTTCATTGAATGGTATCATCGAATGGAATCGAATGGAATCATCTTCGAGTGGAATCTACAGGATTCACTAAGTGGACTCCAATGGAATAATCATCAAATGGAATCGAGTGGCATCATTGAATTTACTCAAATGGTGTCATCGAATGGAATAAAATGGAATCATCGAATGGATTCGAATGGAATAATCATTGAATGGAATCAATTGGAATGATCAAATGGACTCGAATGGAATCATCATCAAATGGATTTCAATGGAATCATCGAATACACTCGAATGGAATCATCATCGAATGGAAATGAATGGAATCATCAAATGGACACGAATGGAATTATTATTGAATGGAATCATATGGAATCATTGATTGTACTCAAATGCAATCATAGAATGGACTCGATGGAATCATCATCGAATGGAATTGAATAGAATCATCAAATGGACTCGAATGGAGTGATCAAAAGGACTCGAAAGGAATAATCAAATGGACTCGAATGGATGCATCAAATGGACCCTAATGGAATCATCATCGAATGGAAAAGATTGGAATAGTCAAATGGACTCGAATGGAATCATTGAATGGACTCAAATGGAATCATCAAATGGAGTCTAAAGGAATCACCATTGAATGGAATCGAAAGGAATCATCGAATAAAATAGAACGTAATATCTAATGGAATCTAACGGAATAATCAAGGAATGGAATTGAATGGAATCACCGAATGGAATTGATAGCAATGATCATTGAATGGAATCAAATGGAATCATCATTGAATGGAATTGAATGGAATCTTAGAATAGACACGAATGGAATCATCATTGAATGGAAAGGAATGGAATCATCAAATGGACTCGAATATAATCATCATTGAAGGGAATCTAATGGAATCATCAATTTGAATTGAATGGAATCATCATCAAATGAAATTGAATGGAGTCATCGAATGTCACTGAATTGAAACATCACCGAATTGAGTCGGATGGAATCATCAAATGACCTCGAATGGAATCATCATCGAAGGGAATGGAATAGAATCATCGAATGGACTCAAAAAATCATCATCGAATGGAATCGAAAGAATCATCAAATGGAAGAGAAGAGAATCATCATTGAATGGAATCGGACGGAATCATCATCGAAAGGAATCAAGTGGAATAATCATCAAATGGATTCATATGGAATCATAATTGAATGGAATCGAATGGGATCATCATCGAAAGGAATCGAATGCAACAATCGAATGGACACGAATGGAATCATCATCGAATGGAATCGACCGGAATCATCTAATGGAATAGAAGATAATCATCATCGAATGGAATTGAATGGAATCGTCAATGAATGGAATCAAATGGAATAATCATCGAATGGATTCGTATGGAATCATCATCGAATGGAATTGAATGGAATCATCTTCGAATGGAATTGAATGTAATCATTATCAAATGGAATCAAATGGAATCATTGAATGTACTCGAATGGAGTCATCATCGAATGGAATCGAATGGATTCATCGAATGGACTCGAATGGAATCATCATCGAATGGAATTGAATGGAATCATCGAATCAACTCGAATGGAGTCATCATCAAATGTAATTGAATGGAATCATCAAATGGACTCGAGTGGAATCATCGTCAAATGAAATCGAATGGAATCATCGAATGAAATCAAATGGAATGATTTATTGGACTCTAATGGAATCATCGAATGGACTTGAATGGAATCATCATCAAAAGGAATCAAAAGAAATCATCATCAGATGGAATCGAATGGAAACATCACTGAATGGAATCGAATGGAATCATCGAGGGGAAAGAGATGGAATCATCATCGAATGGAATCAAATAGAAGCATCGAAAGAAATCGAATTGAATTTTCATTGAACGGACTCGAATGGAATCATCATCGAATGGACTCGAATGGAATCATCTAATGGAATCTAATGGAATCATCATCGAATGGAATAGAATGGAAACATCATTGAATTGAATCAAATAAAATCCTGATGGAATTTAATCAAATGGCTCATCATCGAATGGAATCATGGAATGAAAGCAAATGGAATCATCATAGAGTGGAATCGAATGGAATCATCGTATGGGATTGAATGGAATCATCTTTGAATGGAATCGACTGGAACCGTCAAATGTCATCGAATGAAATCATCATTGAATGGAGTCGAATGGAATCATCATTGAATGGAATCTAACGGAATCATAAAAGAAGGGAATTGAATGGAAACATCATCAAATGGAATGGAATGGTATCATCAACGAATGGAATAGAATAGAATCATCAAATGGAATCCAATGGATTCTCCATCAAATTGAACCGGATGGAATCATCATCGAATGGATTCGAATGGAATCATCATTGAATGGAATCGAATGGTGTCATCGAATGGAATTAAGCAGAAACATAGAATGGACTCGAATGGAATCATCGAATGGAATTCAATGCAATCATCATCAAATGAAATCAAATGCTATGATTGAATGGAGTCGAATGGAATCATCATCAAATGGAATCGATTGGAATCATCCAATGGACTCAAATGGAATCATCACATAATGGAATCAAATGGAATCATCAAATGGACTTGAATGGAATCATCATTGAATGGACTAGAATGGAATCATCACCGAATATAATCAAAAGCAATCATCAAATGGATTCGTAATAAATCATCGAATGGGCTCGAATGGAATCATCATAGAATGGAATAAAATGGAATCATCATCAAACAGAATCAAATTGAATCATCGAATGGAATGTAATGGAATCATCATGGAATGGAATCGAATGGAATCACTGAATGGACTCGAATGGAATTATCATCAAATGGAATCAAGCGAAATCATCATCGGAGGGAATCGAATGGTATCATCCCTGTATGGAATCGAATGGAATCATCGAATGGAATCTGATGGAATCATCATCGAATGGAATTAAATAGAAACATCGAAAGAAATCGAATTGAATTTTCATCGAACGGACTCGAATGGAATCATCATCGAATGGACTCGAATGGAATCATCAAATGGAATCGAATGGAATCATCATCTAATGGAATAGAATGGAAACATCATTGAATTGAATCAAATAAAATCCTGATGGAATTTAATCAAATGGCTCATCATCGAATGGAATCATGGAATGAAAGCAAATGGAATCATCATAGAGTGGAATCGAATGGAATCATCGTATGGGATTGAATGGAATCATCATTGAATGGAATCGACTGGAACCGTCGAATGTCATCGAATGGAATTATCATTGAATGGAGTCGAATGGAATCATCATTGAATGGAATCTAACCGAATCATAAAAGAAGGGAATTGAATGGAAACATCATCAAATGGAATCGAATGGTATCATCAATGAATGGAATAGAATAGAATCATCAAATGGAATCCAATGGATTCACCATCAAATTGAACCGGATGGAATCATCATCGAATGGATTCGAATGGAATCATCATTGAATGGAATCGAATGGTGTCATCGAATGGAATCAAGCAGAAACATAGAATGGACTCGAATGGAATCATCGAATGGAATTCAATGCAATCATCATCAAATGAAATCAAATGCTATGATTGAATGGAGTCGAATGGAATCATCATCAAATGGAATCGATTGGAATCACCCAATGGACTCAAATGGAATCATCAGAAAATGGAATCGAATGGAATCATTGAATGGACTCGAATGGAATCATCACCGAATATAATCAAAAGCAATCATCAAATGGATTCGTAATAAATCATCGAATGGGCTCGAATGGAATCATCATAGAATGGAATAAAATGGAATCATCATCAAACAGAATCAAATTGAATCATCGAATAGAATGGAATGGAATCATCATGGAATGGAATCGAATGGAATCACTGAATGGACTCGAATGGAATCATCATCAAGTGGAATTGAAAGGAATCATCATCAAATGGAATTGAAAAGAATCATCATCTAATAGAATCGAATGGAACCGTCGAATGGAATGAAATGGAAGCATCATCGAAATAAATTGAAGGAAATCATCGAATGGAATTGAACGGAATCATCAATTGGAATTGAATGGAATCATCATTGAACGGGATCAAATGGAATCATCGAATGGACACAAATGGAATAATCGAATGGCTCGAATTGAATCATCAATGGTATCAAATGGAATCATCAATTGGACTGTAATGGAATCATCATCTAATGGAATCGTATGGAATCAACGAAGGGGCTCGAATGGAATCATCGAATGGACTCAAATGGAATCATCATCAAATGGAATCGAATGAAATCATCATCGGATAAAATCGAATGGAATCATCACAGAATAGAATTGAATGGAAACATTGAATGGACTCAAATGGAATAATCGAATGGGCTCGAATGGAATCATCGAATGGAATCGAATGGATTCATCAAATGGACTCGAATGGAATCATCATCAAATGGAATCAGATGGAATCAACGAAGGGACTCGAATGGAATCATCCATGGACTTGAATTGAATCATCATCGAATGGATTCTTAAGGAATCATCGAATCGCCTCGAATGGAATCATCATCGAAATGAATCTAATGAAATCATCATTGGATAGAATCGAATGGAATCTTCACTAAATGGTATAGAATGGAATCGTTGAATGGAATCAAATGGAATCATCAAATGGAATCGAATGGCATCATCATTGAATGGAATTGAATGGAATCAGCAAATGGAAACGAATGGAATCATCATCGAATGGAATCCAATGGCTTCATCAAAAGAAATCGAATGGAATCATGATCGAATGGAGTCGAATGAAATCATCATGGAATGGAATCCAATGGAATTATCAATGAAGGGAATCGAATCGAATCATCATCAAATGGAATTGAATGGAATCAACAACGAATGGAATCGAATGGAATCATTGAATGAAATCCAATGGAATCATCATCAAATAGAAACGAAAGGAATCGTTGAATGGACTTGAATGGAATCATCGTCAAATGGAATCTTATGGAATCATCAAATGGACTCGTATGGATTCATCATCAAATGAAATCGAATGTAATCATAGAATGGAATCGAATAGAATCTTCATTGAATGGAATAGAGTAGAATCATAGAAAGGAATCAAATGGAATCATCAATGTTTGGAATCGAATGGAATCATTTAATGGATTCGAATGGAATCTTCATCGAATGTAATCAAATGGAATCATCGAAAGGACTCGAATGGAGTCATGATCAAATTGAATTGGATGGAATCAATGAAGATACTAGAATGGAATCATCGAATGGTCTGGAATGGAATCATCATCAAATGGAATCGAATGGTATCATGGAATGGAATCGAATGGAATCATCATTGCATGGAATCAAATGGAATCAGCGTATGGAATTGAATGGAATCATCGAAGGGAACTGAATGCAGTCATCCTCGAATGGAATCGATTGCAATCATTGAACGGACTCCAATGGAATCATCATCAAATGGAATAGAATGGAATCATCGATTGGCCAAGAATGGAATTCTCGTTGAATGGAATTGAATGGAGTCATCGAACGAACTTGAATGGAATCATCATCGAATGGAATCGAATGGAATCATCAAATGGATTCAAATGGAGTAAACATTGAATGGAATCATTTGGAATCGTCGAATGATCTAGAAATGAATCATAATCAAATGTTACTGAAAGAATCATCATCGAATGGAATCACATGGAATCATCATCGAATGGAAACATACGGAATCATCATAGAGTGGAATTGAATGGAATCATCAGTTGGACTCAAATGAATTCATCAAATGGACCGAAAGGGAAACGTCAGATGGACTCGAACCAAATCAGCTTCGAATGGAAGCAAATGGAATCATTGATAGGATTTGAATCGAATCATCAAATGGACTCGAACGGAATAATTATAGAATGGAATTGAAAAGAGTCATCGGATGGACTTGAATGCAATCATCATTGAATGGAATCGATTGGAATCATCATCAAATGGAATTGACTGGCATTATTGTATGGAATCGAAAGGAATCATCATGAAATGGAATCCATTGGAATCATCAGATGGAATAGAATGGAATTATGGAATGGAATTGAATGGAATCATCTTTGAATGGAATCGAATGGAATCAATGAATGGAATAGAAGGCAATCATCATTGAATGGAATCGAATGGAATCATCGAATTGAATCAAACTTAATCACCATTGAATGGACTCAAATGGAATCATCACCAAATAGAATCAGAAGGAATAGTCGAATGGACTCAAATGGAATCATCATCGAAAAGAATCAAATGGAATCATAGAATAGAATCGAATGGAATCATCATCAAATGTAATTAAATGGAATCATCAAATGGAATCAAATGGAATTATCATCAAAAGGAATCGAGTAGAATGACCGAATGAAATCGAATAGAATCAACATCAAATGGAATTGAATGTAATCACTGAATGGTATCGAATGGAATCATCATCGAATGGAATAGAATGGAATCATCTAATTTACACGAATGGAATCATCATCGAATGGAATAGAATGGAATCATCATCAAATGGAATCAAATGGAATCATCAATCGGACACGAATGGAATAATCATTGAATGGAATAGAATAGAATCATCATTGAATGGTATCCAAAGGAATCATCAAATGGATCCGAATGGAATCACCATAGAATTGAATAGAATGGAATCATCATCAAATGGAATTGAATGCAATCATCTAATGGACTGCAAGAGAAACATCATCGAATGCAATCATCTATTGTACCCGAATGAAATCATCATAAAATGGAATCAAATGGGTTCATCGAATGGACTCGAATGGAATCATCATCGAATGGAATCGAATGGAATCATCAAATGGACCCGAATGGAATTATCATCGAACGGAATCGAATGGAAACAATGAATGGACTCCAATGGAATCATCATCGAATATAATTGAAACAATCATCAAATGGATTCGAATGCAAACATCGAATAGACTCAAATGGAATCATCATCGAATGAAATCAAATGGAATCATTGAATGGACTTGAATGGAATGGTCACCGAATGGAATCGAATGGAAACATGGAATGGAATCCAATGGAATCATCTTCGAATAGAATTGAATGGAATCATCGAATGGACTCGAATGGAGTCATCATCAAATGGAATTGAATGGAATCATTGAATAGAATTGAATATAATCGTCATCGAATGAAATCGCATTGAATTATCAAATGGACTCGAACGGAATCATCGTTGAATGGAATCGAATGGAATCATCGATCGGACTCGAATAGAATCATCATCGAATGGAAAGGAATCATCAAATGAATTCGAATGGAATCATCATCGAATGTAATAGGAAGGAATCATCGAATGGAATCATCATCGAATGGAATCAATTGGAATGATTTAACGGACTCGAATGGAATCATTGTCGAATGGAATCGAAAGAAAACATCGAATAGACACGAATTGAATCATTATGGAATGGAATCGAATGGAGACATCATCAAATGGAATCGAAAGAAAACATCGAATAGACACGAATTGAATCATTATGGAATGGAATCGAATGGAGTCATCATCAAATGAAATCTTATAGAATACTCATCGAAAGGAACCGAACGGAATCATCAAATGGAATAGAATATAATTATCTCTGAATGGAAACAAATGGAATCATCAAATGAAATCCAAAGGAATCATCATCAAATGGAATCGAATGGAATTATCATCAAATGGAATCAAGCAGAATCATCATCAAATGGAATAGAATGGAATCATCGAATGGGCTCGAACGGAATCATCATCTAATGGTATCAAATCTAATCTTCGAATGTACTCGAATGGAATCATGATTGAATGGAATCGAATGTAATCTTCGAATGCACTTGAATGGAATAATCATCGAATGCAATCGAAGGGAATCATCACCAAATGGAATCAAATGGAATCATCATCAAATGGAATCAAATGGAATCCTCGAATGGAATAGAATTGAATCAACATCGAATGGAATCGAATAGAATCATCAAATGAAATCGAATGGAATCATCATCGAATGGAATCAAATCAAAACATCATCGAATGGAATCAAATGGAATCATCAAAGAATGGAAACAAATGGAATCATCATTGAAAGGAATCAAATTGAATAATCAACGAATGGCATCGAATGGAATCATTGAAGGGAATCCAATGTAATCTTGACTAATTGAACCCAATGGAATCATTACATGGAGTCAAATGGAATCATTGAATGGACTCAAATGGAATCATCATTGAATGGAATAGAATGGAATCATGGGACAGAATCGAATGAAATCATCATCGAATGAAATCAAATGGAATCATTGAATGGTCTCGATTCGAAGCATCATCAAATGGAATCAAAATGAATCAGCAAATGGACTTGAATGGAATCACTGAATGGACTCGAATGGAATCACCATCAAGTGGAATCAAATGGTATCATCGAATAGACTCTAATGGAATCATCATCAAATGGAATCGAAAGTAATAATCAAATGTACTCGAATGGAAACATTGAATGGACTCGAATGGAATCATCACCAAATGGAATCGAATGGAATCATCGAATACAATCGAATGTAATAATCATCAAACGAAATTGCATTAAATCATGGAATGGACACGAATGGAGTAATCATCGAATGGAATCGGATGGAATCATCGAATAGACTCATATGGAATACTCATCGAATGGGATGGAAAGGAACCATCAAAAGAAATCAGTGGAATCATCATTGAATGATATCAAATGGAATAATTGAATGGCACAAAATGGAATCATCATCGAATGGAATCAAATGGAATCATCTAACGGACACGAATGAAATAATCATCGAATGGAATCTAATGGAAACATCGAATGGACACAAATGGAATCATCACCGAATGTAATTGAATGGAATCATCATGAAATCGAATCGAATAGAATTGTCATTGAATGGAATCAAATGGAATCGTCGCATGGAACAGAATGGAATCATCATTGAATGGAAACAAATAGAATCATCCAATGAAATCAAATGGAATCATCATTGAATGGAATCGAACGGAATCATCATCGAATGGAACTGAATGGAATTGTAATCAAATGGAATCGAATGGAATCATCAAATGGACACGAATGCAATCATCAACTGTGCTTCAATGGCATCATCATGGAAAGGAATTGAATGGAATCATCGAATGGGCTCGAATGTAATCATCATCGAATGGAAACAGATGGAATCATAGAATGGACTTGAATGGAATCATCAAATGGACTCGGATGGAATCACCATCGAATATAATCGAAAGGAATCAACCAATGGACTTGAATGGAACCATTGAATGTACTGGAATGGAATCATCATCGAATGGAATCGAAAGAAATCATCCAATGGACTTGAATGGAATCATTGAATGTACTCGAATGGAATCATCATCGAATGCAATTGAATGGAATCATCCAATGTATCCAAATGGTATCACCATTGAATGGAATCGAATGGAATCATCATGGAATGCAATCGAATGGAATCATCGAATGGAATCTAATGGAATCATCATTGAATGGAACCGAATGGAATCGTCAACAAATGGAATCGCATGGAATCACCGAATGGAATCTAATGGAGTCATCATCATATGGAACTGAATGGAACCATCATGGAGTGAAATCTAATGGAATCACAATCGAATGGAATCCAATGGGATCACTGAATTGAATGGAGTGATCATTGAATGGAATAAAAAGAAATCATCAAATGGGATCAAAAGGAATCATAGAATGGAATCAAATGGAATCATCTAACGGACACGAATGAAATAATCATCGAATGGAATCTAATGGAATCATCGAATGGACTCCAGTGGAATCATCATTGAATGGAATAAAATGGAATCATTGAATGAACACGAAAGGAATCATCATTGAATGGAATCCAATGGAATCATCGAATGTACTCAAATGGAAATATCATCAACTGGAACCAAATGGAATCATCGAATGGCATCGAATAGAATCATCAAAGAATGGTATCTAAGGGAATAATCAAATGGACTCGAATGGAATTATCTAATGGACTCGAATGGAATCATCACCGAATGGAATCGAATGATATCATCGAATGTACTTGAATGGAATCATCATCGAATGGAATTGAATGGAATCATCGAATGGACTCAAATGGAATCATCTTCAAATGGAATCTAATGGAATCAGAGAATGGACTTGAATGGAATCATCAACGAATGGAATCAAATGTAATCATTGAATGGCATCGAATTGAATCATCAAGGAATGGAATGGAATAGAATCATTGAATGGACACAAATGGATTCATGATCGATTGGAATCGAATGGAATCTTTGAATGGACTCAATTCAAATCATCATTGAATGCAAGTGAATGGAATCGTCATCGAATGGAATAGAATGGAATCATCAAATGGAATAGAATGGAATCATCATCAAATGTGATCAAATGGAATCATCATCGAATGGAATCGAATGGGATCATCATCAAATGGGATAGAATGGAATCATCCAATGGAATATAATGGAATCATCATCGAATGGGATTGAATGGAATCATCAAATGAAATTGAATGGAATCTTCATCAAATGGAATAGAATGGATTCATCATCGAATGGAACCTAATGGATTAATCATCCAGTGTAATTAAATGGAATCATCATCGAATGGAATCGAATGGAATCATCATCGAATGGAATCATCATCGAATGGAATCAAATGGAATCATCCAATGTAATAGAATTGAATCTTCATTGAATGGAATCAAATATAATCATCGAATGAAATCGAATGGAATCATCATCAGATGGAATCGAATGGAATCATCAATGAAAGGAATCGAATGGAATCAAAGAATGGAAGCCAATGTAATCATCATCGTATTGAACTCAATGGAATCATTAAATGGACACGAATGGAATCATTGAATGGACTCGAAAGGAATCATCATCAAATGGAATAGAATGGAATCATTCAATAGAATGAAATGGAATCATCATCGAATGAAATCAAATGGAATCATCAAATGGACTCGAATGGAATCATCATCAAATGTAATCGAATGGAATCATCGAATGGACTCAAATGGAATCATCATCGAATGGACTCAAAAAGAATTATCAAATGGACATGAATGGAATCATCATCGAATAGACTCAAATGGAATTACCGAATGGACTCGAAAAGAATCATGGATTGGACTCAAATGGAATTATCAAATGGGCTCGAATGGAATCATCTAATGGAATCGAATGGAATCATTATCGAATGGAATCAAATGGAATCATAGAATGGAATAGAAAGGAATCATCGTACATAATTGACTGCAATAATAATCGAATGGAATCAAAAGTAATCATCAAATGGAAGTGAATGCAGTCATCATCAAATGGAATCGAATGGAATAATCGAATGGAATCAAATGGAATCATCCTCAAATGTAATTGAATAGAATCATCAAATGGAATCAAATGGAATAATCGAATGGAATTGAATGGAATCAGTATCAAATGATATCAAAAGGAATCATCATTGAATAGACTCGAATGGAATCATTGAATGGAATCATCGTCAAATGGAGTCAAATGGAATCATCAAATGGAATCCAATGGAATCATCATAGAATGGAATTGAATGGAATCATCGAGTGAAATCGAATGGATTCATCACTGAATGAGATCGAATGGTATCATGGAATGCACTCAAATGGAATCAAAAATGAATGGTATAGAATGGTATCAATGAATGGAATCGAATGGAATCATCTTCAATTGGAATCAAAATGAATCACCGAATGGACTCCAATGGAATAATCATAAAAAGGAATCAAACAGAACAATTGAATGGAATCGAATGGAATCATCATCGAATGGAATTGAATGGAATCTTTGAATGGACTCGAATGGAATCATCATGGTATGGAATCGGATGGAATACTCGAATGGAATCGAATGGAATCATCATCAAATGGCATCAAATGGAATCATCATCGAATGGAATAGAAAAGAATCAACATCAAATGGAGTCGAAAGGAATCATCATTGAATGGAATCCAAAGGAATCATCATCGAGTGGAATCGAATGGAATCATCATCAAATGGAACCGAAAAAAGTCATCATCGAAAGGAATTGCATGGAATCATCATCGAATGGAATCGAATGGAATCATCATCAAATGGAGTCGAATGGAATCATCGAATGGAATTGAATGGAATCATCATCAAATGAATTGAATGGAATCATCGAATGGTCGCGAATGGAATCATTATCAAATGGAATCGAATGGAATCACCAAACAGAATCGAATGGAATAATCATCTAATGGTCTTGAATGGAATTATCATCAAATGGAATCAAATGGAATTATCGAATGGTATCGAATAGAATCATCGAATGGACTCGAATGGAATCATCAAATGGAATGGAATGGAATAATCAATGATCTCGAATGGAGTCATCATTGAATGGAATCGAATGGAATCATCGATTGGAATCGAATGGAATCATGATCAAATGGAATCGAATGGAATCATCATTGAATGGAATCGAAAAGAATCACCGTCAATTAGAATTGAGTGGAATCGTCATCAAATGGAATCCAAAGGAAACATCATTGAATGGAACCAAATGGAATCATCATCGAATGGAAACGAAAGGAGGCATCATCGAATGGAATCGCATGGAATCATCATAGAATGGAATTGAATGGAATCATCATCAAATGGAATCTAATGGAATCATCAAATGAAATTGAGTGGAATCATCAATGAATGAATTGAATGGAATAATCGAATGTTCTCGAATGGAATCATCTTCAAATGGAATCGAATGGAATCGAATGGAATCATCACATAGAATCGAATGGAATTATCATCGAATGGACTCGAATGTAATCAACCTCAAACGGAATCAAATGGAATTACCAAACGGAATTCAAGAGAATCATCGAATGGACTCTAATGGAATCATTGAATAGAATGGAATGGAATAATCCATGGACTCGAATGCAATCATCATCGAATGGAATTGAATGGAATCATCGAATGGACTCGAATGGAATCATCATCGAATGGAATCGAATGGTATCATCAAATGGAATCAGATGGAATCATCATCGAATGGAATCAAATAGAATTATGGAATGAAATCGAAAGTGATCATCATTGAATGGACTCGAATGGAATCATCATCTAATGGAAAATATTGGAATCATCCAATGGAATTGAATGGAATCATCATCAAATGAATTGAATGGAATCATCAAATGGTCTCGAATGGAATCTTCATCAAATGGAATCGAATGGAATCATCATCAAATGGAATCAAATGGAATCATCGAATGTACTCGAATGGAGTCATCATCGAATGGAATTGAATGGATTCATCGAATGGACATGAATGGAATCACCATTGAATGGAATCGAAAGGAATGATGGTTTGGACTCCAATGTAATCACCGAATGGACTTGAATGGAATCATCATTGAAAGGAATCAAGTGAAATCATCATCAGATGGAATCAAATGGAATCATCACTGAATGGAATCAAATGAAATCACCGAATTGAATCAAATGGAATGATCATCAAAGGGAATCAAAGGAAATCATCGAATGGGATCAAGTGGAGTCATCGAATGGAATCGAGTGGAATCATCGAATGGATTTGAACAGAATCAACATCGAATGGAATCAAATGGAATCATCGAATGGACTCGAATGGAATCATCTAATGCACTCGAATGGAATAATCATCGAATGTAATCTAATGGACTCATCCAATGGAATCAAATGGAATCATCAAATGGAATCGAACGGAATCATCATCAAACGGAACCGAATGGAATCATTGAATGGAATCAAAGGCAATCATGATCGAATGGAATCAAATGGAAACATCATTGAATAGAATTGAATGGAATCATCACATGGAATCGAATGGAATCATCGTAAATGGAATCAAGTGGAATCATCGAATGGAATCTAAGGGAATCATCGTCGAATGGAATTGAATGGAATCTTTGAATGGATTCGATTGGAATCAAGATCGAATGGACTTGAATTGAATTATCGAATGGATTTGAATGGAATCATCATCGAATGGAATCCAATGGAATCATGGAATGGAATCGAATGGAATCATCATTGACTTGAATTGAATGGAATCATCAAATGGACTCGAATGGAATCATCATAGAATAGAATCGAATGCAATTATCAAATGGACTTGAATGAAATCACCTTTGAATGGAATCAAAGGGAATGATTGAAAGGAATCGAATGCCATCATCATCGAATGGAATCGAAAGGAATCATCGAATGGAATTGAATGGAATCACCGTTGAATGGACTCGAATGGAATCATCATCGTATGGAATCGAATGGAATCATCATCATATGGAATCAAATGGAATCATCGAATGGACACGAATGGAATCATCGCCAAATGGAATCAAGTGGATCATCGAATAGAAACTAATGGAATCATTGTTGAAAGAAATGGAATGGAATCTTTGAATGGAATTGAGTGGAATCACCAATGAATGGAATAGAATGGAATCATCGTCAAATGGAATAGAATGGAATAATGGAATGGACACGAATGGAAACGTCATCGAACGGAAACCGGTGGAACCATAGAATGAACACAAAATGAATCATAATCGAATGCAATCGAAAGGAATCATCATTGAATGCAATCACATGGAATCATCACAGAATGGAATCGTACGGAATCATCATCGAATGCAATTGAATGGAATCATCATTGAAAGGAATCAAGTGAAATCATCATCAGATGGAATCAAATGGAATCATCATTAAATGGAATTGAATGGAATCATCAAGTGGACACGAATACAATACATAAATGGACTCGAATGGAATCATTGAATGGAACCGAATGGAATCATCGATTGGACTTGAATGGAATCATCGTCAAGTGGAATCAGATGGAATCAACGAAGGGATTTGAATGGAATAATCGAATGAATTCGGATGGAATCCACATAGAATGGAATTGAATTGAATCATTCAATGGACTCCAATGGAATAATCATCGAATGGAATCAAATGAAATCATGATCAGATGGAATCAAATGGAATCATCACTGAATGGAATCGAATGGAATCATCGAATGGACTCGAATGGAATCATAGAATGGAATAGAACAGAATCATCGAATGGACTTGAATGGAATCATCATCCAATGGAATCAGATGGAATCATCATCGAATGGAAACAAATGGAATTAATGAATGGAATTGAAAGGAATCATCTTCGAATGAAATCAAATAGAAGCATCGAATGAAATCGAATGGAATCGGAGAATGGATTCAGATGGAATCATCATCAAATGGAATCGAATAGAAGCATTGAATGAAATCAAATGGAATTATCATCCAATGGACCCGTATGGAATCATCATCGAATTGACTCATATGGAATCATCGTAGAATGGATACCAATGGAATCATCATCGAATGGATTCGAATGGAAACATCATCTAATTGAATCAAATAGAATCATCATGGAATTGAATCGAATTGCTCACCGCCGAATGGAATCAAATGGAATCACCGAATGGAATCCAATGGAATCATCATTGAATGGAATCAAATGGAGTCATCATCGAATGGAATAAAATGGAATCATCCAATGGAAGAGAATTGAATCATCATTGAATGGAAACGAATAAAATCATCGAAAGGAATCTAATAGAATCATCAAATGAAATCGAATGGAATCACCATTGAATAGAATCGAATGGAATCAACATCAAATGGAAACAAATGGAATCATCATCGAATGGAATCGAATGGAATCATCATCAAATGGAATCGAATGGAATCATCCAATATAATAGAATTGAATCACCATCGAACGGAATCGAATAGAATCATCGAATGAACTCAAATGGAATCATCATTGAATGGAATCGAATCATCAACGAATGGAATTGAATGGAATCATAGAATGGAATCCAATGTAATCATCATCGAATTGAACCCAATGGAATCATTAAATGGACTCGAATGGAATCATCGAATGGACTCGAATGGAATCATCATCGAATGGAACAGAATGGAGTCATCGAATGGAATCGAATGGAATCATCATCAAATGAAATCAAATGGAATCATCGTATGGACTCCAACGGACTCATCATCGACTGGAATTGAACAGAAGCATCGAATGAAATCAAATGGAATTATCATCGAACGGACCCATATGGAATCATCATTGAATTGACTCATATGGAATCATCGCCGAATGGATTCCAATGGAATAATCATGGAATGGATTGGAATGGAAACATCATCTAATTGAATCAAATAGAATCATCATGGAATTGAATCGAATTGCTCACCGTCGCATGGAATCAAATGGAATCATCGAATGGAATTGAATGGAATCATCATCGAATGGAATGAAATGGAATCATCCAATGGCCGAGAAGTGAATCATCATTGAATGGAATCGAATAGAATCATCAAATGAAATCCAATGGAATCATCATCGAATACAATCGAATTGAATCAACATCAAATGGAATCGAATGGAATCATCCAATATAATAGAATGGAATCACCATCGAAGAGAATCGCACAGAATCATCGAATGAACTCAAATGGAATCATCATCGAATGGAATCAAATTGTCAATGAACGGAATTGAATGGAATCATAGAATGGAATCCAATGTAATCATCATTGAATTGAACCCAATGGAATCATTAAATGGACTCGAATGGAATCATCGAATGGACTCGAATGGAATCATCATCGAATGGAATAGAATGGAATCATTGAATGGAATCGAATGGAATCATCATTGAATGAAATCAAATGGAATCATCATATGGACTCGAATGGAATCATCATCGAATGGAACTGAATGGAATCATCGAATGGACTCGAATGGAATCATCATCGAATTGAATTCAAAGAAATCATCAAATGGACTTGAATGGAATCATGGAATGGACTCGAATGGAATCATCAACGAATGAAATCGAATGGAATCACCAAATGGTCATGAATGGAATCATCATCTAATAGCAACGAATGGAATCATCGAATGGACTCGGATGGAATATCATCGAATGGAATTAAAAGCAATCATCGAATGGACTCCAGTGGAAATATTGAATGGACTAAAATGGAATCTTTATCGAAAGGACTCCAAAAGAATGATTGAATGGTCTCGAATGGAATCATCGATTGGACTCAAATGGAATTATCGAATATCCGCAAATGGAATCATCGAATGGACTCGAAAGGAATCATCGAATGCAATTGATCAGAATCATCATCGAATGGAATCAAATGGAACCATCAAATGGAATCGAATGGATCATCGAATGCAATTGATCAGAATCATCATCGAATGGAATCAAATGGAATCATCAAATGGAATCGAATGCAGTCATCATCAAATAGAATCGAGTGGAATCATCATCGAATACAATCGAATGGAATCATCAAATGGAATCAAATGGAATCACCATTGAGTGGAATCAAATGGAATCATCATCAAATGGAATCGAAAAGAATCATCTTCAAATGGAATCGAATGGAAGCATCATCGAATGGAATCCAAAGGAATCATCATCGAATGGAACCGAATGTAATGATCTTTGAATGGAAGCAAAAGGAGTCATCATCGAATGGATTCTGATGGAATCATCATTGAATGGAATCGAATGGAATCATCATCTAATGGAAAATATTGGAATCATCCAATGGAATTGAATGGAATCATCATCAAATGAATTGAATGGAATCATCAAATGGTCTCGAATGGAATCCTCATCAAATGGAATCGAATGGAATCATCGAATAGAATCAAATGTAATAATGATCGAATGGACTCGAATGGAATCAACATCAAATGGAATCGAATGGAATTATCAAATGGAATCAAATAGAAACATCGAGTGGACTCGAATGGAATCTTCGAATGGAATTGAATGGGATAGTCAACGGACCCTAATAGAATCATCATCCTATGGAATTAAATGAAATCATCAAATGTACACGTATGGAATCTTCATCGAAAGGAATCGAATGGAATCATCGAATGGACTCGAATGGAAGCATTGAATGGATTCATCAAATGGAGTCGAACTGAATAATCATCGAATGGTATCGAATGGAATCATCGAATGGACTCAAATGGAATCATCACGGAATGGAATCGAACGGAATCATTGAATAGAGTCAAATGGAATCTTCCTCGAAAGGAATCGAATGGAATCGTCCAATGGACACGAATGGAATCATCATCGAATGGAATTTTCCTCAAAAGGAATCGAATGGAATCGTCCAATGGACACGAATAGAATCATCATCGAATGGAATCAAATGGAACCATCAAATTCAACAGAATGGAACCATTGAATGGACTTGAAATGAATTGTCATCAAATGGAATCGAATGGAATGATTGAAGGCACTTGAAAGGAATCATCGAATTGACTCGAAAGGAATCATCACCTAGTGGAATCCAATAGAATTATCGAATGGACTCGAAAGGAATCTTTGAATGGACTCAAATGGAATCATCATCGAACGGAATCTAATGGAATCATTGAATGGACTCGAATGGAGCCCTCATGGAATGTAATAAAAGAGAATCACCAAATGCACTAAAATGGGATGATTGAATAGCCTCGAATTGCATCATCATTAAACGGAATCGAATGGAGTGATCTCATGGACTCGAATGTAATCATCAAATGGACTCAAAAGGAATCATCATCAAGTGGAATCGAGTGAAATCATCGAATGGACTCGAATGCCATCATCGAATGTGGTCGAATGGAATCATCATTGAATAGAATCTAATGGAATCATCACATGGGCTTGAATGCAATCATTATCGAATGTAATGGAATGGAATCATTGAATGGATTCGAATGGAATCATCATCAAATGGAATCAAAAGGAATAATCGAATGGACTCGAAGGGAATCATCGAATGAACTCTAATGGAATCATTATCAAACGGAATCCAATGTAATCATTGAATGGACTCGAATGGAATCATCATCGAATGGAATTGAATGGAATCATCGAATGGAATGGAATGGAATCATCCTCGAATGGAATCTAATGAAATCACCGAATGGACACGAATGGAATCATCCAATGGATTTGAGTGGAATCATCATTGAATGGAATCGAATGGAATCATCAAATGGACTCGAATGGAATCATCTTCGAATGGAATCGAATGAAATCACAATCGAATGGAATGGAATGGAGTCATCATCTAATGGAGTCGAATGGAATCATCATTGAATATAATAGAATGGAGTCACCATATTGAATCAAATGGAAAGATCATCGAATGGAATTGAAGGGAATCATCGAATGGGAATGAATGGAGTCATCAAATGGAATTGAGTGGAATCATCAAATGGATTCGAATGGAATGATCATCGAATGGAATTGAATGGTATCATCGAATGGACTCGAATGGAATCATCATCAAATGGAACCAAATGGAATCATCGAATGGACACGAATGCAATCATCATTGAGTGGAATCAAATGGAATCATTGAATGGTATCGAATGGAATCATCATCGAATGTAGTCTAATAAAATAACCGAATGGACTCAAATAGAATCATCGAATCAAGTCGAATGGAATCATCATCGAATGGAATCCAATGGAATCATCGAATAGCATCAAATGGAATCATTGTCGAATGGATTCAAATGGAATCATCGAATGGACTCGAATGGAATCGTCATTTAATGTAATCGAATGGAATCTTCGAATGGACTCGAATGGAATGATCATAGAATGGAACCTAATGGAATCATCGAATGGAATAGAATTGAATCATCATTGAATGGAATCGAGTAGAAACATTGAAAGAAATCGAATGGAATCATCATCGAATGGAATCGGGTGGAATCATCAATGAATGGAATCGAATGGAATCATAGAATGGAATCCAATGTAATCATCTTCGAATTGAAAACAAAGCAATCATTAAATGTACTCTAATGGAATCATCGAATGGACTCGAGTAGAATCATCGTTGAATGGAATATAATGGAATCATCGAATGCAATCGAATGGAATCATGGAATGGACTCGAATGGAATCATCATAGAATGGAATGAAAGGAATCATCAAATGGACTTGAATGAAATCATTGAATGGACTCAAAAGGAATCATCATCGCATGGTATTGAAAATAATCGTTGAATTTACCCTAATGGGAAAATCGTTGAATGGAATGGAAAGCAATCATTTAATGGAATAGAATGGAATCATCATTGAATGGAATCAAATGGAATCCTCAATGAATGGAATCGAATGGAATCATCATCGAATGGAATTGAACGGAAACATCAGCGAATGGAATCGAAAGGAATCATCATGGAATAGATTCGAATGATTCCATCTCTCTCCCTTCGATGATTCCATTTGATTCCATCTGATGATGATTTCACTTGATTCCTTTCAATGATGATTCCATTCATGTCCATTCGATGCTTCCATTGGAGTCCAAACGATCATTCCATTCGATTCCATTCAATGATGATTCCATTCATGTTCATTCGATGAATCCATTCAATTCCATTCGATGATGACTCCATTCGAGTACATTCGATGATTCCATTTGATTCCATTTGATGATGATTCCATTCAATTCCATTCGAAGATGATTCCATTCAATTCCATTCGATGATGATTCTGTAAGAATCCATTCTCTGATTATTCCATTCGATTCCATTCATGACCATTTGGTGATTCCATTCGATTTCATTCGTTGATGATTCCATTCGAGTCCATTCCATGATTCCATTCAAGTCCATTTGATGATTTCTTTGAATTCAATTCGATGATGATTCCATTCGAGTCCATTCGATGATTCCATTCTGTTCCAGTCGATGATGATTCCATTCGAGTCCATATGATCATTCCATTTGATTTCATTCGATGATGATTCCATTCGTTTCCATTCGATGATTCCATTCTATTCCATTCGATGATGATTCCATTCGAGTCCGTTCGATGGGTCCATTCGAGTCCATTTAATGATTCCATTGGGTTCAATTCAATGATTATTACATTGGATTCCGTTCTATGATTCCATTCCATTCCGTTCATTGACAATTTGATTCCATTCGATGATGATTCCATTTGAGTTCATTCGATGATTCTATTCGATTCCATTCGATGGTGATTCAATTCTATTATATTGGATGATTCCACTCGATTCCATTTGATGATTATTCCATTGGAGTCCACTTAGTGAATCCTTTAGATTCTACTCGAAGATGATTCCATTCGAGTCCATTCGATGATACCATTCAATTCCATTCGTTGATGCTTCCATTCAAGTGCATTCGATGATATCATTCGATTCCATTTGATGATAATTCCATTTGATTCCATGCGATGATTCTATTCGATTCCATTCAATGATAATTCCATTCAATTCAGTGATTCCTCTGGACTCCATTTGATGATGATTCCATTCGATTCCATTCATTGGTGATTCCACTCAATTCCATTCAATGATTCCATTCCATTTCTTTCAACAATGATTCCATTAGTTTCTATTCGATGATCCACTTGATTCCATTTGACAATTATTCCATTCGTGTCCATTCGATGATTCCATTTGATTCCATATGATGATGATTCCATTCGATTCCATACGATGATGATTCCATTCAAGTCCATTCAATGGTGATTCCATTCAATTCCATTCGATGATTCCTTTCTATTCCATTCGATGATGATGGCATTCGATTCCTTTCGATCATTCCCTTTGATTCCATTCAAAGGTGATTTCATTCAAGTCCATTCGATAATTGCATTCGAGTGCATTTGATGATTCCATTCGATTCCATTCGATGATGATTCCATTTGATTCCATTTGATGTTGATTCTATTCGATTCTATTCAATGATGATTCCATTCGATTTCATTTGATGATTCTATTCCATTCCATTCGATGATGATTCAATTCTCTTCCATTGGATGATTCCATTTTATTCCATTCGACGATGACTCCATTTGATTCCATTCAATGATGATTCCATTCGATTCCATTCGGTGATTCCATTTGATTCCATTCGACGGTGAGCAATTTGATTCAATTCCATAATGATTCTATTTGATTCAATTAGATGATGTTTCCATTCGAATCCATTCGATGATGATTCCATTGGTATCCATTCGACGATGATTCCATATGAGTCAATTCGATGATGATTCCATACGAGTCCGTTGGATGATAATTCCATTTGATTTCATTCAATCCTTCTATTCGATTCCATTTGATGATGATTCCATCTGAATCCATTCTCCGATTCCATTCGATTTCATTCGATGCTTCTATTTGATTTCATTCGAAGATGATTCCTTTCAATTCCATTCATTAATTCCATTTGATTCCATTCGATAATGATTACATCCGAGTCCATTCGATGATTCCATTTGAGCCTGTTCGATAATTCCATTTGAGTCCAATCAATGATTCCATTCATTTCATTCAATGATTCCATTCGAGTCCATTTGATCATTCCGTTAGGGTCCATTCGATATTGATTCCATTGGAGTGCATTCGATGATTCCATTCGAGTCCATTTTAGGATTTGATTCGAGTCCTTTCGATGATTCCATTCGATTCCACTCGATGATGATTTCATTCGAGTCCATTCGACACTTACAATCGATTCCATTTGATGTTTCCATTCGAGTCCAATTGATGAGTCCATTCAATTCCATTCGATGATGGTTCCGTACGATTCCATTCTGTGATGATTCCATGTGATTGCATTCAATGATGATTCCTTTCGATTGCATTCGATTATGATTCATTTCGTGTTCATTCTATGGTTCCACAGGTTTCCATTCGTGTCCATTCCATTATTCCATTCTATTCCATTTGATGATGATTCCATTCGATTCCATTCATTGGTGATTCCACTCAATTCCATTCAATGATTCCATTCCATTTCTTTCAACAATGATTCCATTAGTTTCTATTCGATGATCCACTTGATTCCATTTGACAATTATTCCATTCGTGTCCATTCGATGATTCCATTTGATTCCATATGATGATGATTCCATTCGATTCCATACGATGATGATTCCATTCGATTCCATTCATTGATGATTCCATTCGACTCCATTCAATGATGATTCCTTTCGATTCCATTTGACGATGTTTCCATTTGAGTCCATTCGATGATGATTCAATTCAGTTCTGTTCTATTATGAATCCATTCGATTTCATTCAATGCTTCTATTTGATTCCATTCGACGATGATTCCATGTCTTTCCCTTCGATGATTCCATTTGATTCCATTCAGTGATGATTCCATTTGATTCCATCTGATGATGATTTCACTTGATTCATTTCAATGATGATTCCATTCAAGTCCATTCGATGATTCCATTGGAGTCCAAATGATCATTCCATTCGATTCCATTCAATGATGATTCCATTCATGTCCATTCAATGAATCCTTTCAATTCCATTCGATGATGACTCCATTCGAGTACATTCGATGATTCCATTTGATTCCATTTGATGATGATTACATTCAATTCCATTCGAAGATGATTCCATTCAATTCCACTTGATGATGATTCCGTATGAATCCATTCGCTGATTATTCCATTCGATTCCATTCATTGACGATTCCATTCGATTCCATTCAATGATGATTCTCTTCTATTCCATTCGATGATTCCGGTCGATTCCATTCGATGATGATTCCATTAGATTCCATTCGATTGTTGCATTCGATTCCCTTCGATGATGATTCCTTTGAATTCCATTCGATTATGATTCCGTAGGAATCCATTTGATGATTATTCCATTGGATTCCTTTCGATGATGATTCCATTCGATTCCATTTGATGATGTTTCTCATGTATTCCATTTGATAATTCCTTTCAATTCCCTTCGATGATGATTCTTTCGAGTCAATTGGATGATTCTATTCCATTCCCTTCGATGATGATTCCATTTCACTCCATTCGATGATTCCATTCGATTCAATTTGGTGATGATTCAATTCGATGACATTCGATGACTCCATTCAATTTCATTTGATGATGATTACATTCGAGTCCATTTGATGATTGTATTCCTTTCCTTTTGATGATTATTCCATTCGTGTGTATTCAAAGATTCCATTCTATTCCATTCAATGATGATTCCAATTGATTCCATTCAATGATTATGGCTATCGAATCCACTCGTTGATTCCATTTGATTCCATTCGATGATTATTCCGTTAGATTCCATTAGGAGATTCCATTCGATTTTATTCAATGATTCCAATTGATTCCATTCAATGATGATTCCATTCGACTCCGTTCAGTGATTCCATTTGAGTCCATTTGATGATTCCATTCGAGTCCATTTGATGATTCCATTCTTTTCCATTTGATGATGATTCCATTAGGGTCCATTCAATGATTCCATTCGAGTCCATTCGTTAATGCCTTTCGAGTCCTTTTGATCACTACATTCGAGTCCATTCAATGATTCTATTCGATTCCATTCCATGATGATTCCATTCGAGTTCATTCGATGATTGCATTCGAGTCCATTTGATGATTCCATATGATTCCATTCGACAATGATTCCATTCGTGTCCATTTGATGATTCCATTCATTTCCTATCGATGAAGATTCCATTCGAGTGTATTCGATGATTCCATTCAAATCCATTCGATGATGATTCCATTCCAGTCCATTCGATCATTCCACTTGATTCCATTTGATGACTATTCCATTCAAATCCATTTGATGATTCCATTCGATTCCATTCGATGTTACCATTCCAGTATATACGATGATTCCACTCGATTCCATT